>NC_000005.10:48939316-49265342 GCF_000001405.40 Homo sapiens | reverse complement strand
GTTTCCTAACTGCTCTATGAAAAGAAAGGTTAAACACTGTGAGTTGAACGAACACATCACAACGCAGTTTGTGGGAATGATTCTGTCTAGTTTTGAAACCAAGATATTTCCTTTTCTGCCGTTGACCTAAAAGAGCTTGAAAACTACACTTGCAAATTGCACAAATAGAGTGTTTCAAATCTGCTCTGTCTAGGGGAACGTTCAACTCTGTGAGTTGAATGCACACAACACAAGGAAGTTACTGGGAATTCTTCTGTCTAGCCTTAAATGAAAAAACCCGTTTCCAACGAAGGCCTCTAAGTGGTCAAAATTTCCACGTGCAGACTTTACAAACAGAGTGTTTCCAAACCGCTGAATGAAAAGAAAAGTTAAACTCTGAGAGTTGAACGCACACATCACGCAGCAGTTTCTGAGAATGATTCTGTCTAGTTTTTATACGAAGATATTTCCTTTTCTGCCTTTGGCCTCAAAGCGCTTGAAATCTCCACTTGCAAATTCCACAAAAAGAGTGTTTCAAATCTGCTCTGGGTAAATGAAAGTTCAACTCTGTGAGTTGAACACACACAACACAAGGAAGTTACTGGGAATTCTTCTGTCTAGCAGAATATGAAGAAATCACGTTTCCAACGAAGGCCTCAAGGAGGTCTGAATATCCACTTGCAGACTTTACAAACAGAGTGTTTCCTAACTGCTCTATGAAAAGAAAGGTTAAACTCTGTGAGTTGAACGCACACATCACAAAGGAGTTTCTGAGAATCATTCTGTCTAGTTTTTATACGAAGATATTTCCTTTTCTACCATTGACCTCAACGCGGCTGAAATCTCCTCTTGCAAATTCCACAAAACGAGTGTTTCAAGTCCGCTCTGTGTAAAGGATCGTTCAACTCTGTGAGTTGAATACACACAACACAAGGAAGTTACTGAGAATTCTTCTGTCTAGCAGAATATGAAGAAATCCCGTTTCCAACGAAGGCCACAAGATGTCAGAATATCCACTTACAGACTTTACAAACAGAGTGTTTCCTAACTGCTCTATGAACAGAAAGGTTAAACTCTGTGAGTTGAACGCACACATCACAAAGGAGTTTCTGAGAATCATTCTGTCTAGTTTTGAAACGAAGATATTTCCTTTTCTGCCATTGACCTTAAAGCGCTTGAAATCTACACTTGCAAATTGCACAAATAGAGTGTTTCAAATCTGCTCTGTCTAAGGGAACGTTCAACTCTGTGAGTTGAATGCACACAACACAAGGAAGTTACTGGGAATTCTTCTGTCTAGCCTTACATGAAAAAAACCCGTTTCCAACGAAGGCCTCTAAGTGGTCAAATTATCGACGTGCAGACTTTACAAACAGAGTGTTTCCAAACTGCTGAATGAAAAGCAAAGTTAAACTCTGAGAGTTGAACGCACACATCGCAGAGCAGTTTCTGAGAATGATTCTGTCTAGTTTTTATACGAAGATATTTCCTTTTCTACCTTTGGCCCCAAAGCGCTTGAAATCTCCACTTGCAAATTCCACAAAAACAGTGTTTCAAATCTGCTCTCTCTAAATGAAAGTTCAACTCTGTCAGTTGAATACACACAACACAAGGAAGTTACTGAGAATTCTTCTGTCTAGCAGAATATGAAGAAATCCCGTTTCCAATGAAGGCCTCAAAGAGGTCTGGATATCCACTTGCAGACTTTACAAACAGAGTGTTTCCTAACTGCTCTATGAAAAGAAAGGTTAAACTCTGTGAGTTGAACGCACACATCACAACGGAGTTTCTGAGAATCATTCTGTCTAGTCTTTATATGAAGATAGTTTCCTTTTCTACCATTGACCTCAAAGCGGCTGAAATCTCCACTTGCAAATTCCACAAAAAGAGTGTTTCAAGTCTGCTCTGTGTAAAGGATCGTTCAACTCTGTGAGTTGAATACACACAACACAAGGAAGTTACTGAGAATTATTCTGTCTAGCAGAATATGAAGATATCCCGTTTCCAACGAAGGCCACAAGATGTCAGAATATCCACTTACAGACTTTACAAACAGAGTGTTTCCTAACTGCTCTATGAACAGAAAGGTTAAACTCTGAAAGTTGAACGAACACATCACAACGCAGTTTGTGGGAATGATTCTGTCTAGTTTTGAAACGAAGATATTTCCTTTTCTGCCATTGACCTTAAAGCGCTTGAAATCTACACTTGCAAATTGCACAAATAGAGTGTTTCAAATCTGCTCTGTCTAAGGGAACGTTCAACTCTGTGAGTTGAATGCACACAACACAAGGAAGTTACTGGGAATTCTTCTGTCTAGCCTTACATGAAAAAAACCCGTTTCCAACGAAGGCCTCTAAGTGGTCAAAATATCCACGTGCAGACTTTACAAACAGAGTGTTTCCAAACCGCTGAATGAAAAGAAAAGTTAAACTCTGAGAGTTGGACGCACACATCACGCAGCAGTTTCTGAGAATGATTCTGTCTGGTTTTTATACGAAGATATTTCCTTTTCTGCCTTTGGCCTCAAAGCGCTTGAAATCTCCACTTGCAAATTCCACAAAAAGAGTGTTTCAAATCTGCTCTGTGTAAATGAAAGTTCAACTCTGTGAGTTGAACACACACAACACAAGGAAGTTACTGGGAATTCTTCTTTCTAGCAGAATATGAAGAAATCCCGTTTCCAACGAAAGCCTCAAGGAGGTCTGAATATCCACTTGCAGACTTTACAAACAGAGTGTTTCCTAACTGCTCTATGAAAAGAAAGGTTAAACTCTGTGAGTTGAACGCACACATCACAAAGGAGGTTCTGAGAATCATTCTGTCTAGTTTCTATAGGAAGATATTTCCTATTCTACCATTGACCTCAAAGCGGCTGAAATCTCCACTTGCAAATTACACAAAAAGAGTGTTTCAAGTCTACTCTGTGTAAAGCATCGTTCAACTCTGTGAGTTGAAAACACACAACACAAGGAAGTTTCTGAGAATTCTTCTGTCTAGCAGAATATGAAGAAATCCCTTTTCAAACGAAGGCCACAAGATGTCAGAATATCCACTTACAGACTTTACAAACAGAGTGTTTCCTAACTGCTCTATGAACAGAAAGGTTAAACTCTGTGAGTTGAACGAACACATCACAACGCAGTTTGTGGGAATGATTCTGTCTAGTTTTAAAACGAAGATATTTCCTTTTCTGCCGTTGACCTTAAAGCGCTTGAAATCTACACTTGCAAATTGCACAAATAGAGTGTTTCAAATCTGCTCTGTCTAAGGGAACGTTCAACTCTGTGAGTTGAATGCACACAACACAAGGAAGTTACTGGGAATTTTTCTGTCTAGCCTTACATGAAAAAATCCAGTTTCCAACGAAGGCCTCTAAGTGGTCAAAATATCCACGTGCAGACTTTACAAACAGAGTGTTTCCAAACCGCTGAATGAAAAGAAAAGGTAAACTCTGAGAGTTGAACTCACACATCACGCAGCAGTTGCTGAGAATGATTCTGTCTAGTTTTTAAACGAAGATATTTCCTTTTCTGCCTTTGGCCCCAAAGCGCTTGAAATCTCCACTTGCAAATTCCACAAAAACAGTGTTTCAAATCTGCTCTCTCTAAATGAAAGTTCAACTCTGTCAGTTGAATACACACAACACAAGGAAGTTACTGAGAATTCTTCTCTCTAGTTTTTATGTGAAGATATTTCCTTTTCCACCACAGGCCTGAAAGCGCTCCAAATGTCCACTTGGAGACTCAACGAAAAGAATGTTTCAAAACTGCTCTATGAAAAGCAATGTTATCCTCTGGGAGTTGAACACAAGCCTCACAAAGGAGTTTTTGAGAATGCTTCTGTCTAGTTTTTATACGAAGATATTTCCTTTTCTACCATTGACCTCAAAGCGGCTGAAATCTCCACTTGCAAATTCCACAAAAAGAGTGTTTCAAATCTGCTCTGTGTAAACCATCGTTCAACTCTGTGAGTTGAATACACACAACACAAGGAAGTTACTGAGAATTCTTCTGTCTAGCAGAATATGAAGAAATCCCGTTTGCAACGAAGGCCACAAGATGTCAGAATATCCACTTACAGAATTTACAAACAGAGTGTTTCCTAACTGCTCTATGAAAAGAAAGGTTAAACTCTGTGAGTTGAACGAACACATCACAACGCAGTTTGTGGGAATGATTCTGTCTAGTTTTTATACGAAGATATTTCCTTTTCTACCATTGACCTAAAAGCGGTTGAAATCACCACTTGCCAATTGCACAAAAAGAGTGTTTCAAATCTGCTCTGTCTAAGGGAACGTTCAACTCTGTGAGTTGAATGTACACAACACAAGGAAGTTACTGGGAATTCTTCTCTCTAGCCTTACAGGAAAAAAACCCGTTTCCAACGAAGGCCTCTAAGTGGTCAAAATATCCACGTGTAGACTTTACAAACAGAGTGTTTCCAAACTGCTGAATGAAAAGAAAAGTTAAACTCTGAGAGTTGAACGCACAGATCGCAGAGCAGTTTCTGAGAATGATTCTGTCTAGTTTTTATACGAAGATATTTCCTTTTCTGCCTTTGGCCTCAAAGCGCTTGAAATCTCCACTTGCAAATTCCACAAAAAGAGTGTTTCAAGTCTGCTCTGTGTAAAGGATCGTTCTACTCTGTGAGTTGAATACACACAACACAAGGAAGTTACTGAGAATTCTTCTGTCTAGCATAATATGAAGAAATCCCGTTTCCAACGAAGGCCTCAAAGGGGTCTGAATATCCACTTGCAGACTTTATAAACAGAGTGTTTACTAACTGCTCTATGAAAAGAAAGGTTAAACTCTGTGAGTTGAGCACACACATCACAAAGGAGTTTCTGAGAATCATTCTGCCTAGTTTTTCTACGAAGATATTTCCTTTTCTACTATTGACCTCAAAGCGGCTGAAATCTCCACTTGCAAATTCCACAAAAAGAGTGTTTCAAGTCTGCTCTGTGTAAAGGATCGTTCAACTCTGTGAGTAGAATACACACAACACAAGGAAGTTACTGAGAATTCTTCTGTCTAGCAGAATATGAAGAAATCCCGTTTCCAACGAAGGCCTCAAAGAGGTCTGAATATCCACTTGCAGACTTTACAAACAGAGTGTTTCCTAACTGCTCTATGAAAAGAAAGGTTAAACTCTGTGAGTTGAACGCACACACCACAAAGGAGTTTCTGAGAATCATTCTGTCTAGTTTTGAAACGAAGATATTTCCTTTTCTGCCATTGACCTTAAAGCGCTTGAAATATCCATTTGCCAATTGCACAAAAAGAGTGTTTCAAATCTGCTCTGTCTGAGGGAACGTTCAACTCTGTGAGTTGAATGTACACAACACAAGGAAGTTACTGGGAATTCTTCTGTCTAGCCTTACATGAAAAAAACCCGTTTCCAACGAAGGTCTCTAAGTGGTCAAATTATCCACGTGCAGACTTTACAAACAGAGTGTTTCCAAACTGCTGAATGAAAAGAAAAGTTAAACTCTGAGAGTTATACGCACACATCGCAGAGCAGTTTCTGAGAATGATTCTGTCTAGTTTTTATACGAAGATATTTCCTTTTCTGCCTTTGGCCCCAAAGCGCTTGAAATCTCCACTTGCAAATTCCACAAAAACAGTGTTACAAATCTGCTCTCTCTAAATGAACGTTCAACTCTGTCAGTTGAATACACACAACACAAGGAAGTTACTGAGAATTCTTCTGTCTAGCATAATATGAAGAAATCCCGTTTCCAACGAAGGCCTCAAAGGGGTCTGAATATCCACTTGCAGACTTTATAAACAGAGTGTTTACTAACTGCTCTATGAAAAGAAAGGTTAAACACTGTGAGTTGAACACACACATCACAAAGGAGTTTCTGAGAATCATTCTGTCTAGTCTTTATACGAAGATATTTCCTTTTCTACCATTGACCTCAAAGCGGCTGAAATCTCCACTTGCAAATTCCACAAAAAGAGTGTTTCAAGTCTGCTCTGTGTAAAGGATCGTTCAACTCTGTGAGTTGAATAGACACAACACAAGGAAGTTACTGAGAACTCTTCTGTCTAGCAGAATATGAAGAAATCCCGTTTCCAACGAAGGCCACAAGATGTCAGAATATCCACTTACAGAATTTACAAACAGACTGTTTCCCAACTGCTCTATGAAAAGAAAGGTTAAACTCTGTGAGTTGAACACACACATCACAATGAAGTTTCTGAGAATCATTCTATCTAGTTTTTATACGAAGATATTTCCTTTTCTACCATTGACCTCAAAGAGGCTGAAATCACCACTTGCCAATTGCACAAAAAGAGTGTTTCAAATCTGCTCTGTCTAAGGGAACGTTCAACTCTGTGAGTTGAATGTACACAACACAAGGAAGTTACTGGGAATTCTTCTGTCTAGCCTTACAGGAAAAAAACCCGTTTCCAACGAAGGCCTCTAAGTGGTCAAAATATCCACGTGCAGACTTTACAAACAGAGTGTTTCCAAACTGCTGAATGAAAAGAAAAGTTAAACTCTGAGAGTTGAACGCACACATCGCAGAGAAGTTTCTGAGAATGATTCTGTATAGTTTTGAAACGAAGATATTTCCTTTTCTGCCTTTGGCCTCAAAGCGCTTGAAATCTCCACTTGCAAATTCCACAAAAAGAGTGTTTCAAATCTGCTCTGTGTAAATGAAAGTTCAACTCTGTGAGTTGAACACACACAACACAAGGAAGTTAGTGGGAATTCTTCTGTCTAGCAGAATATGAAGAAATCCCGTTTCCAACGAAGGCCGCAAAGAGGTCTGAATATCCACTTGCAGTCTTTACAAACAGAGTGTTTCCTAACTGCTCTATGAAAAGAAAGGTTAAACTCTGTGAGTTGAACGCACACATTACAAAGGAGATTCTGAGAATCATTCTGTCTAGTTTTTCTACGAAGATATTTCCTTTTCTGCTATTGACCTCAAAGCGGCTGAAATCTCCACTTGCAAATTCCACAAAGAGAGTGTTTCATGTCTGCTCTGTGTAAAGGATCGTTCAACTCTGTGAGTTGAATACACACAACACAAGGAAGTTACTGAGAATTCTTCTGTCTAGCAGAATATGAAGAAATCCCGTTTCCAACGAAGGCCTCAAGGAGGTCTGAATATCCACTTGCAGACTTTACAAACAGAGTGTTTCCTAACTGCTCTATGAACAGAAAGATTAAACTCTGTGAGTTGAACGCACACATCACAAAGGAGTTTCTGAGAATCCTTATGTCTAGTTTTTATAGGAAGATATTTCCTTTTCTACATTTGACTTCAAAGCGGCTGAAATCTCCACTTGCAAATTCCACAAAAAGAGTGTTACAAGTCTGCTCTGTGTAAAGGATCGTTCAACTCTGTGAGTTGAATACACACAACACAAGGAAGTTACTGAGAATTCTTCTGTCTAGCCTTACAAGAAAAAAACCCGTTTCCAACGAAGGCCTCTAAGTGGTCAAAATATCCACGTGCAGACTTTACAAACAGAGTGTTTTCAAACTGTTGAATGAAAAGAAAAGTTAAACTCTGAGAGTTGAACGCACACATCGCAGAGCAGTTTCTGAGAATGATTCTGTCTAGTTTTCATACGAAGATATTTCCTTTTCTGCCTTTGGCCCCAAAGCGTTTGAAATCTCCACTTGCAAATTCCACAAAAACAGTGTTTCAAATCTGCTCTCTCTAAATGAAAGTTCAACTCTGTCAGTTGAATACACACAACACAAGGAAGTTACTGAGAATTCTTCTGTCTAGCAGAACATGAAGAAATCCCGCTTCCAACGAAGGCCTCAAGGAGGTCTGAATATCCACTTGCAGACTTTACAAACAGAGTGTTTCCTAACTGCCCTATGAAAAGAAAGGTTAAACTCTGTGAGTTGAACGCACACATCACAAAGAAGTTTCTGAGAATCATTCTGTCTAGTTTCTATAGGAAG
Source organism: Homo sapiens (assembly GCF_000001405.40). NCBI lineage: Eukaryota > Metazoa > Chordata > Mammalia > Primates > Hominidae > Homo > Homo sapiens. Next base: position 49,257,422 of record NC_000005.10, on the reverse strand, counting down.
ATATTTCCTATTCTACCATTGACCTCAAAGCGGCTGAAATCTCCACTTGCAAATTCCAGAAAAAGAGTGTTTCAAGTCTGCTCTGTGTAAAGGATCCTGCAACTCTGTGAGTTGAATACACACAACACAAGGAAGTTACTGAGAATTCTTCTGTCTAGCAGAATATGAAGAAATCCCGTTTCCAACGAAGGCCACAAGATGTCAGAATATCCACTTACAGACTTTACAAACAGAGTGTTTCCTAACTGCTCTATGAACAGAAAGGTTAAACTCTGTGAGGTGAACGAACACATCACAACGCAGTTTGTGGGAATGATTCTGTCTAGTTTTGAAACGAAGATATTTCCTTTTCTGCCATTGACCTTAAAGCGCTTGAAATCTACACTTGCAAATTGCACAAATAGAGTGTTTCAAATCTGCTCTGTCTAAGGGAACGTTCAACACTGTGAGTTGAATGCACACAACACAAGGAAGTTACTGGGAATTCTTCTGTCTAGCCTTACATGCAAAAAACCCGTTTCCAACGAAGGCCTCTAAGTGGTCAAAATATCCACGTGCAGACTTTACAAACAGAGTGTTTCCAAACCGCTGAATGAAAAGAAAAGTTAAACTCTGATAGTGGAACGCATACATCACGCAGCAGTTTCTGAGAATGATTCTGTCTAGTTTTTATACGAAGATATTTCCTTTTCTGCCTTTGGCCTCAAAGCGCTTGAAATCTCCATTTGCAAATTCCACAAAAAGAGTGTTTCAAATCTGCTCTGTGTAAATGAAAGTTCAACTCTGTGAGTTGAACAAACACAACACAAGGAAGTTACTGGGAATTCTTCTGTCTAGCATAATATGAAGAAATCCCGTTTCCAACGAAGCCCTCAAGGAGGTCTGAATATCCGCTTGCAGACTTTACAAACAGAGTGTTTCCTAACTGCTCTATGAAAAGAAAGGTTAAACTCTGTGAGTTGAACGCAGACATCACAAAGGAGTTTCTGAGAATCACTCTGTCTAGTTTTTATACGAAGATATTTCCTTTTCTACCATTGACCTCAAAGCGGCTGAAATCTCCACCCTGCCAATTCCACAAAAAGAGTGTTTCAAGTCTACTCTGTGTAAATGATCGTTGAACTCTGTGAGTTGAAAACACACAACACATCGAAGTTTCTGAGAATTCTTCTGCCTAGCAGAATATGAAGAAATCCCGTTTCCAACGAAAGCCTCAAAGATGTCTGAATATCCACTTGCAGACTTTACAAACAGAGTGTTTCCTAACTGCTCTATGAAAAGAAAGGTTAAACTCTGTGAGTTTAACGCACACATCACAAAGCAGTTTCTGAGAATCATTCTGTCTAGTTTTGAAACGAAGATATTTCCTTTTCTGCCATTGACCTTAAAGCGCTTGAAATCTACACTTGCAAATTGCACAAATAGAGTGTTTCAAATCTGCTCTGTCTAAGGGAACGTTCAACTCTGTGAGTTGAATGCACACAACACAAGGAAGTTACTGGGAATTCTTCTGTCTAGCCTTACATGAAAAAAACCCGTTTCCAACGAAGGCCTCTAAGTGGTCAAGTTATCCACGTGCAGACTTTACAAACAGACTGTTTCCAAATTGCTGAATGAAAAGAAAAGTTAAACTCTGAGAGTTGAACGCACACATCGCAGAGCAGTTTCTGAGAATGATTCTGTCTAGTTTTTATACGAAGATATTTCCTTTTCTGCCTTTGGCCTCAAAGCGCTTGAAATCTCCACTTGCAAATTCCACAAAAAGAGTGTTTCAAATCTGTTCTGTGTAAATGAAAGTTCAACTCTGTGAGTTGAACACACACAACACTAGGAAGTTACTGGGAATTCTTCTGTCTAGCAGAATAGGAAGAAATCCCGTTTCCAACGAAGGCCTCAAAGAGGTCTGAATATCCACGTGCAGACTTTTCAAACAGAGTGTTTCCTAACTGCTCTATGAAAAGAAAGGTTAAACTCTGTGAGTTGAACGCACACATCACAAAGGAGTTTCTGAGAATCGTTCTGTCTAGTTTCTATAGGAAGATATTTGCTATTCTACCTTTGACCTCAAAGCGGCTGAAATCTCCACTTGCAAATTCCACAAAAAGAGTGTTTCAAATCTGCTCTCTGTAAAGGATCGTTCAACTCTGTGAGTTGAATACACACAACACAAGGAAGTTACTGAGAATTATTCTGTCTAGCAGAATATGAAGAAATCCCGTTTCCAACGGAGGCCACAAGATGTCAGAATATCCACTTACAGAATTTACCAACAGAGTGTTTCCTAACTGCTCTATGAAAAGAAAGGTTAAACTGTGTGAGTTGAACGAACACATCACAACGCAGTTTGTGGGAATGATTCTGTCTAGTTTTGAAACGAAGATATTTCCTTTTCTGCCATTGACCTTAAAGCGCTTGAAATCTCCACTTGCCAATTGCACAAAAAGAGTGTTTCAAATCTGCTCTGTCTAAGGGAACGTTCAACTCTGTGAGTTGAATGTACACAACACAAGGAAGTTACTGGGAATTCTTCTGTCTAGCCTTACATGAAGAAAACCCGTTTCCAACGAAGGCCTCTAAGTGGTCAAAATATCCACGTGCAGACTTTACAAACAGAGTGTTTCCAAACCGCTGAATGAAAAGAAAAGTTAAACTCTGAGAGTTGAACGCACACATCACGCAGCAGTTTCTGAGAATGATTCTGTCTAGTTTTGAAACGAAGATATTTCCTTTTCTGCCTTTGGCCTCAAAGCGCTTGAAATCTCCACTTGCAAATTCCACAAAAAGAGTGTTTCAAATCTGCTCTGGGTAAATGAAAGTTCAACTCTGTGAGTTGAAAACACACAACACAAGGAAGTTACTGGGAATTCTTCTGTCTAGCAGAATATGAAGAAATCCCGTTTCCAACGAAAGCCTCAAAGAGGTCTGAATATCCCCTTGCAGACTTTACAAACAGAGTGTTTCCTAACTGCTCCATGAAAAGAAAGGTTAAACTCTGTGAGTTGAACGCACACATCACAAAGGAGTTTCTGAGAATCATTCTGTCTAGTTTTTCTACGAAGATATTTCCTTTTCTACTATTGACCTCAAAGCGGCTGAAATCTCCACTTGCAAATTCCACAAAAAGAATGTTTCAAGTCTGCTCTGTGTAAAGGATCGTTCAACTCTGTGAGTTGAATACACACAACACAAGGAAGTTACTGAGAATTCTTCTGTCTAGCAGAATATGAAGAAATCCCGTTACCAACGAAGGCCTCAAAGAGGTCTGAATATCCACTTGCAGACTTTACAAAGAGAGTGTTTCCTAACTGCTCTTTGAAAAGAAAAGTTAAACTCTGTGAGTTGAACGCACACATCACAAAGGAGTTTCTGAGAATCATTCTGTCTAGTTTTGAAACGAAGATATTTCCTTTTCTGCCGTTGACCTTAAAGAGCTTGAAAACTACACTTGCAAGTTGCACAAATAGAGTGTTTCAAATCTGCTCTGTCTAAGGGAACGTTCAACTCTGTGAGTTGAATGCACACAACACAAGGAAGTTACTGGGAATTCTTCTGTCTAGCCTTACATGAAAAAAACCCGTTTCCAACGAAGGCCTCTAAGTGGTCAAATTATCCACGTGCAGACTTTACAAACAGAGTGTTTCCAAACTGCTGAATGAAAAGCAAAGTTAAACTCTGAGAGTTGAACGCACACATCGCAGAGCACTTTCTGAGAATGATTCTGTGTAGTTTTTATACGAAGATATTTCCTTTTCTGCCTTTGGCCCCAAAGCGCTTGAAATCTCCACTTGCAAATTCCACAAAAACAGTGTTTCAAATCTGCTCTCTCTAAATGAAAGTTCAACTCTGTCAGTTGAATACACACAACACAAGGAAGTTACTGAGAATTCTTCTGTCTAGCCTTATATGAAAAAAACCCGTTTCCAACGAAGGCCTCAAAGAGGGCTGAATATCCACTTGCAGACTTTACAAGCAGAGTGTTTCCTAACTACTCTATGAAAAGAAAGGTTAAACTCTGTGAGTTGAACGCACACATCACAAAGGAGTTTCTGAGAATCATTCTGTCTAGTCTTTATACGAAGACATTTCCTTTTCTACCATTGACCTCAAAGCGGCTGAAATCTCCACTTGCGAATTCCACAAAAAGAGTGTTTCAAGTCTGCTCTCTGTAAAGGATCGTTCAACTACTGTGAGTTGAATACACACAACACAAGGAAGTTACTGAGAATTATTCTGTCTAGCAGAATATGAAGAAATCCCGTTTCCAACAAAGGCCACAAGATGTCAGAATATCCACTTACTGACTTTACAAACAGAGTGTTTCCTAACTGCTCTATGAACAGAAAGGTTAAACTCTGTGAGTTGAACGAACACATCACAACGCAGTTTGTGGGAATGATTCTGTCTAGTTTTGAAAGGAAGATATTTCCTTTCCTGCAGTTGACCTTAAAGCGCTTGAAATCTACACTTGCAAATTGCACAAATAGGCTGTTTCAAATCTGCTCTGTCTAAGGGAACGTTCAACTCTGTGAGTTGAATGCACCCAACACAAGGAAGTTACTGGGAATTCTTCTCTCTAGCAGAATATGAAGAAATCCCGTTTCCAACGAAGGCCTCAAAGAGGTCTGTATATCAACTTGTAGACTTTACAAACAGAGTGTTTCCTAACTGCTCTATGAAAAGAAAGGTTAAACTCTGTGAGTTGAACGCACACATCACAAAGGAGTTTCTGAGAATCATTCTGTCTAGTTTCTATAGGAAGATATTTCCTATTCTACCATTGACCACAAAGCGGCTGAAATCTCCACTTGCAAATTCCACAAAAAGAGTGTTTCAAGTCTGCTCTCTGTAAAGGATCGTTCAACTCTGTGAGTTGAATACACACAACACAAGGGAAGTTACTGAGAATTCTTCTGTCTAGCATAATATGAAGAAATCCCGTTTCCAACGAAGGCCTCAAGGAGGTCTGAGTATCCACTTGCAGACTTTACAAACAGAGTGTTTCCTAACTGCTCTATGAAAAGAAAGGTTAAACTCTGTGAGTTGAACGCACACATCACAAAGGAGTTTCTGAGAATCATTCTGTCTATTTTCTATAGGAAGATATTTCCTATTCTACCATTGACCTCAAAGCGGCTGAAATCTCCACTTGCAAATTCCACAAAAAGAGTGTTTCAAGTCTGCTCTGTGTAAAGGATCGTTCAACTCTGTGAGTTGAATACACACAACACAAAGAAGTTACTGAGAATTCTTCTGTCTAGCAGAATATGAAGAAATCCCGTTTCCAACGAAGGCCTCAAAGAGGTCTGAATATCCAGTTGCAGACTTTACAAACAGAGTGTTTCCTAACTGCTCTATGAAAAGAAAGGTTAAACTCTGTGAGTTGAACGCACACATCACAAAGGAGTTTATGAGAATCATTCTGTCTAGTTTTGAAACGAAGATATTTCCTTTTCTGCCGTTGACCTTAAAGAGCTTGAAAACTACACTTGTAAATTGCACAAATAGAGTGTTTCAAATCTGCTCTGTCTAAGGGAACGTTCAACTCTGTGAGTTGAATGCACACAACACAAGGAAGTTACTGGGAATTCTTCTGTCTAGCCTTACATGAAAAAAACCCGTTTCCAACGAAGGCCTCTAAGTGGTCAAAATATCCACGTGCAGACTTTACAAACAGAGTGTTTCCAAACTGCTGAATGAAAAGAAAAGTTAAACTCTGAGAGTTGAACGCATACATCACGCAGCAGTTTCTGAGAATGATTCTGTCTAGTTTTTATACGAAGATATTTCCTTTTCTGCCTTTGGCCCCAAAGCGCTTGAAATCTCCACTTGCAAATTCCACAAAAACAGTGTTACAAATCTGCTCTCTCTAAATGAAAGTTCGACTCTGTCAGTTGAATACACACAACACAGGGGAAGTTACTGAGAATTCTTCTGTCTAGCCTTATATGAAAAAAACCCGTTTCCAACGAAGGCCTCAAAGAGGTCTGAATATCCACTTGCAGACTTTACAAACAGAGTGATTCCTAACTGCTCTATGAAAAGAAAGGTTAAACTCTGTGAGTTGAACACACACATCACAAAGGAGTTTCTGAGAATCATTCTGTCTAGTTTTTATACGAAGATATTTCCTTTTCTACCATTGACCTCAACGCGGCTGAAATCTCCACTTACAAATTCCACAAAAAGAGTGTTTCAAGTCTGCTCTGTGTAAAGGATCGTTCAACTCTGTGAGTTGAATACACACAACACAAGGAAGTTACTGAGAATTCTTCTGTCTAGCAGAATATGAAGAAATCCCGTTTCCAACGAATGCCACAAGATGTCAGAATATCCACTTACAGAATTGACAAACAGACTGTTTCCTAACTGCTCTATGAAAAGAAAGGTTAAACTCTGTGAGTTGAACGAACACATCACAACGCAGTTTGTGGGAATGATTCTGTCTAGTTTTGAAACGAAGATATTTCCTTTTCTGCCATTGACCTTAAAGCGCTTGAAATCTACACTTGCAAATTGCACAAATAGAGTGTTTCAAATCTGCTCTGTCTAAGGGAACGTTCAACTCTGTGAGTTGAATGCACACAACACAAGGAAGTTACTGGGAATTCTTCTGTCTAGCCTTACAGGAAAAAAACCCGTTTCCAACGAAGGCCTCTAAGTGGTCAAAATATCCACGTGCAGACTTTACAAACAGAGTGTTTCCAAGCTGCTGAATGAAAAGAAAAGTTAAACTCTGAGAGTTGAACGCACACATCGCAGAGCAGTTTCTGAGAATGATTCTGTCTAGTTTTGAAACGAAGATATTTCCTTTTCTGCCATTGACCTTAAAGCGCTTGAAATCTCCGCTTGCCAATTGCACAAAAAGTGTGTTTCAAATCTGCTCTGTCTAAGGGAACGTTCAACTCTGTGAGTTGAATGTACACAACACAAGGAAGTTACTGGGAATTCTTCTGTCTAGCAGAACATGAAGAAATCCCGTTTCCAACGAAGGCCCCAAAGATGTCTGAATATCCACTTGCAGACTTTAGAAACAGAGTGTTTCCTAACTGCTCTATGAAAAGAAAGGTTAAACTCTGTGAGTTGAACGCACACATCACAAAGGAGTTTCTGAGAATCATTCTGTCTAGTCTTTATACGAAGATATTTCCTTTTCTACCATTGACCTCAAAGCGGCTGAAATCTCCACTTGCAAATTCCACAAAAAGAGTGTTTCAAGTCTGCTCTCTGTAAAGGATCGTTCAACTCTCTGAGTTGAATACACACAACACAAGGAAGTTACTGAGAATTATTCTGTCTAGCAGAATATGAAGAAATCCCGTTTCCAACGAAGGCCACAAGATGTCAGAATATCCACTTATAGACTTTACAAACAGAGTGTTTCCTAACTGCTCTATGAACAGAAAGGTTAAGCTCTGTGAGTTGAACGACCACATCACAACGCAGTTTGTGGGAATGATTCTGTCTAGTTTTGAAACGAAGATATTTCCTTTTCTGCCATTGACCTTAAAGCGCTTGTAATCTCCACTTGCCAATTGCCCAAAAAGAGTGTTTCAAATCTGCTCTGTCTAAGGGAACGTTCAACTCTGTGAGTTGAATGTACACAACACAAGGGAAGTTACTGGGAATTCTTCTGTCTAGCCTTACATGAAAAAAACCCGTTTCCAACGAAGGCCTCTAAGTGGTCAAATTATCCACGTGCAGACTTTACAAACAGAGTGTTTCCAAACTGCTGAATGAAAAGCAAAGTTAAACTCTGAGAGTTGAACGCACACATCGCAGAGCACTTTCTGAGAATGATTCTGTCTAGTTTTGAAACGAAGATATTTCCTTTTCTGCCTTTGGCCTCAAAGCGCTTGAAATCTCCACTTGCAAATTCCACAAAAAGAGTGTTTCAAATCTGCTCTGTGTAAATGAAAGTTCAACTCTGTGAGTTGAACAAACACAACACAAGGAAGTTACTGGGAATTCTTCTGTCTGGCATAATATGAAGAAATCCCGTTTCCAACGAAGGCCTCAAAGAGGTCTGAATATCCACTTGCAGACTTTACAAACAGAGTGTTTCCTAACTGCTCTATGAGAAGAAAAGTTAAACTCTGTGAGTTGAACGCACACATCACAAAAGATTTTCTGAGAATCATTCTGTCTAGTTTTTATACGAAGATATTTCCTTTTCTACCATTGACCTCAAAGCGGCTGAAATCTCCACTTGCTAATTCCACAAAAAGAGTGTTTCAAATCTGCTCTGTGTAAACCATCGTTCAACTCTGTGAGTTGAATACACAGAACACAAGGAAGATTCTGAGAATTCTTCTGTCTAGCAGAATATGAAGAAATCCCGTTTCCAACGAAGGGCACAAGATGTCAGAATATCCACTTACAGAATTTACAAACAGACTGTTTCCTAAGTGCTCTATGAAAAGAAAGGTTAAACTCTGTGAGTTGAACGAACACATCACAACGCAGTTTGTGGGAATGATTCTGTCTAGTTTTGAAACGAAGATATTTCCTTTTCTGCCGTTGACCTTAAAGCGCTTGAAATCTACACTTGCAAATTGCACAAATAGAGTGTTTCAAATCTGCTCTGTCTAAGGGAACTTTCAACTCTGTGAGTTGAATGCACACAACACAAGGAAGTTACTGGGAATTCTTCTGTCTAGCCTTACATGAAAAAAACCCGTTTCCAACGAAGGCCTCTAAGTGGTCAAATTATCCACGTGCAGACTTTACAAACAGAGTGTTTCCAAACTGCTGAATGAAAAGAAAAGTTAAACTCCTGAGAGTTGAACGCACACATCACAGAGCAGTTTCTGAGAATGATTCTGTCTAGTTTTTATACCGAAGATATTTCCTTTTCTGCCTTTGGCCCCAAAGCGCTTGAAATCTCCATTTGCAAATTCCACAAAAACAGTGTTTCAAATCTGCTCTCTCTAAATGAAAGTTCAACTCTGTCAGTTGAATACACACAACACAAGGAAGTTACTGAGAATTCTTCTGTCTAGCATAATAGGAAGAAATCCCGTTTCCAAAGAAGGCCTCAAGGAGGTCTGAATATCCACTTGCAGACTTTACAAACAGAGTGTTTCCTAACTGCTCTATAAAAAGAAAGGTTAAACTCTGTGAGTTGAACGCACACATCACAAAGGAGTTTCTGAGAATCATTCTGTCTATTTTCTATAGGAAGATATTTCCTATTCTACCATTGACCTCAAAGAGGCTGAAATCGCCACTTGCAAATTCCACAAAAAGAGTGTTTCAAGTCTGCTCTGTGTAAAGGATCGTTCAACCCTGTGAGTTGAATACACACAACACAAGGAAGTTACTGAGAATTCTTCTGTCTAGCAGAATATGAAGAAATCCCGTTTCCAACGAAGGCCACAAGATGTCAGAATATGCACTTACAGACTTTACAAACAGAGTGTTTCCTAACTGCTCTATGAACAGAAAGGTTAAACTCTGTGTGTTGAACGCACACATCACAAAGGAGTTTATGAGAATCATTCTGTCTAGTTTTGAAACGAAGATATTTCCTTTTCTGCCATTGACCTTAAAGCGCTTGAAATCTCCACTTGCCAATTGCACAAAAAGAGTGTTTCAAATATGCTCTGTCTAAGGGAACGTTCAACTCTGTGAGTTGAATGTACACAACACAAGGAAGTTACTGGGAATTCTTCTGTCTAGCCTTACATGAAAAAAACCCGTTTCCAACGAAGGCCTCTAAGTGGTCAAAATATCCACGTGCAGACTTTACAAACAGAGTGTTTCCAAACCGCTGAATGAAAAGAAAGGTTAAACTCTGAGAGTTGAACGCACACATCACGCAGCAGTTTCTGAGAATGATTCTGTCTAGTTTTTCTACGAAGATATTTCCTTTTCTGCCTTTGGCCCCAAAGCGCTTGAAATCTCCACTTGCAAATTCCACAAAAACAGTGTTTCAAATCTGCTCTCTCCAAATGAAAGTTCAACTCTGTCAGTTGAATACACACAACACAAGGGAAGTTACTGAGAATTCTTCTGTCTAGCATAATATGAAGAAATCCAGTTTCCAACGAAGGCCTCAAGGAGGTCTGAATATCCACTTGCAGACTTTACAAACAGAGTGTTTCCTAACTGCTCTATGAAAAGAAAGGTTAAACTGTGTGTGTTGAACGCACACATCACAAAGGAGTTTCTGAGAATCATTCTGTCTAGTTTCTATAAGAAGATATTTCCTATTCTACCATTGACCTCAAAGCGGCTGAAATCTCCACTTGCAAATTCGACAAAAAGAGTGTTTCAAGCCTGCTCTCTGTAAAGGATCCTTCAACTCTGTGAGTTGAATACACACAACACAAGGAAATTACTAAGAATTATTCTGTCTAGCAGAATATGAAGAAATCCCGTTTCCAACGAAGGCCACAAGATGTCAGAATATCCACTTACAGAATTTACAAACAGAGTGTTTCCTAACTGCTCTATGAAAAGAAAGGTTAAACTCTGTGAGATGAACGAACACATCACAACGCAGTTTTTGGGAATGATTCTGTCTAGTTTTGAAACGAAGATATTTCCTTTTCTGCCGTTGACCTTAAAGAGCTTGAAAACTACACTTGCAAATTGCACAAATAGAGTGTTTCAAATCTGCTCTGTCTAAGGGAACGTTCAACTCTGTGAGTTGAATGCACACAACACAAGGAAGTTACTGGGAATTCTTCTGTCTAGCCTTACAGGAAAAAAACCCGTTTCCAACGAAGTCCTCTAAGTGGTCAAGTTATCCACGTGCAGACTTTACAAACAGAGTGTTTCCAAACTGCTGAATGAAAAGAAAAGTTAAACTCTGAGAGTTGAACGCACACATCGCAGAGCAGTTTCTGAGAATGATTCTGTCTAATTTTTATACGAAGATATTTCCTTTTGTGCCTTTGGCCCCAAAGCGCTTGAAATCTCCACTTGCAAATTCCACAAAAACAGTGTTTGAATTCTGCTCTGTCTAACTGAAAGTTCAACTCTGTCAGATGAATACACACAACACAAGGAAGTTACTCAGAATTCTTCTGTCTAGCATAATATGAAGAAATCCCGTTTCCAACGAAGGCCTCAAAGAGGTCTGAATATCCACTTGCAGACTTTACAAACAGAGTGTTTCCTAACTGCTCTATGAAAAGAAAGGTTAAACTCTGTGAGTTGAACGCAGACATCACAAAGGAGTTTATGAGAATCATTCTGTCTAGTTTTTCTACGAAGATATTTCCTTTTCTACTATTGACCTCAAAGAGGCTGGAATCTCCACTTGCAAATTCCACAAAAAGAGTGCTTCAAGTCTGCTCTGTGTAAAGGATCGTTCAACTCTGTGAGTTGAATACACACAACACAAGGAAGTTACTGAGAATTCTTCTGTCTAGCAGAATAGGAAGAAATCCCGTTTCCAACGAAGGCCACAAGTTGTCAGAATATCCACTTACAGACTTTACAAACAGAGTGTTTCCTAACTGCTCTATGAACAGAAAGGTTAAACTCTGTGAGTTGAACGAACACATCACAACGCAGTTTGTGGGAATGATTCTGTCTAGTTTTGAAACGAAGATATTTCCTTTTCTGCCGTTGACCTTAAAGCGCTTGAAATCTACACTTGCAAATTGCACAAATAGAGTGTTTCAAATCTGCTCTGTCTAAGGGAACGTTCAACTCTGTGAGTTGAATGCACACAACACAAGGAAGTTACTGGGAATTCTTCTGTCTAGCCTTACATGAAAAAAACCCGTTTCCAACGAAGGCCTCTAAGTGGTCAAAATTTCCACGTGCAGACTTTACAAACAGAGTGTTTCCAAACCGCTGAATGAAAAGAAAAGTTAAACTCTGAGAGTTGAACGCACACATTACGCAGCAGTTTCTGAGAATGATTCTGTCTAGTTTTTATACGAAGATATTTCCTTTTCTGCCTTTGGCCTCAAAGCGCTTGAAATCTCCACTTGCAAATTCCACAAAAAGAGTGTTTCAAATCTGCTCTGTGTAAATGAAAGTTCAACTCTGTGAGTTGAACACACACAACACAAGGAAGTTACTGGGGAATTCTTCTGTTTAGCCTTATATGTAAAAAACCCGTTTCCAACGAAGGCCTCAAAGAGGTCTGAATATCCACTTGCAGACTTTACAAACAGAGTGTTTCCTAACTGCTCTATGAAAAGAAAGGTTAAACTCTGTGAGTTGAACGCACACATCACAAAGAAGTTTCTGAGAATCATTCTGTCTAGTTTTTATAGGAAGATATTCCCTTTTCTACCTTTGACTTCAAAGCGGCTGAAATCTCCACTTGCAAATGCCACAAAAAGAGTGTTAGAAGTCTGCTCTGTGTAAAGGATCGGTCAACTCTGTGAGTTGAATACACACAACACAAGGAAGTTACTGAGAATTCTTCTGTCTAGCAGAATATGAAGAAATCCCGTTTCCAACGAAGGCCTCAAGGAGGTCTGAATATCCACTTGCAGACTTTACAAACAGAGTGTTTCCTAACTGCTCTATGAACAGAAAGGTTAAACTCTGTGAGTTGAACGAACACATCACAACGCAGTTTGTGGGAATGATTCTGTCTAATTTTGAAACGAAGATATTTCCTTTTCTGCCATTGACCTTAATGCGCTTGAAATCTACACTTGCAAATTGCACAAATAGAGTGTTTCAAATCTGCTCTGTCTAAGGGAACGTTCAACTCTGTGAGTTGAATGCACACAACACAAGGAAGTTACTGGGAATTCTTCTGTCTAGCCTTACATGAAAAAAACCCGTTTCCAACGAAGGCCTCAAAGAGGTCTGAATATCCACGTGCAGACTTTACAAACAGAGTGTTTCCAAACCGCTGAATGAAAAGAAAAGTTAAACTCTGAGAGTTGAACGCACACATCACGCAGCAGTTTCTGAGAATGATTCTGTCTAGTTTCTTTAGGAAGATATTTCCTATTCTACCATTGACCTCAAAGCGGCTGAAATCTCCACTTGCAAATTCCACAAAAAGAGTGTTTCAAGTCTGCTCTGTGAAAAGGATCGTTCAACTCTGTGAGTTGAATACACACAACACAAGGAAGTTACTGAGAATTCTTCTTTCTAGCAGAATATGAAGAAATCCCGTTTCCAACGAAAGCCTCAAGGATGTCTGAATATCCACTTGCAGACTTTACAAACAGAGTGTTTCCTAACTGCTCTATGAAAAGAAAGGATAAACTCTGTGAGTTGAACGCACACATCACAAAGGAGTTTCTGAGAATCATTCTGTCTAGTTTCTATAGGAAGATATTTCCTATTCTACCATTGACCTCAAAGCGGCTGAAATCCCCACTTGCAAATTCCACAAAAAGAGTGTTTCAAGTCTGCTCTGTGTAAAGGATCGTTCAACTCTGTGAGTTGAATACACACAACACAAGGAAGTTACTGAGAATTCTTCTGTCTAGCAGAATATGAAGAAATCCCGCTTCCAACGAAGGCCTCAAAGAAGTCTGAATATCCGCTTGCAGACTTTACAAACAGAGTGTTTCCCAACTGCTCTATGAAAAGAAAGGTTGAACTCTGTGAGTTGAACGCACACATCACAAAGGAGTTTCTGAGAATCATTCTGTCTAGTTTTGAAACGAAGATATTTCCTTTTCTGCCATTGACCTTAAAGCGCTTGAAATCTCCATTTGCCAATTGCACAAAAAGAGTGTTTCAAATCTGCTCTGTCTAAGGGAACGTTCAACTCTGTGAGTTGAATGTACACAACACAAGGAAGTTACTGGGAATTCTTCTGTCTAGCCTTACAGGAAAAAAACCCGTTTCCAACGAAGGCCTCTAAGTGGTGAAAATATCCACGTGCAGACTTTACAAACAGAGTGTTTCCAAACTGCTGAATGAAAAGAAAAGTTAAACTCTGAGAGTTGAACACACACATCGCAGAGCAGTTTCTGAGAATGATTCTGTCTAATTTCTATATGAAGATATTTCCTATTCTACCATTGACCTCAAAGCGGCTGAAATCTCCACTTGCAAATTCCACAAAAAGAGTGTTTCAAGTCTGCTCTGTGTAAAGGATCGTTCAACTCTGTGAGTTGAATACACACAACACAAGGAAGTTACTGAGAATTCTTCTGTCTAGCATAATATGAAGAAATCCCGTTTCCAACGAAGGCCTCAAGGAGGTCTGAATATCCACTTGCAGACTTTACAAACAGAGTGTTTCCTAACTGCTCTATGAAAAGAAAGGTTAAACTGTGTGAGTTGAACGCACACATCACAAAGGAGTTTCTGAGAATCATTCTGTCTAGTTTTTATAGGAAGTTATTTCCTTTTCTACCTTTGACTTCAAAGCGGCTGAAATCTCCACTTGCAAATTCCACAAAAAGAGTGTTTCAAGTCTGCTCTGTGTAAAGGATCGTTCAACTCTGTGAGTTGAATACACACAACACAAGGAAGATTCTGAGAATTCTTCTGTCCAGCAGAATATGAAGAAATCCCGTTTCCAACGAAGGCCTCAAAGAGGTCTGAATATCCACTTGCAGACTTTACAAACAGAGTATTTCCTAACTGCTCTATGAAAAGAAAGGTTAAACTCTGTGAGTTGAACGAACACATCACAACGCAGTTTGTGGGAATGATTCTGTCTAGTTTTGAAACGAAGATATTTCCTTTTCTGCCATTGACCCTAAAGCGCTTGAAATCTCCACTTGCAAATTGCACAAAAAGAGTGTTTCAAATCTGCTCTGTCTAACGGAACGTTCAACTGTGTGAGTTGAATGCACACAACACAAGGAAGTTACTGGGAATTCTTCTGTCTAGCAGAATATGAAGAAATCCCGTTTCCAACGAAGGCCACAAGATGTCAGAATATCCACTTACAGAATTTACCAACAGAGTGTTTCCTAACTGCTCTATGAAAAGAAAGGTTAAACTCTGTGAGCTGAACGAACACATCACAACGCAGTTTGTGGGAATGATTCTGTCTAGTTTTGAAACGAAGATATTTCCTTTTCTGCCTTTGCCCTCAAAGCGCTTGAAATCTCCACTTGCAAATTCCACAAAAAGAGTGTTTCAAATCTGCTCTGTGTAAATGAAAGTTCAACTCTGTGAGTTGAACACACACAACACAAGGAAGTTACTTGGAATTCTTCTGTCTAGCATAGTATGAAGAAATCCCGTTTCCAACGAAGGCCTCAAACAGGTCTGAATATCCACTTGCAGAGTTTACACACAGAGTGTTTCCTAACTGCTCTATGAAAAGAAAGGTTAAACTCTGTGAGTTGAACGCACACATCACAAAGAAGTTTCTGAGAATCATTCTGTCTAGTTTCTATAGGAAGATATTTCCTATTCTACCATTGACCTCAAAGCGGATGAAATCTCCACTTGCAAATTCCACAAAAAGAGTGTTTCAAGACTGTTCTGTGTAAAGGATCATTCAACTCTGTGAGTTGAATACACACAACACAAGGAAGTTACTGAGAATTCTTCTGTCTAGCAGAATATGAAGAAATCCCGTTTCCAACGAAGGCCACAAGATGTCAGAATATCCACTTACAGAATTTACAAACAGACTGTTTCCTAACTGCTCTACGAAAAGAAAGGTTAAACTCTGTGAGATGAACGAACACATCACAACGCAGTTTGTGGGAATGATTCTGTCTAGTTTTTATAGGAAGATATTTCCTTTTCTACCTTTGACTTCAAAGCGGCTGAAATCTCCACTTGCAAATTCCACAAAAAGAGTGTTACAAGTCTCCTCTGTGTAAAGGATCGTTTAACTCTGTGAGTTGAATACACACAACACAAGGAAGTTACTGAGAATTCTTCTGTCTAGCCTTACTTGAAAAAAACCCGTTTCCAACGAAGGCCTCTAAGTGGTCAAAATATCCACGTGCAGACTTTACAAACAGAGTGTTTCCAAACCGCTGAATGAAAAGAAAAGTTAAACTCTGAGAGTTGAACGCACACATCACGCAGCAGTTTCTGAGAATGATTCTGTCTCGTTTTTATACGAAGATATTTCCTTTTCTGCCTTTGGCCCCAAAGCGCTTGAAATCTCCACTTGCAAATTCCACAAAAACAGTGTTTCAAATCTGCTCTCTCCAAATGAAAGTTCAACTCTGTGAGTTGAATACACACAACACAAGGAAGTTACTGAGAATTCTTCTGTCTAGCAGAATATGAAGAAATCCCGTTTCCAACGAAGGCCTCAAAGGGGTCTGAATATCCACTTGCAGACTTTATAAACAGAGTGTTTACTAACTGCTCTATGAAAAGAAAGGTTAAACTCTGTGAGTTGAACGCACACATCACAAAGGAGTTTCTGAGAATCATTATCTGTTTAGTTTTTATAGGAAGATATTTCCTTTTCTACCTTTGACTTCAAAGCGGCTGAAATCTCCACTTGCAAATTCCACAAAAAGAGTGTTACAAGTCTGCTCTGTGTAAAGGATCGTTCAACTCTGTGAGTTGAATACACACAAAACAAGGAAGTTACTGAGAATTCTTCTGTCTAGCATAATATGAAGAAATCCCGTTTCCAACGAAGGCCTCAAGGAGGTCTGAATATCCACTTGCAGACTTTACAAACAGAGTGTTTCCTAACTGCTCTATGAAAAGAGAGGTTAAACTGTGTGAGTTGAACGCACACATCACAAAGAAGTTTCTGAGAATCATTCTGTCTAGTTTTGAAACCAAGATATTTCCTTTTCTGCCGTTGACCTTAAAGAGCTTGAAAACTACACTTGCAAATTGCACAAATAGAGTGTTTCAAATCTGCTCTGTCTAAGGGAACGTTCAACTCTGTGAGTTGAATGCACACAACACAAGGAAGTTACTGGGAATTCTTCTGTCTAGCCTTACATGAAAAAATCCCGTTTCCAACGAAGGCCTCTAAGTGGTCAAATTATCCACGTGCAGACTTTACAAACAGAGTGTTTCCAAACCGCTGAATGAAAAGAAAAGTTAAACTCTGAGTGTTGAACGCACACATCACGCAGCAGTTTCTGAGAATGATTCTGTCTAGTTTTGAAACGAAGATATTTCCTTTTCTGCCTTTGGCCTCAAAGCGCTTGAAATCTCCACTTGCAAATTGCACAAAAAGAGTGTTTCAAATCTGCTCTGTGTAAATGAAAGTTCAACTCTGTGAGTTGAACACACACAACACAAGGAAGTTACTGGGAATTCTTCTTTCTAGCAGAATATGAAGAAATCCCGTTTCCAACGAAAGCCTCAAGGATGTCTGAATATCCACTTGCAGACTTTACAAACAGAGTGTTTCCTAACTGCTCTATGAAAAGAAAGGTTAAACTCTGTGAGTTGAACGCACACATCACAAAGGAGTTTCTGAGAATCACTCTGTCTAGTTTCTATAGGAAGATATTTCCTATTCTACCATTGACCTCAAAGCGGCTGAAATCTCCACTTGCAAATTCCACAAAAAGAGTGTTTCAAGTTTGCTCTGTGTAAAGGATCGTTCAACTCTGTGAGTTGAATACACACAACACAAGGAAGTTACTGAGAATTATTCTGTCTAGCAGAATATGAAGAAATCCCGTTTCCAACGAAAGCCTCAAGGAGGTCTGAATATCCACTTGCAGACTTTACAAACAGAGTGTTTCCCAACTGCTCTATGAAAAGAAAGGTTAAACTCTGTGAGTTGAACGCACACATCACAAAGGAGTTTCTGAGAATCATTCTGTCTAGTTTTGAAACGAAGATATTTCCTTTTCTGCCGTTGACCTTAAAGAGCTTGAAAACTACACTTGCAAATTGCACAAATAGAGTGTTTCAAATCTGCTCTGTCTAAGGGAACGTTCAACTCTGTGAGTTGAATGCACACAACACAAGGAAGTTACTGGGAATTCTTCTGTCTAGCCTTACATGAAAAAAACCCGTTTCCAACGAAGGCCTCTAAGTGGACAAAATTTCCACGTGCAGACTTTACAAACAGAGTGTTTCCAAACCGCTGAATGAAAAGAAAAGTTAAACTCTGAGAGTTGAACGCACACATCACGCAGCAGTTTCTGAGAATGATTCTGTCTAGTTTTTATACGAAGATATTACCTTTTCTACCATTGACCTCAACGCGGCTGAAATCTCCACTTGCAAATTCCACAAAAAGAGTGTTTCAAGTCTGCTCTGTGTAAAGGATCGTTCAACTCTGTGAGTTGAATACACACAACACAAGGAAGTTACTGAGAATTCTTCTGTCTAGCACAGTATGAAGAAATCCCGTTTCCAACGAAGGCCTCAAAGAGGTGTGAATATCCACTTGCAGAGTTTACAAACAGAGTGTTTCCTAACTGCTCTATGAAAAGAAAGGTTAAACTCTGTGAGTTGAACGCACACATCACAATGAAGTTTCTGAGAATCATTCTGTCTAGTTTTTTTACGAAGATATTTCCTTTTCTACCATTGACCTCAAAGCGGCTGAAATCACCACTTGCCAATTGCACAAAAAGAGTGTTTCAAATCTGCTCTGTCTAAGGAAACGTTCAACTCTGTGAGTTGAATGTACACAACACAAGGAAGTTACTGGGAATTCTTCTGTCTAGACTTACATGAAAAAAACCCGTTTCCAAGGAAGGCCTCTAAGTGGTCAAATTATCCACGTGCAGACTTTACAAACAGAGTGTTTCCAAACTGCTGAATGAAAAGAAAAGTTAAACTCTGAGAGTTGAACGCACACATCGCAGAGCAGTTTCTGAGAATGATTCTGTCTAGTTTTTATACGAAGATATTCCCTTTTCTACCATTGACCTCAAAGCAGCTGAAATCACCACTTGCCAATTGCACAAAAAGAGTGTTTCAAATCTGCTCTGTCTAAGGGAACGTTCAGCTCTGTGAGTTGAATGTACACAACACAAGGAAGTTACTGGGAATTCTTCTGTCTAGCCTTACATGAAAAAAACCCGTTTCCAACGAAGGCCTCTAAGTGGTCAAATTATCCACGTGGAGACTTTACAAACAGAGTGTTTCCAAACTGCTGAATGAAAAGAAAAGTTAAACTCTGAGAGTTGAACGCACACATCACAGAGCAGTTTCTGAGAATGATTCTGTCTAGTTTCTATACGAAGATATTTCATTTTCTACCATTAACCTCAAAGAGGCTGAAATCTCCACTTGCAAATTCCCCAAAAAGAGTGTTTCAAGTCTGCCCTGTGTAAAGGATCGTTCAACTCTGTGAGTTGAATACACACAACACAAGGAAGTTACTGAGAATTCTTCTGTCTAGCAGAATATGAAGAAATCCCGTTTCCATCGAAGGCCTCAAAGAGGTCTGAATATCCACTTGCAGACTTTACAAACAGAGTGTTTCCTAACTGCTCTATGAAAAGAAAGGTTAAACTCTGTGAGTTGAACGCACACATCACAAAGGAGTTTCTGAGAATCATTCTGTCTAGTTTTTATAGGAAGATATTTCCTTTTCTACCTTTGACTTCAAAGCGGCTGAAATCTCCACTTGCAAATTCCAGAAAAAGAGTGTTACATGTCTGCTCTGTGTAAAGGATCGTTCAACTCTGTGAGTTGAATACACACAACACAAGGAAGTTACTGAGAATTCTTCTGTCTAGCAGAATAGGAAGAAATCCCGTTTCCAACGAAGGCCACAAGATGTCAGAATATCCACTTACAGACTTTACAAACAGAGTGTTTCCTAACTGCTCTATGAACAGAAAGGTTAAACTCTGTGAGTTGAACGAACACATCACAACGCAGTTTGTGGGAATGATTATCTGTCTAGTTTTTATATGAAGATATTTCCTTTTCTACCATTGACCTCAAAGCGGCTGAAATCACCACTTGCCAATTGCACAAAAAGAGTGTTTCAAATCTACTCTGTCTAAGGGAACGTTCAAATGTGTGAGTTGAATGTACGCAACACAAGGAAGTTCCTGGGAATTCTTCTGTCTAGCCTTACAGGAAAAAAACCCGTTTGCAACGAAGGCCTCTAAGTGGTCAAATTATCCACGTGCAGACTTTACAAACAGATTGTTTCCAAACTGCTGAATGAAAAGAAAAGTTAAACTCTGAGAGTTGAACGCACACATCGCAGAGCAGTTTCTGAGAATGATTCTGTCTAGTTTTTATACGAAGATATTTCCTTTTCTGCATTGGCCTCAAAGCGCTTGAAATCTCCACTTGCAAATTCCACAAAAAGAGTGTTTCAAATCTGCTCTGTGTAAATGAAAGTTCAACTCTGTGAGTTGAACACACACAACACAAGGAAGTTACTGGGAATTCCTCTGTCTAGCCTTATATGAAAAAATCCCGTTTCCAACGAAGGCCTCAAAGAGGTCTGAATATCCACTTGCAGACTTTACAAACAGAGTGTTTCCTAACTGCTCTATGAAAAGAAAGGTTAAACTCAGTGAGTTGAACACACACATCACAAAGGAGTTTCTGAGAATCATTCTGTCTAGTTTCTATTGGAAGATATTTCCTATTCTACCATTGACCTCAAAGCGGCTGAAATCTCCACTTGCAAATTCCACAAAAAGAGTGTTTCAAGTCTGCTCTCTGTAAAGGATCGTTCAACTCTGTGAGTTGAATACACACAACACAAGGAAGTTACTGAGAATTGTTCTGTCTGGCAGAATATGTAGAAATCCCGTTTCCAACGAAGGCCACAAGATGTCAGAATATCCACTTACAGAATTTAACAACAGAGTGTTTCCTAACTGCTCTATGAAAAGAAAGGTTAAACTCTGTGAGTTGAACGAACACATCACAACGCAGTTTGTGGGAATGATTCTGTCTAGTTTTGAAACGAAGATATTTCCTTTTCTGCCATTGACCTTAAAGCGCTTGAAATCTCCACTTGCCAATTGCACAAAAAGAGTGTTTCAAATCTGCTCTGTCTAAGGGAACGTTCAACTCTGTGAGTTGAATGTACACAACGCAAGGAAGTTACTGGGAATTCTTCTGTCTAGCCTTACATGAAAAAAACCCGTTTCCAACGAAGGCCTCTAAGTGGTCAAATTATCCACGTGCAGACTTTACAAACAGAGTGTTTCCAAACTGCTGAATGAAAAGAAAAGTTAAACTCTGAGAGTTGAACGCACACATCACAGAGCAGTTTCTGAGAATGACTCTGTCTAGTTTTTATACGAAGATATTTCGTTTTCTGCCTTTGGCCCCAAAGCGCTTGAAATCTCCACTGGCAAATTCCACAAAAACAGTGTTTCAAATCTGCTCTCTCTAAATGAAAGTTCAACTCTGTCAGTTGAATACACACAACACAAGGAAGTTACTGAGAATTCTTCTGTCTAGCATAGTATGAAGAAATCCCGTTTCCAACGAAGGCCTCAAAGAGGTCTGAATATCCACTTGCAGAGTTTACAAATAGAGTGTTTCCTAACTGCTCTATGAAAAGAAAGGTTGAACTCTGTGAGTTGAACGCACACATCACAAAGAAGTTTCTGAGAATCATTCTGTCTAGTTTTTATAGGAAGATATTTCCTTTTCTACCTTTGACTTCAAAGCGGCTGAAATCTCCACTTGCAAATTCCACAAAAAGAGTGTTACAAGTCTGCTCTGTGTAAAGGATCGTTCAACTGTGTGAGTTGAATACACACAACACAAGGAAGTTACTGAGAATTCTTCTGTCTAGCCTTACATGAAAAAAACCTGTTTCCAACGAAGGCCTCTAAGTGGTCAAATTATGTACGTGCAGACTTTACAAACAGAGTGATTCCAAACTGCTGAATGAAAAGAAAAGTTAAACTCTGAGAGTTGAACGCACACATCGCAGAGCAGTTTCTGAGAATGATTCTGTCTAGTTTTGAAACGAAGATATTTCCTTTTCTGCCATTGACCTTAAAGCGCTTGAAATCTCCATTTGCCAATTGCACAAAAAGAGTGTTTCAAATCTGCTGTGTCTAAGGGAACTTTCAACTCTGTGAGTTGAATGTACACAACACAAGGAAGTTACTGGGAATTCTTCTGTCTAGCCTTACAGGAAAAAAACCCGTTTCCAACGAAGGCCTCTAAGTGGTCAAAATATCCACGTGCAGACTTTACAAACAGAGTGTTTCCAAACTGCTGAATGAAAAGAAAACTTAAACTCTGAGAGTTGAACGCACACATCGCAGAGCAGTTTCTGAGAATGATTCTGTCTAGTTTTTATACGAAGGATATTTCCTTTTCTGCCTTTGGCCCCAAAGCGCTTGAAATCTCCACTTGCAAATTCCACAAAAACAGTGTTTCAAATCTGCTCTCTCTAAATGAAAGTTCAACTCTGTCAGTTGAATACACACAACAGAAGGAAGTTACTGAGAATTCTTCTGTCTAGCCTTACATGAAAAAAACCCGTTTCCAACGAAGGCCTCAAAGAAGTCCAAATATCCACGTGCAGACTATACAAACAGAGTGTTTCCTAACTGCTCTATGAAAAGAAAGGTTAAACTCTGTGAGTTGAACGCAGACATCACAAAGGAGTTTCTGAGAATCATTCTGTCTAGTTTTTATACGAAGATATTTCCTTTTCTACAATTGACCTCAAAGCGGCTGAAATCTCCACTTGCAAATTCCAGAAAAAGAGTGTTTCAAGTCTGCTCTGTGTAAAGGATCGTTCAACTCTGTGAGTTGAATACACACAACACAAGGAAGTTACTGAGAATTCTTCTGTCTAGCAGAATATGAAGAAATCCCGTTTCCAACGAAGGCCACAAGATGTCAGAATATCCACTTACAGACTTTACAAACAGAGTGTTTCCTAACTCCTCTATGAACAGAAAGGTTAAACTCTGTGAGTTGAACGAACACATCACAACGCAGTTTGTGGGAATGATTCTGTCTAGTTTTGAAACGAAGATATTTCCTTTTCTGCCATTGAACTTAAAGCGCTTGAAATCTCCATTTGCCAATTGCACAAAAAGAGTGTTTCAAATCTGCTCTGTCTAAGGGAACGTTCAACTCTGTGAGTTGAATGTACACAACACAAGGAAGTTACTGGGAATTCTTCTGTCTAGCCTTACATGAAAAAAACCCGTTTCCAACGAAGGCCTCTAAGTGGTCAAAATATCCACGTGCAGACTTTACAAACAGAGTGTTTCCAAACCGCTGAATGAAAAGAAAAGTTAAACTCTGAGAGTTGAAAGCACACATCACGCAGCAGTTTCTGAGAATGATTCTGTCTAGTTTTTATACGAAGATATTTCCTTTTCTGCCTTTGGCCTCAAAGCGCTTGAAATCTCCATTTGCAAATTCCACAAAAAGAGTGTTTCAAATCTGCTCTGTGAAAATGAAAGTTCAACTCTGTGAGTTGAACACACACAACACATGGAAGTTACTGGGAATTCTTCTGTCTAGCCTTATATGAAAAAAACCCGTTTCCAACGAAGGCCTCAAAGAGGTCTGAATATCCACTTGCAGACTTTACAAACAGAGTGTTTCCTAACTGCTCTATGAAAAGAAAGGTTAAACTCTGTGAGTTGAACGCACACATCACAAAGGAGTTTCTGAGAATTATTCTGTCTAGTTTTTATAGGAAGATATTTCCTTTTCTACCTTTGACTTCAAAGCGGCTGAAATCTCCTCTTGCAAATTCCACAAAAAGAGTGTTACAAGTCTGCTCTGTGTAAAGGATCGTTCAACTCTGTGAGTTGAATACACACAACACAAGGAAGTTACTGAGAATTCTTCTGTCTAGCAGAATATGAAGAAATCCCGTTTCCAACGAAGGCCACAAGATGTCAGTATATCCACTTACAGACTTTACAAACAGAGTGTTTCCTAACTGCTCTATGAACAGAAAGGTTAAACTCTGTGAGTTGAACGAACACATCACAACGCAGTTTGTGGGAATGATTCTGTCTAGTTTTGAAACGAAGATATTTCCTTTTCTGCCATTGACCTTAAAGCGCTTGAAATCTCCATTTGCCAATTGCACAAAAAGACTGTTTCAAATCTGCTCTGTCTAAGGGAACGTTCAACTCTGTGAGTTGAATGTACACAACACAAGGAAGTTACTGGGAATTCTTCTGTCTAGCCTTATGTGAAAAAAACCCGTTTCCAACGAAGGCCTCAAAGAGGGCTGAATATCCACTTGCAGACTTTACAAGCAGAGTGTTTCCTAACTGCTCTATGAAAAGAAAGGTTAAACTCTGTGAGTTGAACGCACACATCACAAAGGAGTTTCTGAGAATCATTCTGTCTAGTTTTTATACGAAGATATTTCCTTTTCTGCCTTTGGTCCCAAAGCGCTTGAAATCTCCACTTGCAAATTCCACAAAAACAGTGTTTCAAATCTGCTCTCTCTAAATGAAACTTCAACTCTGTCAGTTGAATACACACAACAGAAGGAAGTTACTGAGAATTCTTCTGTATAGCAGAATATGAAGAAATCCCGTTTCCAACGAAGGCCTCAAGGAGGTCTGAATATCCACTTGCAGACTTTACAAACAGAGTGTTTCCTAACTGCTCTATGAAAAGAAAGGTTAAACTCTGTGAGTTGAACGCACACATCACAAAGGAGTTTCTGAGAATCACTCTGTCTAGTTTTTATACGAAGATATTCCCTTTTCTACCATTGACCTCAACGCGGCTGAAATCTCCACTTGCAAATTCCACAAAACGAGTGTTTCAAGTCCGCTCTGTGTAAAGGATCGTTCAACTCTGTGAGTTGAATACACACAACACAAGGAAGTTACTGAGAATTCTTCTGTCTAGCAGAATATGAAGAAATCCCGTTTCCAACGAAGGCCACAAGATGTCAGAATATCCACTTACAGAATTTACAAACAGAGTGTTTCCTAACTGCTCTATGAAAAGAAAGGTTAAACTCTGTGAGATGAACGAACACATCACAACGCAGTTTGTGGGAATGATTCTGTCTAGTTTTTATAGGAAGTTATTTCCTTTTCTAACTTTGACTTCAAAGCGGCTGAAATCTCCACTTGCAAATTCCACAAAAAGAGTGTTACAAGTCCGCTCTGTGTAAAGGATCGTTCAACTCTGTGAGTTGAATACACACAACACAAGGAAGTTACTGAGAATACTTCTGTCTAGCCTTACATGAAAAAAACCCATTTCCAACAAAGGCCTCTAAGTGGTCAAGTTATCCACGTGCAGACTTTACAAACAGA
This sequence comes from Homo sapiens, assembly GCF_000001405.40. NCBI lineage: Eukaryota > Metazoa > Chordata > Mammalia > Primates > Hominidae > Homo > Homo sapiens. The sequence goes on along the minus strand of NC_000005.10, from coordinate 49,232,370 downwards.
GTGTTTCCAAACTGCTGAATGAAAAGAAAAGTTAAACTCTGAGAGTTGAACGCACACATCGCAGAGCAGTTTCTGAGAATGATTCTGTCTAGTTTTTATACGAAGATATTTCCTTTTCTGCCTTTGGCCTCAAAGCGCTTGAAATCTCCACTTGCAAATTCCACAAAAAGAGTGTTTCAAATCTGCTCTGTGTAAATGAAAGTTCAACTCTGTGAGTCGAACACACACAACACAAGGAAGTTACTGGGAATTCTTCTGTCTAGCATAATATGAAGACATCCCGTTTCCAACGAAGGCCTGAAAGAGGTCTGAATATCCACTTGCAGACTTTACAAACAGAGTGTTTCCTAACTGCTCTATGAAAAGAAAGGTTAAACTCTGTGAGTTGAACGCACACATCACAAAGGAGTTTCTGAGAATCATTCTGTCTAGTTTCTATAGGAAGATATTTCCTATTCTACCATTGACCTGAAAGCGGCTGAAATCTCCACTTGCAAATTCCACAAAAAGAGTGTTTCAAGTCTGCTCTGTGTAAAGGATCGTTCAACTCTGTGAGTTGAATACACACAACACAAGGAAGTTACTGAGAATTCTTCTGTCTAGCAGAATATGAAGAAATCCCGTTTCCAACGAATGCCACAAGATGTCAGAATATCCACTTACAGAATTGACAAACAGACTGTTTCCTAACTGCTCTATGAAAAGAAAGGTTAAACTCTGTGAGTTGAACGAACACATCACAACGCTGTTTGTGGGAATGATTCTGTCTAGTTTTGAAACGAAGATATTTCCTTTTCTGCCATTGACCTTAAAGCGCTTGAAATCTACACTTGCAAATTGCACAAATAGAGTGTTTCAAATCTGCTCTGTCTAAGGGAAAGTTCAGCTCTGTGAGTTGAATGCACACAACACAAGGAAGTTACTGGGAATTCTTCTGCCTAGCATTACATGAAAAAAACCCGTTTCCAACGAAGGCCTCTAAGTGGTCAAAATATCCACGTGCAGACTTTACAAACAGAGTGTTTCCAAACTGCTGAATGAAAAGAAAAGTTAAACACTGAGAGTTGAACGCACACATCACAGTGCAGTTTCTGAGGATGATTCTGTCTAGTTTTTATACGAAGATATTTCCTTTTCTGCCTTTGGCCCCAAAGCGCTTGAAATCTCCACTTGCAAATTCCACAAAAACAGTGTTTCAAATCTGCTCTCTCTAAATGAAAGTTCAACTCTGTCATTTGAATACACACAACACCAAGGAAGTTACTGAGAATTCTTCTGTCTAGCATAATATGAAGAAATCCCTTTTCCAACGAAGGCCTCAAAGAGGTCTGAATATCCACTTGCACACTTTACAAACAGAGTGTTTCCTAACTGCTCTATGAGAAGAAAAGTTAAACTCTGTGAGTTGAACGCACACATCACAAAAGATTTTCTTAGAATCATTCTGTCTAGTCTTTATACGAAGATATTTCCTTTTCTACCATTGACCTCAAAGCGGCTGAAATCTCCACTTGCAATTCCACAAAAAGAGTGTTTCAAGTCTGCTCTGTGTAAAGGATCGTTCACCTCTGTGAGTTGAATACACACAACACAAGGAAGTTACTGAGAATTCTTCTGTCTAGCAGAATATGAAGAAATCCCGCTTCCAACGAAGGCCTCAAAGAAGTCTGAATATCCACTTGCAGACTTTACAAACAGAGTGTTTCCTAACTGCTCTATGAAAAGAAAGGTTAAACTGTGTGAGTTGAACGCACACATCACAAAGGAGTTTCTCAGAATCATTCTGTCTAGTTTTGAAACGAAGATATTTCCTTTTCTGCCATTGACCTTAATGCGCTTGAAATCTACACTTGCAAATTGCACAAATAGAGTGTTTCAAATCTGCTCTGTCCAAGGGAACGTTCAACTCTGTGAGTTGAATGCACACAACACAAGGAAGTTACTGGGAATTCTTCTGTCTAGCCTTACATGAAAAAAACCCGTTTCCAACGAAGGCCTCTAAGTGGTCAAGTTATCCACGTGCAGACTTTACAAACAGAGTGTTTCCAAACTGCTGAATGAAAAGAAAAGTTAAACTCTGAGAGTTGAACGCACACATTGCAGAGCAGTTTCTGAGAATGATTCTGTCTATTTTTTTACGAAGATATTTCCTTTTCTGCCTTTGGCCTCAAAGCGCTTGAAATCTCCACTTGCAAATTCCACAAAAAGAGTGTTTCAAATCTGCTCTGTGTAAATGAAAGTTCAACTCTGTGAGTTGAACACACACAACACAAGGAAGTTACTGGGAATTCTTCTGTCTAGCATAATATGAAGAAATCCCGTTTCCAACGAAGGCCTCAAAGGGGTCTGAATATCCACTTGCAGACGTTATAAACAGAGTGTTTACTAACTGCTCTATGAAAAGAAAAGTTAAACTCTGTGTGTTGAACGCACACATCACAAAGGAGTTTCTGAGAATCATTCTGTCTAGTTTTTCTACGAAGATATTTCCTTTTCTACTATTGACCTCAAAGCGGCTGAAATCTCCACTTGCAAATTCCACAAAAAGAGTGTTTCAAGTCTGCTCTGTGTAAAGGATCGTTCAACTCTGTGAGTTGAATACACACAACACAAGGAAGTTACTGAGAATCTTCTGTCTAGCAGAATATGAAGAAATCCCGTTTCCAACGAAGGCCTCAAAGAGGTCTGAATATCCACTTGCAGACTTTACAAACAGAGTGTTTCCTAACTGCTCTATGAAAAGAAAAGTTAAACTCTGTGAGTTGAACGCACACATCACAACGCAGTTTGTGGGAATGATTCTGTCTAGTTTTGAAACGAAGATATTCCCTTTTCTGCCATTGACCTTAAAGCGCTTGAAATCTACACTTGCAAATTGCACAAATAGAGTGTTTCAAATCTGCTCCGTCTAGGGAACGTTCAACTCTGTGAGTTGAATGCACACAACACAAGGAAGTTACTGGGAATTCTTCTGTCTAGCCTTACATGAAAAAAAAACCGTTTCCAAAGAAGGCCTCTAAGTGGTCAAATTATCCACGTGCAGACTTTACAAACAGAGTGTTTCCAAACTGCTGAATGAAAAGAAAAGTTAAACTCGGAGAGTTGAACGCACACATCGCAGAGCAGTTTCTGAGAATGATTCTGTCTAGTTTTTATACGAAGATATTTCCTTTTCTGCCTTTGGCCTGAAAGGGCTTGAAATCTCCATTTGCAAATTCCACAAAAAGAGTGTTTCAAATCTGCTCTGTGTAAATGAAAGTTCAACTCTGTGAGTTGAATCCACACAACACAAGGAAGTTACTGGGAATTCTTCTGTCTAGCAGAATATGAAGAAATCCCGTTTCCAACGAAGGCCTCAAAGGGGTCTGAATATCCACTTGCAGACATTATAAACAGAGTGTTTACTAACTGCTCTATGAAAAGAAAGGTTAAACTCTGTGAGTTGAACACACACATCACAAAGGAGTTTCTGAGAATCATTCTGTCTAGTTTTTCTACGAAGATATTTCCTTTTCCACTATTGACCTCAAAGCGGCTGAAATCTCCACTTGCAAATTCCACAAAAAGAGTGTTTCAAGTCTGCTCTGTGTAAAGGATCGTTCCACTCTGTGAGTTGAATACACACAACACAAGGAAGTTACTGAGAATTCTTCTGTCTAGCAGAATATGAAGAAATCCCGTTTCCAAAGAAGGCCTCAAAGAGGTCTGAATATCCACTTGCAGACTTTACAAACAGAGTGTTTCCTAACTGCTCTATGAAAAGAAATGTTAAACTCTGTGAGTTGAACGCACACATCACAAAGGATTTTCTGAGAATCATTCTGTCTAGTTTTTATAGGAAGATATTTACTTTTCTACCTTTGACTTCAAAGCGGCTGAAATCTCCACTTGCAAATTCCACAAAAAGAGTGTTACAAGTCTGCTCTGTGTAAAGGATCGTTCAATTCTGTGAGTTGAATACACACAACACAAGGAAGTTACTGAGAATTCTTCTGTCTAGCCTTACATGAAAAAATCCCGTTTCCAACGAAGGCCTCTAAGTGGTCAAGTTATCCACGTGCAGACTTTACAAACAGAGTGTTTCCAAACTGCTGAATGAAAAGAAAAGTTAAACTCTGAGAGTTGAACGCACACATCGCAGAGCAGTTTCTGAGAATGATTCTGTCTAGTTTTTATAAGTAAGCATATTTCCTTTTCTGCCTTTGGCCTCAAAGCGCTTGAAATCTCCATTTGCAAATTATACAAAAAGAGTGTTTCAAATCTGCTCTGTGTAAATGAAAGTTCAACTCTGTGAGTTGAACACACACAACACAAGGAAGTTACTGGGAATTCTTCTGTCTAGCAGAATATGAAGAAATCCCGTTTCCAAAGAAGGCCTCAAAGAGGTCTGAATATCCACTTGCAGACTTTACCAACAGAGTGTTTCCTAACTGCTCTATGAAAAGAAAGGTTAAACTCTGTGAGTTGAACGCACACATCACAAAGGAGTTTCTGAGAATCATTCTGTCTAGTTTCTATAGGAAGATATTTCCTATTCTACCATTGACCTCAAAGCGGCTGAAATCTCCACTTGCAAATTTCACAAAAAGAGTGTTTCAAGTCTGCTCTGTGTAAAGGATCGTTCAACTCTGTGAGTTGAATACACACAACACAAGGAAGTTACTGAGAATTCTTCTGTCTAGCATAATATGAAGAAATCCCCTTTCCAACGAAGGCCTCAAGGAGGTCTGAATATCCACTTGCAGACTTTACTAACAGAGTGCTTCCTAACTGCTCTATGAAAAGAAAGGTTAAACTCTGTGAGTTGAACGCACACATCACAAAGGAGTTTCTGAGAATCATTCTGTCAAGTTTTGAAACGAAGATATTTCCTTTTCTGCCATTGACCTTAAAGCGCTTGAAATCTACACTTGCAAATTGCACAAATAGAGTGTTTCAAATCTGCTCTGTCTAAGGGAACTGTTCAACTCTGTGAGTTGAATGCACACAACACAAGGAAGTTACTGGGAATTCTTCTGTCTAGCCTTACATGAAAAAACCCGTTTCCAACGAAGGCCTCTAAGTGGTCAAAATATCCACGTGCAGACTTTACAAACAGAGTGTTTCCAAACCGCTGAATGAAAAGAAAAGTTAAACTCTGAGAGTTGAACGCACACATCACGCAGCAGTTTCTGAGAATGATTCTGTCTAGTTTTTATTCGAAGATATTTCCTTTTCTACCATTGACCTCAAAGCGGCTGAAATCTCCACTTGCAAATTACACAAAAAGAGTGTTTCAAGTCTACTCTGTGTAAAGCATCGTTCAACTCTGTGAGTTGAAAACACACAACACAAGGAAGTTTCTGAGAATTCTTCTGTCTAGCAGAACATGAAGAAATCCCGTTTCCAACGAAGGCCTCAAAGATGTCTGAATATCTACTTGCAGACTTTACAAACAGAGTGTTTCCTAACTGCTCTATGAAAAGAAAGGTTAAACTCTGTGAGTTGAACGCACACATCACAAAGGAGTTTCTGAGAATCATTCTGTCTAGTTTCTATAGGAAGATATTTCCTATTCTACCATTGAGCTCAAAGCGGCTGAAATCTCCACTTGCAAATTCCACAAAAAGAGTGTTTCAAGTCTGCTCTGTGTAAAGGATCGTTCAACTCTGTGAGTTGAAAACACACAACACAAGGAAGTTACTGAGAATTCTTCTGTCTAGCAGAATATGAAGAAATCCCGTTTCCAACGAAGGCCTGAAGGAGGTCTGAATATCCACTTGCAGACTTTACAAACAGAGTGTTTCCTAACAGCTCTTTGAACAGAAAGGTTAAACTCTGTGAGTTGAACGCACACATCACAAAGGAGTTTCTGAGAATCATTCTGTCTAGTTTTGAAACGAAGATATTTCCTTTTCTGCCGTTGACCTTAAAGCGCCTGAAATCTACACTTGCAAATTGCACAAATAGAGTGTTTCAAATCTGCTCTGTCTAAGGGAACGTTCAACTCTGTGAGTTGAATGCACACAACACAAGGAAGTTACTGGGAATTCTTCTGTCTAGCCTTACATGAAAAAAAACCCGTTTCCAACGAAGGCCTCTAAGTGGTCAAAATATCCACGTGCAGTCTATACAAACAGAGTTTTTCCAAACCGCTGAATGAAAAGAAAAGTTAAACTCTGAGAGTTGAACGCACACATCACGCAGCAGTTTCTGAGAATGATTCTGTCTAGTTTTTATACGAAGATATTTCCTTTTCTGCCTTTGGCCACAAAGCGCTTGAAATCTCCATTTGCAAATTCCACAAAAAGAGTGTTTCAAATCTGCTCTGTGTAAATGAAAGTTCAACTCTGTGAGTTGAACACACACAACACAAGGAAGTTACTGGGAATTCTTCTGTCTAGCCTTACATGAAAAAAACCCGTTTCCAACGAAGGCCTCAAGGAGGTCTGAATATCCACTTGCAGACTTTACAAACAGAGTGTTTCCTAACTGCTCTATGAAAAGAAAGGTTAAACTCTGTGAGTTGAACGCATACATCACAAAGGAGTTTCTGAGAATCATTCTGTCTACTTTCTATAGGAAGATATTTCCTATTCTACCATTGACTTCAAAGCGGCTGAAATCTCCACTTGCAAATTCCACAAAAGGAGTGTTTCAAGTCTGCTCTGTGTAAAGGATCGTTCAACTCTGTGAGTTGAAAACACACAACACAAGGAAGTTTCTGAGAATTCTTCTGTCTAGCAGAATATGAAGAAATCCCGTTTCCAACGAAGGCCACAAGATGTCAGAATATCCACTTACAGAATTTTCAAAGAGACTGTTTCCTAACTGCTCTATGAAAAGAAAGGTTAAACTCTGTGAGTTGAACGAACACATCACAACGCAGTTTGTGGGAATGATTCTGTCTAGTTTTGAAACGAAGATATTTCCTTTTCTGCCATTGACCTTAAAGCGCTTGAAATCTCCACTTGTCAATTGCACAAAAAGAGTGTTTCAAATCTGCTCTGTCTAAGGGAACGTTCAACTCTGTGAGTTGAATGTACACAACACAAGGAAGTTACTGGGAATTCTTCTGTCTAGCCTTACATGAAAAAAACCCGTTTCCAACGAAGGCCTCTAAGTGGTCAAAATATCCACGTGCAGACTTTACAAACAGAGTGTTTCCAAACCGCTGAATGAAAAGAAAAGTTAAACTCTGAGAGTTGAACGCACACATCACACAGCAGTTTCTGAGAATGATCTGTCTAGTTTTTATACGAAGATATTTCCTTTTCTGCCTTTGGCCCCAAAGCGCTTGAAATCTCCACTTGCAAATTCCACAAAAACAGTGTTTCAAATCTGCTCTCTCTAAATGAAAGTTCAACTCTGTCAGTTGAATACACACAACACAAGGAAGTTACTGAGAATTCTTTCCGTCTAGCCTTACATGAAAAAAACCCGTTTCCAACGAAGGCCTCAAAGAAGTCCAAATATCCACGTGTAGACTTTACAAACAGAGTGTTTCCTAACTGCTCTATGAAAAGAAAGGTTAAACTCTGTGAGTTGAACGCCCACATCACAAAGGAGTTTCTGAGAATCATTCTGTCTAGTTTCTATAGGAAGATATTTCCTATTCTACCATTGACCTCAAAGCAGCAGAAATCTCCACTTGCAAATTCCACAAAAAGAGTGTTTCAAGACTGCTCTGTGTAAAGGATCGTTCAACTCTGTGAGTTGAATACACACAACACAAGGAAGTTACTGAGAATTCTTCTGTCTAGCAGAATATGAATAAATCCCGTTTCCAACGAAGGCCACAAGATGTCAGAATATCCACTTACAGACTTTACAAACAGAGTGTTTCCTAACTGCTCTATGAACAGAAAGGTTATACTCTGTGAGTTGAACGAACACATCACAACGCAGTTTGTGGGAATGATTCTGTCTAGTTTTGAAACGAAGATATTTCCTTTTCTGCCCTTGACCTTAAAGCGCTTGAAATCTACAATTGCAAATTGCACAAATAGAGTGTTTCAAATCTGCTCTGTCTAAGGGAACGTTCAACTCTGTAAGTTGAATGCACACAACACAAGGAAGTTACTGGGAATTCTTCTGTCTAGCCTTACATGAAAAAAACCCGTTTCCAACGAAGGCCTCTAAGTGGTCAAAATTTCCACGTGCAGACTTTACAAACAGAGTGTTTCCAAACCGCTGAATGAAAAGAAAAGTTAAACTCTGAGAGTTGAACGCACACATCACGCAGCAGTTTCTGAGAATGATTCTGTCTAGTTTTTATACGAAGATATTTCCTTTTCTGCCTTTGGCCCCAAAGCGCTTGAAATCTCCACTTGCAAATCCCACAAAAACAGTGTTTCAAATCTGCTCTCTCTAAATGAAAGTTCAACTCTGTCAGTTGAATACACACAACACAAGGAAGTTACTGAGAATTCTTCTGTCTAGCATAATATGAAGAAATCCCGTTTCCAACGAAGGCCTCAAAGAGGTCTGAATATCCACTTGCAGACTTTACAAACAGAGTGTTTCCTAACGGCTCTATGAACAGAAAGGTTAAACTCTGTGAGTTGAACGCACACATCACAAAGGAGTTTCTGAGAATCATTCTGTCTAGTCTTTATAGGAAGATATTTACTTTTCTACCATTGACCTCAAAGCGGCTGAAATCTCCACTTGCAAATTCCACAAAAAGAGTGTTTCAAGTCTACTCTGTGTAAAGGATCATTCAACTCTGTGAGTTGAATAAACACAACACAAGGAAGTTACTGAGAATTCTTCTGTCTAGCAGAATATGAAGAAATCCCGTTTACAACGAAGGCCACAAGATGTCAGAATATCCACTTACAGACTTTACAGAGTGTTTCCTAACTGCTCTATGAACAGAAAGGTTAAACTCTGTGAGTTGAACGAACACATCACAACGCAGTTTGTGGGAATGATTCTGTCTAGTTTTGAAACGAAGATATTTCCTTTTCTGCCATTGACCTTAAAGCGCTTGAAATCTACACTTGCAAATTGCACAAATAGATTGTTTCAAATCTGCTCTGTCTAAGGGAACGTTCAACTCTGTGAGTTGAATGCATACAACACAAGGAAGTTACTGGGAATTCTTCTGTCTAGCCTTACATGAAAAAAACCCGTTTCCAACGAAGGCCTCTAAGTGGTCAAAATGTCCACGTGCAGACTTTACAAACAGAGTGTTTCCAAACCGCTGAATGAAAAGAAAAGTTAAACTCTGAGAGTTGAACGCACACATCAAGCAGCAGTTTCTGAGAATGATTCTGTCTAGTTTTGAAACGGAGATATTTCCTTTTCTGCCTTTGGCCTCAAAGCGCTTGAAATCTCCACTTGCAAATTCCACAAAAAGAGTGTTTCAAATCTGCTCTGTGCAAATGAAAGTTCAACTCTGTGAGTTGAACACACACAACACAAGGAAGTTACTGGGAATTCTTCTGTCTAGCATAATATGAAGAAATCCCGTTTCCAACGAAGGACTCAAAGGGGTCGGAATATCCACTTGCAGACTTTATAAACAGAGTGTTTACTAACTGCTCTTGAAAAGAAAGGTTAAACTCTGTGAGTTGAACACACACATCACAAAGGAGTTTCTGAGAATCACTCTGTCTAGTCTTTATACGAAGATATTTCCTTTTCTACCATTGACCTCAAAGCGGCTGAAATCTCCACTTGCAAATTCCACAAAAAGAGTGTTTCAAGTCTGCTCTGTGTAAAGGATCGTTCAACTCTGTGAGTTGAATACACACAACCCAAGGAAGTTACTGAGAATTCTTCTGTCTAGCATAGTATGAAGAAATCCCGTTTCCAACGAAGGCCTCAAAGAGGTCTGAATATCCACTTGCAGAGTTTACAAACAGAGTGTTTCCTAACTGCTCTATGAAAAGAAAGGTTAAACTCTGTGAGTTGAACGCAAACATCACAAAGAAGTTTCTGAGAATCATTCTGTCTAGTTTTGAAACGAAGATATTTCCTTTTCTGCCATTGACCTTAAAACGCTTGAAATCTACAATTGCAAATTGCACAAATAGAGTGTTTCAAATCTGCTCTGTCTAAGGGAACGTTCAACTCTGTGAGTTGAATGCACACAACACAAGGAAGTTACTGGGAATTCTTCTGTCTAGCCTTACATGAAAAAATCCCGTTTCCAACGAAGGCCTCTAAGTGGTCAAAATATCCACGTGCAGACTTTACAAACAGAGTGTTTCCAAACCGCTGAATGAAAAGAAAAGTTAAACTCTGAGAGTTGAACGCACACATCACGCAGCAGTTTCTGAGAATGATTCTGTCTAGTTTTTATACGAAGATATTTCCTTTTCTGCCTTTGGCCTCAAAGCGCTTGAAATCTCCATTTGCAAATTCCACAAAAAGAGTGTTTCAAATCTGCTCTGTGTAAATGAAAGTTCAACTCTGTGAGTTGAACACACACAACACAATGAAGTTACTGGGAATCTCTTCTGTCTAGCAGAATATGAAGAAATCCCGTTTCCACCGAAGACCTCAAGTAGGTCTGAATATCCACTTGCAGAATTTACAAACAGAGTGTTTCCTAACTGCTCTATGAACAGAAAGGGTAAACTCTGTGAGTTGAACGCACACATCACAAAGGACTTTCTGAGAATCATTCTGTCTAGTTTTTATACGAAGATATTTCCTTTTCTACCATTGACCTCAACGCGGCTGAAATCTCCAGTTGCAAATTCCACAAAAAGAGTGTTTCAAGTCTGCTCTGTGTAAAGGATCGTTCAACTCTGTGAGTTGAATACACACAACTCAAGGAAGTTACTGAGAATTCTTCTGTCTAGCAGAATATGAAGAAATCTCGTTTCCAAAGAAGGCCACAAGATGTCAGAATATCCACTTACAGAATTTACAAACAGAGTTTTTCCTAACTGCTCTATGAAAAGAAAGGTTAAACTCTGTGAGTTGAACGAACACATCACAACGCAGTTTGTGGGAATGATTCTGTCTGGTTTTGAAACGAAGATATTTCCTTTTCTGCCATTGACATTAAGCGCTTGAAATCTCCACTTGCCAATTTCACAAAAAGAGTGTTTCAAATCTGCTCTGTCTAAGGGAACGTTGAACTCTGTGAGTTGAATGTACACAACACAAGGAAGTTACTGGGAAATATTCTGTCTAACCTTACATGACAAAAGCCCGCTTCCAACGAAGGCCTCTAAGTGGTCAAAATATCCACGTGCAGACTTTACAAACAGAGTGTTTCCAAACTGGTGAATGAAAAGAAAAGTTAAACTCTGAGAGCTGAATGCACACATCGGAGAGCAGTTTCTGAGAATGATTCTGTCTAGTTTTTATACGAAGATATTTCCTTTTCTGCCTTTGGCCTCAAAGCGCTTGAAATCTCCATTTGCAAATTCCACAAAAAGAGTGTTTCAAATCTGCTCTGTGTAAATGAAAGTTCAGCTCTGTGAGTTGAACACACACAACACAAGGAAGTTACTGGGAATTCTTCTGTCTAGCAGAACATGAAGAAATCCCGCTTCCAACGAAGGCCTCAAAGAAGTCTGAATATCCACTTGCAGACTTTACAAACAGAGTGTTTCCCAACTGCTCTATGAAAAGAAAGGTTGAACTCTGTGAGCTGAACGCACACATCACAAAGGAGTTTCTGAGAATCATTCTGTCTAGTTTCTATAGGAAGATATTTCCTATTCTACCATTGACCTCAAAGCGGCAGAAATCTCCACTTGCAAATTCCACAAAAAGAGTGTTTCAAGACTGCTCTGTGTAAAGGATCGTTCAACTCTGTGAGTTGAATACACACAACACAAGGAAGTCACTGAGAATTCTTCTGTCTAGCAGAATATGAAGAAATCCCGTTTCCAACGAAGGCCACAAGATGTCAGAATATCCACTTACAGACTTTACAAACAGAGTGTTTCCTAACTGCTCTATGAACAGAAAGTTTAAACTCTGTGTGTTGAACGCACACATCACAAAGTAGTTTATGAGAATCATTCTGTCTAGTTTCTATAGGAAGATATTTCCTATTCTACCATTGACCTCAAAGCGGCTGAAATCTCCACTTGCAAATTCCACAAAAAGAGTGTTTCAAGTCTGCTCTCTGTAAAGGATCGTTCAACTCTGTGAGTTGAATACACACAACAAAAGCAAGTTACTGAGAATTATTCTGTCTAGCCTTACATGAAAAAAACCCGTTTCCAACGAAGGCCTCTAAGTGGTCAAAATATCCACGTGCAGACTTTACAAACAGAGTGTTTCCAAACCGCTGAATGAAAAGAAAAGTTAAACTCTGAGAGTTGAACGCACACATCACGCAGCAGTTTCTGAGAATGATTCTGTCTAGTTTTTATACGAAGATATTTCCTTTTCTGCCTTTGGCCTCAAAGCGCTTGAAATCTCCACTTGCAAATTCCACAAAAAGAGTGTTTCAAATCTGCTCTGTGTAAATGAAAGTTCAACTCTGTGAGTTAAAAAACACACAACACAAGGAAGTTACTGGGAATTCTTCTGTCTAGCAGAATATGAAGAAATCCCGTTTCCACCGAAGGCCTCAAAGAGGTCTGAATATCCACTTGCAGACTTTACAAACAGAGTGTTTCCTAACTGCTCTATGAAAACAAAAGTTAAACTCTGTGAGTTGAACGCACACATCACAAAGGAGTTTATGAGAATCATTCTGTCTAGTTTTTCTACGAAGATATTTCCTTTTCTACTATTGACCTCAAAGCGGCTGAAATCTCCACTTGCAAATTCCACAAAAAGAGTGTTTCAAGTCTGCTCTGTGTAAAGGATCGTTCAACTCTGCGAGTTGAATACACACAACACAAGGGAAGTTACTGAGGAATTCTTCTGTCTAGCAGAACATGAAGAAATCCCGCTTCCAACGAAGGCCTCAAAGAAGTCTGAATATCCACTTGCAGACTTTACAAACAAAGTGTTTCCTAACTGCTCTATGAAAAGAAAGGTTGAACTCTGTGAGTTGAACGCACACATCACAAAGGAGTTTCTGAGAATCATTCTGTCTAGTTTTGAAACGAAGATATTTCCTTTTCTGCCGTTGACCTTAAAGCGCTTGAAATCTACACTTGCAAATTGCACAAATAGAGTGTTTCAAATCTGCTCTGTCTAAGGGAACGTTCAACTCTGTGAGTTGAATGCACACAACACAAGGAAGTTACTGGGAATTCTTCTGTCTAGCCTTATATGAAAAAAACCCGTTTCCAACGAAGGCATCAAAGAGGTCTGAATATCCACTTGCAGACTTTACAAACAGAGTGTTTCCTAACTGCTCTATGAAAAGAAAGGTTAAACTCTGTGAGTTGAACGCACACATCACAAAGGAGATTCTGAGAATCATTCTGTCTAGTCTTTATACGAAGATAATTCCTTTTCTACCATTGACCTCAAAGCGGCTGAAATCTCCACTTGCAAATTCCACAAAAAGAGTGTTTCAAGTCTGCTCTGTGTAAAGGATCGTTCAACTCTGTGAGTTGAATACACACAACACAAGGAAGTTACTGAGAATTCTTCTGTCTAGCAGAATATGAAGAAATCCCGTTTCCAACGAAGGCCTCAAGGAGGTCTGAATATCCACTTGCAGACTTTACAAACAGAGTGTTTCCTAACTGCTCTATGAAAATAAAAGTTAAACTCTGTGAGATGAACGCACACATCACAAAGGAGTTTATGAGAATCATTCTGTCTAGTCTTTATATGAAGATAGTTTCCTTTTCTACCATTGACCTCAAAGCGGCTGAAATCTCCACTTGCAAATTCCCCAAAAAGAGTGTTTCAAGTCTGCTCTGTGTAAAGGATCGTTCAACTCTGTGAGTTGAATACACACAACACAAGGAAAGTTACTGAGAATTCTTCTGTCTAGCAGAATATGAAGAAATCCCGTTTCCAACTAAGGCCACAAGATGTCAGAATATCCACTTACAGAATTGACAAACAGACTGTTTCCTAACTGCTCTATGAAAAGAAAGGTTAAACTCTGTGAGTTGAACAAACACATCACAACGCAGTTTGTGGGAATGATTCTCTCTAGTTTTGAAACGAAGATATTTCCTTTTCTGCCATTGACCTTAAAGCGCTTGAAATCTCCACTTGCCAATTGCACAAAAAGAGTGTTTCAAATCTGCTCTGTCTAAGGGAACGTTCAACTCTGTGAGTTGAATGTACACAACACAAGGAAGTTACTGGGAACTCTTCTGTCTAGCCTTACATGCAAAAAAACCGTTTCCAACGAAGGCCTCTAAGTGGTCAAAATATCCACGTGCAGACTTCACAAACAGAGTGTTTCCAAACCGCTGAATGAAAAGAAAAGTTAAACTCTGAGAGTTGAACGCACACATCACGCAGCAGCTTCTGAGAATGATTCTGTCTGGTTTTGAAACGAAGATATTTCCTTTTCTGCCTTTGGCCTCAAAGCGCTTGAAATCTCCACTTGCAAATTCCACAAAAAGAGAGTTTCAAATCTGCTCTGTGTAAATGAAAGTTCAACTCTGTGAGTTGAACACACACAACACAAGGAAGTTACTGGGAATTCTTCTGTCTAGCATAATATGAAGAAATCAAGTTTCCAACGAAGGCCTCAAAGAGGTCTGAATATCCACTTGCAGACTTTACAAACAGAGTGGTTCCTAACTGCTCTATGAGAAGAAAAGTTAAACTCTGTGAGTTGAACGCACACATCACAAAAGATTTTCTGAGAATCATTCTGTCTAGTCTCTATATGAAGATAGTTTCCTTTTCTACCATTGACCTCAAAGCGGCTGAAATCTCCACTTGCAAATTCCACAAAAAGAGTGTTTCAAGTCTGCTCTGTGTAAAGGATCGTTCAACTCTGTGAGTTGAATACACACAACACAAGGAAGTTACTGAGAATTCTTCTGTCTAGCAGAATATGAAGAAATCCCGTTTCCAACGAAGGCCACAAGATGTCAGAATATCCACTTACAGAATTGACAAACAGACTGTTTCCTAACTGCTCTATGAAAAGAAAGGTTAAACTCTGTGAGTTGAATGAACACATCACAACGCAGTTTGTGGGAATGATTCTGTCTAGTTTTGAAAGGAAGATATTTCCTTTTCTGCCATTGACCTTAAAGCGCTTGAAATCTACACTTGCAAATTGCACAAATAGAGTGTTTCAAATCTGCTCTGTCTAAGGGAACGTTCAACTCTGTGAGTTGAATGCACACAACACAGGGAAGTTACTGGGAATTCTACTGTCTAGCCTTACAGGAAAAAAACCCGTTTCCAACGAAGGCCTCTAAGTGGTCAAAATATCCACGTGCAGACTTTACAAACAGAGTGTTTCCAAACTGCTGAATGAAAAGAAAAGTTAAACTCTGAGAGTTTAACGCACACATCGCAGAGCAGTTTCTGAGAATGATTCTGTCTAGTTTTTATACGAAGATGTTTCCTTTTCTGCCTTTGGCCCCAAAGCGTTTGAAATCTCCACTTGCAAATTCCACAAAAACAGTGTTTCAAATCTGCTCCCTCTAAATGAAATTTCAACTCTGTCAGTTGAATACACACAACACAAGGAAGTTACTGAGAATTCTTCTGTCTAGAACATGAAGAAATCCCGCTTCCAACGAAGGCCTCAAAGAAGTCTGAATATCCACTTGCAGACTTTACAAACAGAGTGTTTCCCAACTGCTCTATGAAAAGAAAGGTTGAACTCTGTGAGTTGAACGCACACATCACAAAGGAGTTTCTGAGAATCATTCTGTCTAGTTTTTATAGGAAGATATTTCCTTTTCTACCTTTGACTTCAAATCGGCTGAAATCTCCACTTGCAAATTCCACAAAAAGAGTGTTACAAGTCTGCTCTGTGTAAAGGATCGTTCAACTCTGTGAGTTGAATACACACAACACAAGGAAGTTACTGAGAATTCTTCTGTCTAGCAGAATATGAAGAAATTCCGTTTCCAACGAAGGCCGCAAGATGTCAGAATATCCACTTGCAGACTTTACAAACAGAGTGTTTCCTAACTGCTCTATGAACAGAAAGGTTAAAATCTGTGAGTTGAACGAGCACTTCACAACGCAGTTTGTGGGAATGATTCTGTCTAGTTTTGAAACGAAGAAATTTCCTTTTCTGCCATTGACCTTAAAGCGCTTGAAATCTACACTTGCAAATTGCACAAATAGAGTGTTTCAAATCTGCTCTGTCTAAGGGAACGTTCAACTCTGTGAGTTGAATGCACACAACACAAGGAAGTTACTGGGAATTCTTCTGTCTAGCCTTACATGAATAAAACCCGTTTCCAACGAAGGCCTCTAAGTGGTCAAAATATCCACGTGCAGACTTTACAAACAGAGTGTTTCCAAACCGCTGAATGAAAAGAAAAGTTAAACTCTGAGAGTTGATCGCACACATCACGCAGCAGTTTCTGAGAATGATTCTGTCTAGTTTTGAAACGAAGATATTTCCTTTTCTGCCTTTGGCCTCAAAGCGCTTGAAATCTCCACTTGCAAATTCCACAAAAAGAGTGTTTCAAATCTGCTCTGTGTAAATGAAAGTTCCACTCTGTGAGTTGAACACACACAACACAAGGAAGTTACTGGGAATTCTTCTGTCTAGCAGAATATGAAGAAATCCCGTTTCCAACGAAGGCCTCAAAGAGGTCTGAATATCCACTTGCAGACTTTACAAAGAGAGTGTTTCCTAACTGCTCTTTGAAAAGAAAAGTTAAACTCTGTGAGTTGAACGCACACATCACAAAGGAGTTTCTGAGAATCATTCTGTCTAGTTTTTATATGAAGATATTTCCTTTTCTACCATTGACCTCAAAGCGGCTGAAATCTCCACTTGCAAATTCCACAAAAAGAGTGTTTCAAGTCTGCTCTGTGTAAAGGATCGTTCAACTCTGTGAGTTGAATACACACAACACGCGGAAGTTACTCAGTATTCTTCTGTCTAGCAGAATATGAAGAAATCCCGTTTCCAACGAAGGCCACAAGATGTCAGAATATCCACTTACAGAATTTTCAAACAGACTGTTTCCTAACTGCTCTATGAAAAGAAAGGTTAAACTCTGTGAGATGAACGAACACATCACAACGCAGTTTGTGGGAATGATTCTGTCTAGTTTTGAAACGAAGATATTTCCTTTTCTGCCATTGACCTTAAAGCGCTTGAAATCTCCATTTGCCAATTGCACAAAAAGAGTGTTTCAAATCTGCTCTGTCTAAGGGAACGTTCAACTCTGTGAGTTGAATGTACACAACACAAGGAAGTTACTGGGAATTCTTCTGTCTAGCCTTACATGAAAAAAACCCGTTTCCAACGAAGGCCTCTAAGTGGTCAAAATATCCACGTGCAGACTTTACAAACAGAGTGTTTCCAAACCGCTGAATGAAAAGAAAAGTTAAACTCTGAGAGTTGAACGCAGACATCACGCTGCAGATTCTGAGAATGATTCTGTCTAGTTTCTATAGGAAGATATTTCCTATTCCACCATTGACCTCAAAGCGGCTGAAATCTCCACTTGCAAATTCCACAAAAAGAGTGTTTCAAGTCTGCTCTCTGTAAAGGATCGTTCAACTCTGTGAGTTGAATACACACAACACAAGGAAGTTACTGAAAATTCTTCTGTCTAGCCTTATATGAAAAAAACCCGTTTCCAACGAAGGCCACAAAGAGGTCTGAATATCCACTTGCAGACTTTACAAACAGAGTGTTTCCTAACTGCTCTATGAAAAGAAAGGTTAAACTCTGTGAGTTGAACGCACACATCACAAAGGAGATTCTGAGAATCATTCTGTCTAGTTTTTCTACGAAGATATTTCCTTTTCTACTATTGACCTCAAAGCGGCTGAAATCTCCACTTGCAAATTCCACAAAAAGAGTGTTTTAAGTCTGCTCTGTGTAAAGGATCGTTCAACTCTGTGAGTTGAATACACACAACACAAGGAAGTTACTGAGAATTCTTCTGTCTAGCAGAATATGAAGAAATCCCGTTTCCAACGAAGGCCACAAGATGTCAGAATATCCACTTACAGAATTTACAAACAGACTGTTTCCTAACTGCTCTATGAAAAGAAAGGTTAAACTCTGTGAGTTGAACGAACACATCACAACGCAGTTTGTGGGAATGATTCTGTTTAGTTTTGAAACGAAGAAATTTCCTTTTCTGCCATTGACCTTAAAGCGCTTGAAATCTCCACTTGCCAATTGCACAAAAAGAGTGTTTCAAATCTGCTCTGTCTAAGGGTACGTTCAACTCTGTGAGTTGAATGTACACAACACAAGGAAGTTACTGGGAATTATTCTGTCTAGCCTTACAGGAAAAAAACCCGTTTCCAACGAAGGCCTCTAAGTGGTCAAAATATCCACGTGCAGACTTTATAAACAGAGTGTTTCCAAACTGCTGAATGAAAAGAAAAGTTAAACTCTGAGAGTTGAACGCACACATCGCAGAGCAGTTTCTGAGAATGATTCTATCTAGTTTTTATACAAAGATATTTCCTTTTCTGCCTTTGGCCTCAAAGCGCTTGAAATCTCCACTTGCAAATTCCACAAAAAGAGTGTTTCAAATCTGCTCTGTCTAAATGAAAGTTCAACTCTGTCAGTTGAATACACACAACACAAGGAAGTTACTGAGAATTCTTCTGTCTAGCATAAGATGAAGAAATCCCGTTTCCAACGAAGGCCTCAAAGGGGTCTGAATATCCACTTGCAGACTTTATAAACAGAGTGTTTACTAACTGCTCTATGAAAAGAAAGGTTAAACTCTGTGAGTTGAACACACACATCACAAAGGAGTTTCTGAGAATCATTCTGTCTAGTCTTTATACGAAGATATTTCCTTTTCTACCGTTGACCACAAAGCGGCTGAAATCTCCACTTGCAAATTCCACAAAAAGAGTGTTTCAAGTCTGCTCTGTGTAAAGGATCGTTCAACTCTGTGAGTTGAATACACACAACACAAGGAAGTTACTGAGAATTCTTCTGTCTAGCAGAAAATGAAGAAATCCCGTTTCCAACGAAGGCCTCAAAGAGGTCTGAATATCCACTTGCAGACTTTACAAACAGAGTGTTTCCTAACTGCTCTATGAAAAGAAAGGTTAAACTCTGTGAGTTGAACGCACACATCACAAAGGAGTTTCTGAGAATCGTTCTGTCTAGTTTTGAAACGAAGATATTTCCTTTTCTGCCATTGACCTTAAAGCCCTTGAAATCTCCATTTGCCAATTGCACAAAAAGAGTGTTTCAAATCTGCTCTGTTTAAGGGAACGTTCAACTCTGTGAGTTGAATGTACACAACACAAGGAAGTTACTGGGAATTCTTCTGTCTAGCCTTACATGAAAAAAACCCGTTTCCAACGAAGGCCTCTAAGTGGTCAAATTATCCACGTGCAGACTTTACAAACAGAGTGTTTCCAAACTGCTGAAGGAAAAGAAAAGTTAAACTCTGAGAGTTGAACACACACATCACAGAGCAGTTTCTTAGAATGATTCTGTCAAGTTTTTATACGAAGATATTTCCTTTTCTGCCTTTGGCCTCAAAGCGCTTGAAATCTCCATTTGCAAATTCCACAAAAAGAGTGTTTCAAATCTGCTCTGTGTAAATGAAAGTTCAACTCTGTGAGTTGAACACACACAACACAAGGAAGTTACTGGGAATTCTTCTGTCTAGCCTTATATGAAAAAAACCCGTTTCCAACGAAGGCCTCAAAGAGGTCTGAATATCCACTTACAGACTTTACAAACAGAGTGTTTCCTAACTGCTCTATGAAAAGAAAGGTTAAACTCTGTGAGTTGAACACACACATCACAAAGGAGTTTCTGAGAATCATTCTGTCTAGTCTTTATACGAAGATAGTTTCCTTTTCTACCATTGACCTCAAAGCGGCTGAAATCTCCACTTGCAAATTCCACAAAAGGAGTGTTTCAAGTCTGCTCTGTGTAAAGGATCGTTCATCTCTGTGAGTTGAATACACACAACACAAGGAAGTTACTGAGAATTCTTCTGTCTAGCAGAATATGAAGAAATCCCGTTTCCAACGAAGGCTTCAAAGAGGTCTGAATATCCGCTTGCAGACTTTACAAACAGAGTGTTTCCTAACTCCTCTATGAAAAGAAAGTTTAAACTCTGTGAGTTGAACGCACACATCACAAAGGAGTTTCTGAGAATCATTCTGTCTAGTTTTGAAACGAAGATATTTCCTTTTCTGCCATTGACCTTAAAGCGCTTGAAATCTCCACTTGCCAATTGCACAAAAAGAGTGTTTCAAATCTGCTCTGTCTAAGGGA
Source organism: Homo sapiens (assembly GCF_000001405.40). Classification (NCBI taxonomy): domain Eukaryota; kingdom Metazoa; phylum Chordata; class Mammalia; order Primates; family Hominidae; genus Homo; species Homo sapiens. The sequence continues at coordinate 49,212,122 of NC_000005.10, read as the reverse complement.
ACGTTCAACTCTGTGAGTTGAATGTACACAACACAAGGAAGTTACTGGGAATTCTTCTGTCTAGCCTTACATGAAAAAAACCCGTTTCCAATGAAGGCCTCTAAGTGGTCAAATTATCCACGTGCAGACTTTACAAACAGAGTGTTTCCAAACTGCTGAATGAAAAGAAAAGTTAAACTCTGAGAGTTGAACGCACACATCACAGAGCAGTTTCTGAGAATGATTCTGTCTAGTTTTTATACCGAAGATATTTCCTTTTCTGCCTTTGGCCTCAAAGCGCTTGAAATCTCCATTTGCAAATTCCACAAAAAGAGTGTTTCAAATCTGCTCTGTGTAAATGAAAGTTCAACTCTGTGAGTTGAATACACACAACACAAGGGAAGTTACTGGGAATTCTTCTGTCTAGCATAATATGAAGAAATCCCGTTTCCAACGAAGGCCTCAAAGAGGTCTGAATATCCACTTGCAGACTTTACAAACAGAGTGTTTCCTAACTGCTCTATGAAAAGAAAGGTTAAACTCTGTGAGGTGAACGCACACATCACAAAGGAGTTTCTGAGAATCATTCTGTCTAGTTTTTATACGAAGATATTTCCTTTTCTACCATTGACCTCAAAGCGGCTGAAATCTCCACTTGCAAATTCCACAAAAAGAGTGTTTCAAATCTGCTCTGTGTAAACCATCGTTCAACTCTGTGAGTTGAATACACACAACACAAGGAAAGATTCTGAGAATTCTTCTGTCTAGCAGAATATGAAGAAATCCAGTTTCCAACGAAGGCCACAAGATGTCAGAATATCAACTTACAGAATTTACAAACAGAGTGTTTCCTAACTGCTCTATGAAAAGAAAGGTTAAACTCTGTGAGTTGAACGAACACATCACAACGCAGTTTGTGGGAATGATTCTGTCTAGTTTTGAAACGAAGATATTTCCTTTTCTGCCATTGACCTTAAAGCGCTTGAAATCTCCACTTGCCAATTGCACAAAAAGAGTATTTCAAATCTGCTCTGTCTAAGGGAACGTTCAACTCTGTGAGTTGAATGTACACAACACAAGGAAGTTACTGGGAATTCTTCTGTCTAGCCTTATATGAAAAAAACCCGTTTCCAACGAAGGCCTCAAAGAGGTCTGAATATCCACTTGCAGACTTTACAAACAGAGTGTTTCCTAACAGCTCCATGAAAAGAAAGGTTAAACTCTGTGAGTTGAACGCACACATCACAAAGGAGTTTCTGAGAATCATTTCTGTCTAGTTTTCAAACGAAGATATTTCCTTTTCTGCCTTTGGCCTCAAAGCGCTTGAAATCTCCACTTGCAAATTCCACAAAAAGAGTGTTTCAAATCTGCTCTGTGTAAATGAAAGTTCAACTCTGTGAGTTGAACACACACAACACAAGGAAGTTACTGGGAATTCTTCTGTCTAGCATAATATGAAGAAATCCCTTTTCCAACGAAGGCCTCAAAGGGGTCTGAATATCCACTTTCAGACTGTACAAACAGAGTGTTTACTAACTGCTCTATGAAAAGAAAGGTTAAACTCTGTGAGTTGAACACACACATCACAAAGGAGTTTCTGAGAATCATTCTGTCTAGTTTTTATACGAAGATATTTCCTTTTCTACCTTTGACTTCAAAGCGGCTGAAATCTCCACTTGCAAATTCCACAAAAAGAGTGTTACAAGTCTGGTCTGTGTAAAGGATCGTTCAACTCTGTGAGTTGAATACACACAACACAAGGAAGTTACTGAGAATTCTTCTGTCTAGCCTTACATGAAAAAAAACCGTTTCCAACGAAGGCCTCTAAGTGGTCAAATTATCCACGTGCAGACTTTACAAACAGAGTGTTTCCAAACTGCTGAATGAAAAGAAAAGTTAAACTCGGAGAGTTGAACGCACACATCGCAGAGCAGTTTCTGAGAATGATTCTGTCTAGTTTTGAAACGAAGATATTTCCTTTTCTGCCATTGACCTTAAAGGGCTTGAAATCTACACTTGCAAATTGCACAAATAGAGTGTTTCAAATCTGCTCTGTCTAAGGGAACGTTCAACTCTGTGAGTTGAATGCACACAACACAAGGAAGTTGCTGGGAATTCTTCTGTCTAGCCTTACATGAAAAAAACCCGTTTCCAACGAAGGCCTCTAAGTGGTCAAATTATCCACGTGCAGACTTTACAAACAGAGTGTTTCCAAACTGCTGAATGAAAAGCAAAGTTAAACTCTGAGAGTTGAACGCACACATCGCAGAGCAGTTTCTGAGAATGATTCTGTCTAGTTTTTATACGAAGATATTTCCTTTTCTGCCTTTGGCCTCAAAGCGCTTGAAATCTCCATTTGCAAATTCCACAAAAAGAGTGTTTCAAATCTGCTGTGTGTAAATGAAAGTTCAACTCTGTGAGTTGAACACACACAACACAAGGAAGTTACTGGGAATTCTTCTTTCTAGCAGAATATGAAGAAATCCCGTTTCCAACGAAAGCCTCAAGGATGTCGGAATATCCACTTGCAGACTTTACAAACAGAGTGTTTCCTAACTGCTCTATGAAAAGAAAGGTTAAACTCTGTGAGTTGAACGTACACATCACAAAGGAGTTTCTGAGAATCATTCTGTCTAGTTTCTATAGGAAGATATTTCCTATTCTACCATTGACCTCAAAGCGGCTGAAATCTCCACTTGCAAATTCCACAAAAAGTGTGTTTCAAGTCTGCTCTGTGTAAAGGATCGTTCAACTCTGTGAGTTGAATACAGACAACACAAGGAAGTTACTGAGAATTCTTCTGTCTAGCAGCAATATGAAGAAATCCCGTTTCCAACGAAGGCCACAAGATGTCAGAATATCCACTTACAGAATTTACAAACAGACTGTTTCCTAACTGCTCTACGAAAAGAAAGGTTAAACTCTGTGAGATGAACGAACACATCACAACGCAGTTTGTGGGAATGATTCTGTCTAGTTTTGAAACGAAGATATTTCCTTTTCTGCCATTGACCTTAAAGCGCTTGAAATCTACACTTGCAAATTGCACAAATAGAGTGTTTCAAATCTGCTCCGTCTAGGGAACGTTCAACTCTGTGAGTTGAATGCACACAACACAAGGAAGTTACTGGGAATTCTTCTGTCTAGCCTTACATGAAAAAAACCCGTTTCCAACGAAGGCCTCTAAGTGGTCAAATTATCCACGTGCAGACTTTACAAACAGAGTGTTTCCAAACTGCTGAATGAAAAGCAAAGTTAAACTCTGAGAGTTGAACGCACACATCGCAGAGCACTTTCTGAGAATGATTCTGTCTAGTTTTTCTACGAAGATATTTCCTTTTCTACAATTGACCTCAAAGCGGCTGAAATCTCCACTTGCAAATTCCACAAAAAGAGTGTTTCAAGTATGCTCTGTGTAAAGGATCGTTCAACTCTGTGAGTTGAATACACACAACACAAGGAAGTTACTGAGAATTCTTCTGTCTAGCAGAATATGAAGAAATCCCGTTTCCAACGAAGGCCTCAAAGAGGTCTGAATATCCACTTGCAGACTTTACAAACAGAGTGTTTCCTAACTGCTCTATGAAAAGAAAGGTTAAACTCTGTGAGTTGAACGCACACATCACAAAGGAGTTTATGAGAATCATTCTGTCTAGTTTCTGTAGGAAGATATTTCCTATTCTACCATTGACCTCAAAGCGGCTGAAATCTCCACTTGCAAATTCCACAAAAAGAGTGTTTCAAGTCTGCTCTCTGTAAAGGATCGTTCAACTCTGTGAGTTGAATGCACACAACACAAGGAAGTTACTGAGAATTATTCTGTCTAGCAGAATATGAAGAAATCCCTTTTCCAACGAAGGCCACAAGATGTCAGAATATCCACTTACAGAATTTACAAACAGACTGTTTCCTAACTGCTCTATGAAAAGAAAGGTTAAACTGCTGTGAGTTGAACGAACACATCACAACGCAGTTTGTGGGAATGATTCTGTCTAGTTTTGAAACGAAGATATTTCCTTTTCTGCCTTTGACCTTAAAGCGCTTGAAATCTACACTTGCAAATTGCACAAATAGAGTGTTTCAAATCTACTCTGTCTAAGGGAACGTTCAACTCTGTGATTTGATTGCACACAACACAAGGAAGTTACTGGGAATTCTTCTGTCTAGCCTTACAGGAAAAAAACCCGTTTCCAACGAAGGCCTCTAAGTGGTCAAAATATCCACGTGCAGACTTTACAAACAGAGTGTTTCCAAACTGGTGAATGAAAAGAAAGGTTAAACTCTGTGAGTTGAACGCACACATCACAAAGGAGTTTCTGAGAATCATTCTGTCTAGTTTTTATACGAAGATATTTCCTTTTCTGCCTTTGGCCTCAAAGCGCTTGAAATCTCCACTTGAAATTCCACAAAAAGAGTGTTTCAAATCTGCTCTGTGTAAATGAAAGTTCAACTCTGTGAGTTGAACACACACAACACAAGGAAGTTACTGGGAATTCTTCTGTCTAGCATAATATGAAGAAATCCCGTTTCCAACGAAGGCCTCAAGGAGGTGTGAATATCCACTTGCAGACTTTACAAACAGAGTGTTTCCTAACTGCTCTATGAAAAGAAAGGTTAAACTGTGTGAGTTGAACGCACACATCACAAAGAAGTTTCTGAGAATCATTCTGTCTAGTTTCTATTGGAAGATATTTCCTATTCTACCATTGACCTCAAAGCGGCTGAAATCTCCACTTGCAAATTCCACAAAAAGAGTGTTTCAAGTCTGCTCTCTGTAAAGGATCGTTCAACTCTGTGAGTTGAATACACACAACACAAGGAAAGTTACTGAGAATTCTTCTTTATAGCATAATATGAAGAAATCCCGTTTCCAACGAAGGCCTCAAAGAGGTCTGAATATCCACTTGCAGACTTTACAAACAGAGTGTTTCCTAACTGTTCTATGAAAAGAAAAGTTAAACTCTGTGAGTTGAACGCACACATCACAAAGGATTTTCTGGGAATCATTCTGTCTAGTTTTGAAACGAAGATATTTCCTTTTCTGCCATTGACCTTAAAGCGCTTGAAATCTCCACTTGCCAATTGCACAAAAAGAGTGTTTCAAATCTGCTCTGTCTAAGGGAACGTTCAACTCTGTGAGTTGAATGTACACAACACAAGGAAGTTACTGCGAATTCTTCTGTCTAGCCTTACAGGAAAAAAACCCGTTTCCAACGAAGGCCTCTAAGTGGTCAAAATATCCACGTGCAGACTTTACAAACAGAGTGTTTCCAAACTGCTGAATGAAAAGAAAAGTTAAACTCTGAGACTTGAACGCACACATCGCAGAGCAGTTTCTGAGAATGATTCTGTCTAGTTTTTATACGAAGATATTTCCTTTTCTGCGTTTGGCCCCAAAGCGCTTGAAGTCACCACTTGCAAATTCCACAAAAACAGTGTTTCAAATCTGCTCTCTCTAAATGAAAGTTCAACTCTGTCAGTTGAATACACACAACACAAGGAAGTTACTGAGAATTCTTCTGTCTAGCAGAATATGAAGAAATCCCGTTTCCAACGAAGGCCTCAAAGATGTCTGAATATCCACTTGCAGACTTTACAAACAGAGTGTTTCCTAACTGCTCTATGAAAGGAATGGTTAAACTCTGTGAGTTGAACGCACACATCACAAAGGAGTTTCTGACAATCATTCTGTCTAGTTTCTATAGGAAGATATTTCCTATTCTACCATTGATCTCAAAGAGGCTGAAATCTCCACTTGCAAAATCCACAAAAAGTGTGTTTCAAGTCTGCTCTGTGTAAAGGATCGTTCAACTCTGTGAGTTGAATACACACAACACAAGGAAGTTACTGAGAATTCTTCTGTCTAGCAGAATATGAAGAAATCCCGTTTCCAACGAAGGCCTCAATGAGGACTGAATATCCACTTGCCGACTTTACAAACAGAGTGTTTCCTAACTGCTCTATGAAAAGAAAGGTTAAACTCTGTGAGTTGAACGCACACATCACAAAGGAGTTTCTGAGAATCATTCTGTCTAGTTTTGAAACGAAGATATTTCCTTTTCTGCCATTGACCTCAAAGCGCTTGAAATCTCCACTTGCCAATTGCACAAAAAGAGTGTTTCAAATCTGCTCTGTTTAAGGGAACGTTCAACTCTGTGAGTTGAATGTACACAACACAAGGAAGTTACTGGGAATTCTTCTGTCTAGCCTTACATGAAAAAAACCCGTTTCCAACGAAGGCCTGTAAGTGGTCAAATTATCCACGTGCAGACTTTACAAACAGAGTGTTTCCAAACTGCTGAATGAAAAGAAAAGTTAAACTCTGAGAGTTGAACGCACACATCGCAGAGCAGTTTCTGAGAATGATTCTGTCTAGTTTTTATACGAAGATATTTCCTTTTCTGCCTTTGGCCTCCAAGCGCTTGAAATCTCCATTTGCAAATTCCACAAAAAGAGTGTTTCAAATCTGCTCTGTGTAAATGAAAGTTCAACTCTGTGAGTTGAACACACACAACACAAGGAAGTTACTGGGAATTCTTCTGTCTAGCAGAATATGAAGAAATCCCGTTTCCAACGAAGGCCTCAAAGGGGTCTGAATATCCACTTGCAGACTTTAAAAACAGAGTGTTTACTAACTGTTCTATGAAAAGAAAGGTTAAACTCTGTGAGTTGAACACACACATCACAAAGGAGTTTCTGAGAATCATTCTGTCTGGTTTATATATGAAGATATTTCCTTTTCTACCATTGACCTCAAAGCGGCTGAAATCTCCACTTACAAATTCCACAAAAAGAGTGTCTCAAGTCTGCTCTGTGTAAACGATCGTTCAACTCTGTGAGTTGAATACACACAACACAAGGAAAGTTTCTGAGAATTCTTCTGTCTAGCAGAATATGAAGAAATCCCGTTTCCAACGAAGGCCACAAGATGTCAGAATATCCACTTACAGAATTTACAAACAGACTGTTTCCTAACTGCTCTATGAAAAGAAAGGTTAAACTCTGTGAGTTGAACGAACACCTCACAACGCAGTTTGTGGGAATGATTCTGTCTAGTTTTTATACGAAGATATTTCTTTTTCTACCATTGACCTCAAAGCTGCTGAAATCACCACTTGCCAATTGCACAAAAAGAGTGTTTCAAATCTGCTCTGTCTAAGGGAACGTTCAACTCTGTGAGTTGAATGTACACAACACAAGGAAGTTCCTGGGAATTCTTCTGTCTAGCCTTACAAGAAAAAAACCCGTTTCCAACGAAGGCCTCTAAATGGTCAAAATATCCACGTGCAGACTTTACAAACAGAGTGTTTCCAAACTGCTGAATGAAAAGAAAAGTTAAACTCTGAGAGTTGAACGCACACATCGCAGAGCAGTTTCTGAGAATGATTCTGTCTAGTTGTTATACGAAGATATTTCCTTTTCTGCCTTTAGCCTCAAAGCGCTTGAAATCTCCACTTGCAAATTCCACAAAAAGAGTGTTTCAAATCTGCTCTGTGTAAAGGATCGTTCAACTCTGTGAGTTGAATACACACAACACAAGGAAGATTCTGAGAATTTTTCTTTCTAGCAGAATATGAAGAAATCCCGTTTCCAACGAAGGCCTCAAGGAGGTCTGAATATCCACTTGCAGACTTTACAAACAGAGTGTTTCCTAACTGCTCTATGAAAAGAAAGGTTAAACTGTGTGAGTTGAACGCACACATCACAAAGGAGTTTCTGAGAATCATTCTGTCTAGTTTTGAAACGAAGATATTTCCTTTTCTACCATTGGCCTCAACGCGGCTGAAATCTCCATTTGCAAATTCCACAAAAAGAGTGTTTCAAATCTGCTCTGTGTAAATGAAAGTTCAACTCTGTGAGTTGAACACACACAACACAAGGAAGTTACTGGGAATTCTTCTGTCTAGTAGAATATGAAGAAATCCCGTTTCCAACGAAGGCCACAAGATGTCAGAATATCCACTTACAGAATTGACAAACAGACTGTTTCCTAACTGCTCTATGAAAAGAAAGGTTAAACTCTGTTAGTTGAACGAACACATCACAACGCAGTTTGTGGGAATGATTCTGTCTAGTTTTGAAACGAAGATATTTCCTTTTCTGCCGTTGACCTTAAAGAGCTTGAAAACTACACTTGCAAATTGCACAAATAGAGTGTTTCAAATCTGCTCTGTCTAAGGGAACGTTCAACTCTGTGAGTTGAATGCACACAACACAAGGAAGTTACTGGGAATTCTTCTGTCTAGCCTTACAGGAAAAAAACCCGTTTCCAACGAAGGCCTCTAACTGGTCAAGTTATCCACGTGCAGACTTTACAAACAGAGTGTTTCCAAACTGCTGAATGAAAAGAAAAGTTAAACTCTGAGAGTTGAACGCACACATCGCAGAGCAGTTTCTGAGAATGATTCTGTCTAGTTTTGAAACGAAGACATTTCCTTTTCTGCCTTTGGCCTCAAAGCGCTTGAAATCTCCATTTGCAAATTCCACAAAAAGAGTGTTTCAAATCTGCTCTGTGTAAATGAAAGTTCAACTCTGTGAGTTGAACACACACAACACAAGGAAGTTACTGGGAATTCTTCTGTCTAGCCTTATATGAAAAAAACCCGTTTCCAATGAAGGCCTCAAAGAGGTCTGAATATCCACTTGCAGACTTTACAAACAGAGTGTTTTTAACTGCTCTATGAAAAGAAAGGTTAAACTCTGTGAGTTGAACGCACACATCACAAAGGAGTTTCTGAGAATCATTCTGTCTAGTCTTTATACGAAGATATTTCCTTTTCTACCATTGACCTCAAAGCGGCTGAAATCTCCACTTGCAAATTCCACAAAAAGAGTGTTTCAAGTCTGCTCTGTGTAAAGGATCATTCAACTCTGTGAGTTGAATAAACACAACACAAGGAAGTTACTGAGAATTCTTCTGTCTAGCAGAATATGAAGAAATCCCGTTTCCAACGAAGGCCTCAAAGAGGTCTGAATATCCACTTGCAGACTTTACAAACAGAGTGTTTCCTAACTGCTCTATGAAAAGAAAGGTTAAACTCTGTGAGTTGAACGCACACATCACAAAGGAGTTTGTGAGAATCATTCTGTCTAGTTTTGAAACGAAAATATTTCCTTTTCTGCCATTGACCTTAAAGCGCTTGAAATCTACACTTGCAAATTGCACAAATAGAGTGTTTCAAATCTGCTCTGTCTAAGGGAACGTTCATCTCTGTGAGTTGAGTGCACAGAACACAAGGAAGTTACTGGGAATTCTTCTGTCTAGCCTTTCATGAAAAAAACCCGTTTCCAACAAAGGCCTCTAAGTGGTCACAATGTCCACGTGCAAACTTTACAAACAGAGTGTTTCCAAACTGCTGAATGAAAAGAAAAGTTAAACTATGACAGTTGAACGCACACATCACAGAGCAGTTTCTGAGAATGACTCTGTCTAGTTTTTATACGAAGATATTTCCTTTTCTGCCTTTGGCCTCAAAGCGCTTGAAATCTCCACTTGCAAATTCCACAAAAAGAGTGTTTCCAATCTGCTCTGTGTAAATGAAAGTTCAACTCTGTGAGTTGAACACACACAACACAAGGAAGTTACTGAGAATTCTTCTTTCTAGCAGAATATGAAGAAATCCCGTTTCCAACGAAAGCCTCAAGGATGTCTGAATATCCACATGCAGACTTTACCAACAGAGTGTTTCCCAACTGCTCTATGAAAAGAAAGGTTAAACTCTGTGAGTTGAACGCACACATCACAAAGCAGTTTCTGAGAATCATTCTGTCTAGTTTTTCTACGAAGATATTTCCTTTTCTACTATTGACCTCAAAGCGGCTGAAATCTCCACTTGCAAATTCGACAAAAAGAGTGTTTCAAGTCTGCTCTCTGTAAAGGATCGTTCAAATCTGTGAGTTGAATACACACAACACAAGGAAGTTACTGAGAATTATTCTGTCTAGCAGAATATGAAGAAATCCCATTTCCAACGAAGGCCTCAAAGAGGTCTGAATATCCACTTGCAGACTTTACAAACAGAGTGTTTCCTACCTGCTCTACGAAAAGAAAGGTTAAACTCTGTGAGTTGAACGCACACATCACAAAGGAGTTTCTGAGAATCATTCTGTCTAGTTTTGAAACGAAGATATTTCCTTTTCTGCCGTTGACCTTAAAGCGCTTGAAATCTACACTTGCAAATTGCACAAATAGAGTGTTTCAAATCTGCTCTGTCTAAGGGAACGTTCAACTCTGTGAGTTGAATGCACACAACACAAGGAAGTTACTGGGAATTCTTCTGTCTAGCCTTACATGAAAAAAACCCGTTTCCAACGAAGGCCTCTAAGTGGTCAAAATATCCACGTGCAGACTTTACACACAGAGTGTTTCCAAACCGCTGAATGAAAAGAAAAGTTAAACTCTGAGAGTTGAACGCACACATCACGCAGCAGTTTCTGAGAATGATTCTGTCTAGTTTTTATACGAAGATATTTCCTTTTCTGCCTTTGGCCTCAAAGCGCTTTAAATCTCCACTTGCAAACTCCACAAAAAGAGTGTTTCAAATCTGCTCTGTCTAAGGGAAGGTTCAACTCTGTCAGTTGAATACACACAACAAAAGGAAGTTACTGAGAATTCTTCTGTCTAGCATAATATGAAGAAATCCCGTTTCCAACGAAGGCCTCAAGGAGGTCTGAATATCCACTTGCAGACTTTACAAACAGAGTGTTTCCTAAATGCTCTATGAAAAGAAAGGTTAAACTCTGTGAGTTGAACGCACACATCACAAAGGAGATTCTGAGAATCATTCTGTCTAGTTTCTATAGGAAGATATTTCCTATTCAACCATTGAACTCAAAGCGGCTGAAATCTCCACTTGCAAATTCCACAAAAAGAGTGTTTCAAGTCTGTTCTGTGTAAAGGATCGTTCACCTCTATGAGTTGAATACACACAACACAAGGAAGTTACTGAGAATTCTTCTGTCTAGCAGAATATGAAGAAATCCCGTTTCCAACGAAGGCCACAAGATGTCAGAATATCCACTTACAGAATTTACAAACAGACTGTTTCCTAACTGCTCTATGAAAAGAAAGGTTAAACTCTGTGAGATGAACGAACACATCACAACGCAGTTTTTGGGAATGATTCTGTCTAGTTTTGAAACGAAGATATTTCCTTTTCTGCCATTGACCTTAAAGCGCTTGAAATCTCCACTTGCCAATTGCACAAAAAGAGTGTTTCAAATCTGCTCTGTCTAAGGGAACGTTCAACTCTGTGAGTTGAATGTACACAACGCAAGGAAGTTACTGGGAATTCTTCTGTCTAGCCTTACATGAAAAAAAACCCGTTTCCAACGAAGGCCTCTAAGTGGTCAAATTATGCACGTGCAGACTTTACAAACAGAGTGTTTCCAAACTGCTGAATGAAAAGAAAAGTTAAACTCTGAGAGTTGAACGAACACATCGCAGAGCAGTTTCTGAGAATGATTCTGTCTAGTTTTGAAACGAAGATATTTCCTTTTCTGCCTTTGGCCTCAAAGCGCTTGAAATCTCCATTTGCAAATTCCACAAAAAGAGTGTTTCAAATCTGCTCTGTGTAAATGAAAGTTCAACTCTGTGAGTTGAACACACACAACACAAGGAAGTTACTGGGAATTCTTCTGTCTAGCATAATATGAAGAAATCCCGTTTCCAACGAAGGCCTCAAAGAGGTCTGAATATCCACTTGCACACTTTACAAACAGAGTGTTTCCTAACTGCTCTATGAGAAGAAAAGTTAAACTCTGTGAGTTGAACGCACACATCACAAAAGATTTTCTTAGAATCATTCTGTCTAGTCTTTATACGAAGATATTTCCTTTTCTACCATTGACCTCAAAACGGCTGAAATCTCCACTTGCAAATTCCACAAAAAGAGTGTTTCAAGTCTGCTCTGTGTAAAGGATCGTTCAACTCTGTGAGTTGAATACACACAACACAAGGAAGTTACTGAGAATTCTTCTGTGTAGCAGAATATGAAGAAATCCCGTTTCCAACGAAGGCCACAAGATGTCAGAATATCCACTTACAGAATTTACCAACAGAGTGTTTCCTAACTGCTCTATGAAAAGAAAGGTTAAACTCTGTGAGTTGAACGAACACATCACAACACAGTTTGTGGGAATGATTCTGTCTAGTTTTGAAACGAAGATATTTCCTTTTCTGCCATTGACCTTAAAGCGCTTGAAATCTCCACTTGCCAATTGCACAAAAAGAGTGTTTCAAATCTGCTCTGTCTAAGGGAACGTTCAACTCTGTGAGTTGAATGTACACAACCCAAGGAAGTTACTGGGAATTCTTCTGTCTAGCCTTACATGAAAAAAACCCGTTTCCAACGAAGGCTTCTAAGTGGTCAAAATATCCACGTGCAGACTTTACAAACAGAGTGTTTCCAAACCGCTGAATGAAAAGAAAAGTTAAACTCTGAGAGTTGAACGCACACATCACGCAGCAGTTTCTGAGAATGATTCTGTCTAATTTCTATAGGAAGATATTTCCTATTCTACATTGACCTCAAAGCGGCTGAAATCTCCACTTGCAAATTCCATAAAAAGAGTATTTCAAGTCTGCTCTGTGTAAAGGATCGTTGAAATCTGTGAGTTGAATACACACAACACAATGAAGTTACTGAGAATTCTTCTGTCTAGCACAGTATGAAGAAATCCCGTTTCCAACGAAGGCCTCAAAGAGGTCTGAATATCCACTTGCAGAGTTTACAAACAGAGTGTTTCCTAACTGCTCTATGAAAAGAAAGGTTAAACTCTGTGAGTTGAACGGCACACATCACAATGAAGTTTCTGAGAATCATTCTGTCTAGTTTTTATACGAAGATATTTCCTTTTCTACCATTGACTTCAAAGCGGCTGAAATCAGCACTTGCCAATTGCACAAAAAGAGTGTTTCAAATCTGCTCTGTCTAAGGGAACGGTTCAACTCTGTGAGTTGAATGTACACAACACAAGGAAGTTACTGGGAATTCTTCTGTCTAGCCTTACAGGAAAAAAACCCGTTTCCAAAGAAGGCCTCTAAGTGGTCAAGTTATCCACGTGCAGACTTTAGAAACAGAGTGTTTCCAAACTGCTGAATGAAAAGAAAAGTTAAACTCTGAGAGTTGAACGCACACATCGCAGAGCAGTTTCTGAGAATGATTCTGTCTAGTTTTTATACGAAGATATTTCCTTTTATACCATTGACCACAAAGCGGCTGAAATCACCACTTGCCAATTGCACAAAAAGAGTGTTTCAAATCTGCTCTGTCTAAGGGAACGTTCAACTCTGTGAGTTGAATGTACACAACACAAGGAAGTTACTGGGAATTCTTCTGTCTAGCCTTACAGGAAAAAAACACGTTTCCAACGAAGGCCTTTAAGTGGTCAAAATATCCACGTGCAGACTTTACAAACAGAGTGTTTCCAAACTGCTGAATGAAAAGAAAAGTTAAACTCTGAGACTTGAACGCACACATCACAGAGCAGTTTCCGAGAATGATTCTGTCTAGTTTCTATAGGAAGATATTTCCTATTCTACCATTGACCTCAAAGCGGCTGAAATCTCCACTTGCAAATTCCACAAAAAGAATGTTTCAAGTCTGCTCTGTGTAAAGGATCGTTCAAATCTGTGAGTTGAATACACACAACACAAGGAAGTTACTGAGAATTATTCTGTCTAGCAGAATTTGAAGAAATCCCGCTTCCAACGAAGGCCTCAAGGAAGTCTGAATATCCACTTGCAGACATTACAAACAGAGTGTTTCCCAACTGCTCTATGAAAAGAAAGGTTGAACTCTGTGAGTTGAACGCACACATCACAAAGGAGTTTCTGAGAATCATTCTGTCTAGTCTTTATACGAAGATATTTCCTTTTCTACCATTGACCTCAAAGCGGCTGAAATCTCCTCTTGCAAATTCCACAAAAAGAGTGTTTCAAGTCTGCTCTGTGTAAAGGATCGTTCAACTCTGTGAGTTGAATACTCACAACACAAGGAAGTTACTGAGAATTCTTCTGTCTAGCAGAATATGAAGAAATCCCGTTTCCAACGAAGGTCTCAAGGAGGTCTGAATATCCACTTGCAGACTTTACAAACAGAGTGTTTCCTAACTGCTCTATGAACAGAAAGGTAAAACTCTGTGAGTTGAACGAACACATCACAACGCAGTTTGTGGGAATGATTCTGTCTAGTTTTGAAACGAAGATATTTCCTTTTCTGTCATTGACCTTAAAGCGCTTGAAATCTACACTTGCAAATTGCACAAATAGAGTGTTTCAAATCTGCTCTGTCTAAGGGAACGTTCAACTCTGTGAGTTGAATGCACACAACACAAGGAAGTTACTGGGAATTCTTCTGTCTAGCCTTACATGAAAAAAACCCGTTTCCAACGAAGGCCTCTAAGTGGTCAAAATTTCCACGTGCAGACTTTACAAACAGAGTGTTTCCAAACCGCTGAATGAAAAGAAAAGTTAAACTCTGAGAGTTGAACGCACACATCACGCAGCAGTTTCTGAGAATGATTCTGTCTAGTTTTTATACGAAGATATTTCCTTTTCTGCCTTTGGCCCCAAAGCGCTTGAAATCTCCACTTGCAAATTCCACAAAAACAGTGTTTCAAATCTGCTCTCTCTAAATGAAAGTTCAACCCTGTCAGTTGAATACACACAACACAAGGAAGTTACTGAGAATTCTTCTGTCTAGCCTTATATGAAAAAAACCCGTTTCCAACGAAGGCCTCAAAGAGGTCTGAATATCCACTTGCAGACTTTACAAACAGAGTGATTCCTAACTGCTCTATGAAAAGAAAGGTTAAACTGTGAGTTGAACACACACATCTCAAAGGAGTTTCTGAGAATCATTCTGTCTAGTTTCTATAAGAAGATATTTCCTATTCTACCATTGACCTCAAAGCGGCTGAAATCTCCACTTGCAAATTCGACAAAAAGAGTGTTTCAAGCCTGCTCTCTGTAAAGGATCCTTCAACTCTGTGAGTTGAATACACACAACACAAGGAAGTTACTGAGAATTATTTCTGTCTAGCCAAATATGAAGAAATCCCGTTTCCAACGAAGGCCACAAGATGTCAGAATATCCACTTACAGAATTGACAAACAGACTGTTTCCTAACTGCTCTATGAAAAGAAAGGTTAAACTCCTGTGAGTTGAACGAACACATCACAACGCAGTTTGTGGGAATGATTTCTGTCTAGTTTTGAAACGAAGATATTTCCTTTTCTGCCATTGACCTTAAAGCGCTTGAAATCTACACTTGCAAATTGCACAAATAGAGTGTTTCAAATCTGCTCTGTCTAAGGGAACGTTCAACTCTGCAAGTTGAATGCACACAACACAAGGAAGTTACTGGGAATTCTTCTGTCTAGCCTTACATGAAAAAAACCCGTTTCCAACGAAGGCCTCTAAGTGGTCAAAATATCCACGGGCAGACTTTACAAATAGAGTGTTTCCAAACCGCTGAATGAAAAGAAAAGTTAAACTCTGAGAGTTGAACGCACACATCACGCCACAGTTTCTGAGAATGATTCTGTCTAGTTTTTATACGAAGATATTTCCTTTTCGGCCTTTGGCCCAAAAGCGCTTGAAATCTCCACTTGCAAATTCCACAAAAACAGTGTTTCAAATCTGCTCTCTCTAAATGAAAGTTCAACTCTGTCAGTTGAATACACACAACACAAGGAAGTTACTGAGAATTCTTCTGTCTAGCAGAATACGAAGAAATCCCATTTCCAACGAAGGCCTCAAAGAGGTCTGAATATCCACTTGCAGACTTTACAAACAGAGTGTTTCCTAACTGCTCTATGAAAAGAAAAGTTAAACTCTGTGAGTTGAACGCACACATCACAAAGGAGTTTCTGAGAATCATTCTGTCTAGTCTTTATACGAAGATATTTCCTTTTCTACCATTGACCTCAAAGCGGCTGAAATCTCCACTTGCAAATTCCACAAAAAGAATGTTTCAAGTCTGCTCTCTGTAAAGGATCATTCAACTCTGTGAGTTGAATACACACAACACAAGGAAGTTACTGAGAATTATTCTGTCTAGCAGAATATGAAGAAATCCCGTTTCCAACGAAGGCCTCAAATAGGTCTGAATATCCACTTGCAGACTTTACAAACAGAGTGTTTCCTAACTGCTCTATGAAAAGAAAAGTTGAACTCTGTGAGTTGAACGCACACATCACAACGCAGTTTGTGGGAATGATTCTGTCTGGTTTTGAAACGAAGATATTTCCTTTTCTGCCGTTGACCTTAAAGCGCTTGAAATCTACACTTGCAAATTGCACAAATAGAGTGTTTCAAATCTGCTCTGTCTAAGGGAACGTTCAGCTCTGTGAGTTGAATGCACACAACACAAGGAAGTTACTGGGAATTCTTCTGTCTAGCCTTACATGAAAAAAACCCGTTTCCAACGAAGGCCTCTAAGTGGTCAAAATATCCACGTGCAGACTTTACAAACAGAGTGTTTCCAAACCGCTGAATGAAAAGAAAAGTTAATCTCTGAGAGTTGAACGCACACATCACGCAGCAGTTTCTGAGAATGATTCTGTCTAGTTTTGAAACGAAGATATTTCCTTTTCTGCCTTTGGCCTCAAAGCGCTTGAAATCTCCACTTGCAAATTCCACAAAAAAAGTGTTTCAAATCTGCTCTGGGTAAATGAAAGTTCAACTCTGTGAGTTGAACACACACAACACAAGGAAGTTACTGGGAATTCTTCTGTCTAGCACAGTATGAAGAAATCCCGTTTCCAACGAAGGCCTCAAAGAGGTGTGAATATCGACTTGCAGAGTTTACAAACAGAGTGTTTCCTAACTGCTCTATGAAAAGAAAGGTTAAACTCTGTGAGTTGAACGCACACATCACAATGAAGTTTCTGAGAATCATTCTGTCTTGTTTCTATACGAAGATATTTCCTTTTCTACCATTGACCTCAAAGCGGCTGAAATCTCCACTTGCAAATTCCACAAAAAGAGTGTTTCAAGTCTGCTCTGTGTAAAGGATCGTTCAATTCTGTGAGTTGAATACACACAACACAAGGAAGTTACTGAGAATTCTTCTGTCTAGCAGAATATGAAGAAATCCCGTTTCCAACGAAGGCCACAAGATGTCAGAATATCCACTTTCATACTTTACAAACAGTGTGTTTCCTAACTGCTCTATGAACAGAAAGGTTAAACTCTGTGGGTTGAACGAACACATCACAACGCAGTTTGTGGGAATGATTCTGTCTAGTTTTGAAACGAAGATATTTCCTTTTCTGCCGTTGACCTTAAAGCGCTTGAAATCTACACTTGCAAATTGGACAAATAGAGTGTTTCAAATCTGCTCTGTCTAAGGGAACGTTCAACTCTGTGAGTTGAATGCACACAACACAAGGAAGTTACTGGGAATTCTTCTGTCTAGCCTTACATGAAAAAATCCCGTTTCCAACGAAGGCCTCTAAGTGGTCAAAATATCCACGTGCAGTCTTTACAAACAGAGTGTTTCCAAACCGCTGAATGAAAAGAAAAGTTAAACTCTGAGAGTTGAACGCACACATCACGCAGCAGTTTCTGAGAATGATTCTGTCTAGTTTTTATACGAAGATATTTCCTTTTCTGCCTTTGGCCCCAAATCGCTTGAAATCTCCACTTGCAAATTCCACAAAAACAGTGTTTCAAATCTGCTCTCTCTAAATGAAAGTTCAACTCTGTCAGTTGAATACACACAACACAAGGAAGTTACTGAGAATTCTTCTGTCTAGCCTTATATGAAAAAAACCCGTTTCCAACGAAGGCCTCAAAGAGGTCTGAATATCCACTTGCAGACTTTACAAACAGAGTGTTTCATAACTGCTCTATGAAAAGAAAGGTTAAACTTCTGTGAGTTGAACGCACACATCACAAAGGAGTTTCTGAGAATCATTCTGTCTAGTCTTTATACGAAAATAGTTTCCTTTTCTACCATTGACCTCAAAGCGGCTGAAATCACCACTTGCAAATTCCACAAAAAGAGTGTTTCAAGTCTGCTCGGTGTAAAGGATCGTTCAACTCTGTGAGCTGAATACACACAACACAAGGAAGTTACTGAGAATTCTTCTGTCTAGCAGAATATGAAGAAATCCCGTTTCCAACGAAGGCCACAAGATGTCAGAATATCCACTTACAGACTTTACAAACAGAGTGTTTCCTAACTGCTCTATGAACGGAAAGGTTAAACTCTGTGAGTTGAACGAACACATCACAACGCAGTTTGTGGGAATGATTCTGTCTAGTTTTGAAACGAAGATATTTCCTTTTCTGCCATTGACCTTAAAGCGCTTGAAATCTACACTTGCAAATTGCACAACTAGAGTGTTTCAAATCTGCTCTGTCTAAGGGAACGTTCAACTCTGTGAGTTGAATGCACACAACACAAGGAAGTTACTGGGAATTCTTCTGTCTAGCCTTACATGAAAAAAAACCCGTTTCCAACGAAGGCCTCTAAGTGGTCAAAATATCCACGTGCAGACTTTACAAACAGAGTGTTTCCAAACCGCTGAATGAAAAGAAAAGTTAAACTCTGAGAGTTGAACGCACACATCACGCAGCAGTTTCTGAGAATGATTCTGTCTAGTTTTTATACGAAGATATTTCCTTTTCTGCCTTTGACCCCAAAGCGCTTGAAATTTCCACTTGCAAATTCCACAAAAACAGTGTTTCAAATCTGCTCTCTCCAAATGAAAGTTCAACTCTGTCAGTTGAATACACACAACACAAGGAAGTTACTGAGAATTCTTCTGTCTAGCATAATATGAAGCAATCCCATTTCCAACGAAGGCCTCAAAGGGGTCTGAATATCCACTTGCAGACTTTATAAACAGAGTGTTTACTAACTGCTCTATGAAAAGAAAGGTTAAACTCTGTGAGTTGAACACACACATCACAAAGGAGTTTCTGAGAATCATTCTCTCTAGTTTTTATACGAAGATATTTCCTTTTCTACCATTGACCTCAAAGCGGCTGAAATCTCCACTTGCAAATTCCACAAAAATAGTGTTTCAAATCTGCTCTGTGTAAACCATCGTTCAACTGTGTGAGTTGAATACACACAACACAAGGAAGATTCTGAGAATTCTTCTGTCTAACAGAATATGAAGAAATCGCGTTTCCAACGAAGGCCACAAGATGTCAGAATATCCACTTATAGACTTTACAAACAGAGTGTTTCCTAACTGCTCTATGAACAGAAAGGTTAAACTCTGTGAGTTGAACGAACACATCACAACGCAGTTTGTGGGAATAATTCTGTCTAGTTTTGAAACGAAGATATTTCCTTTTCTGCCTTTGACCTTAAAGCGCTTGAAATCTACACTTGCAAATTCACAAATAGAGTGTTTCAAATCTGCTCTGTCTAAGGGAACGTTCAACTCTGTGAGTTGAATGCACACAACACAAGGAAGTTACTGGGAATTCTTCTGTCTAGCCTTACATGAAAAAAACCCGTTTCCAACGAAGGCCTCTAAGTGGTCAAAATATCCACGTGCAGACTTTACAAACAGAGTGTTTCCAAACCGCTGAATGAAAAGAAAAGTTAAACTCTGAGAGTTGAACGCACACATCACACAGCAGTTTCTGAGAATGATTCTGTCTAGTTTTTATATGAAGATATTTCCTTTTCTACCATTGACCTCAAAGCGGCTGAAATCTCCACTTACAATTTCCACAAAAAGAGTGTCTCAAGTCTGCTGTGTGTAAACGATCGTTCAACTCTGTGAGTTGAATACACACAACACAAGGAAGTTTCTGAGAATTCTTCTGTATAGCAGAATATGAAGAAATCCCGTTTCCAACGAAGGCCTCAAGGAGGTCTGAATATCCACTTGCAGACTTTACAAACAGAGTGTTTCCTAACTGCTCTATGAAAAGAAAGGTTAAACTCTGTGAGTTGAACGCACACATCACAAAGGAGTTTCTGAGAATCATTCTGTCTAGTTTTTATACGAAGATATTTCCTTTTCTACCATTTACCTCAACACGGCTGAAATCTCCACTTGCAAATTCCACAAAACGAGTGTTTCAAGTGCGCTCTGTGTAAAGGATCGTTCAACTCTGTGAGTTGAATACACACAACACAAGGAAGTTACTGAGAATTCTTCTGTCTAGCAGAAGATGAAGAAATCCCGTTTCCAACGAAGGCCACAAGATGTCAGAATATCCACTTGCAGACTTTACAAACAGAGTGTTTCCTAACTGCTCTATGAACAGAAAGGTTAAACTCTGTGAGTTGAACGAACACATCACAACGCAGTTTGTGGGAATGATTCTGTCTAGTTTTGAAACGAAGATATTTCCTTTTCTGCCATTGACCTTAAAGCGCTTGAAATCTCCATTTGCCAATTGCACAAAAAAAGTGTTTCAAATCTGCTCTGTCTAAGGGAACGTTCAACTCTGTGAGTTGAATGTACACAACACAAGGTAAGTTACTGGGAATTCTTCTGTCTAGCCTTACATGAAAACAACCCGTTTCCAACGAAGGCCTCTAAGTGGTCAAATTATCCACGTGCAGACTTTACAAACAGAGTGTTTCCAAACTGCTGAATGAAAAGAAAAGTTAAACTCTGAGAGTTGAACGCACACATCGCAGAGCAGTTTCTGAGAATGATTCTGTCTAGCCTTATATGAAAAAAACCCGTTTCCAACGAAGGCCTCAAAGAGGTCTGAATATCCACTTGCAGACTTTACAAACAGAGTGTTTCCTAACTGCTCTATGAAAAGAAAGGTTAAATTCTGTGAGTTGAACGCACACATCACAAAGGAGTTTCTGAGAATCATTCTGTCTAGTCTTTATATGAAGATAGTTTCCTTTTCTACCATTGACCTCAAAGCGGCTGAAATCTCCACTTGCAAATTCCACAAAAAGAGTGTTTCAAGTCTGCTCTGTGTAAAGGATCGTTCAACTCTGTGAGTTGAATTCACACAACACAAGGAAGTTACTGAGAATTCTTCTGTCTAGCAGAATATGAAGAAATCCCGTTTCCAACGAAGGCCACAAGATGTCAGAATATCCACTTACAGAATTTACAAACAGACTGTTTCCTAACTGCTCTATGAAAAGAAAGGTTAAACTCTGTGAGTTGAATGAACACATCACAACGCTGTTTGTGGGAATGATTCTGTCTAGTTTTGAAACGAAGATATTTCCTTTTCTGCCATTGACCTGAAAGCGCTTGAAATCTACACTTGCAAATTGCACAAATAGAGTGTTTCAAATCTGCTCTGTCTAAGGGAACGTTCAAGTCTGTGAGTTGAATGCACACAACACAAGGAAGTTACTGGGAATTCTTCTGTCTAGCCTTAAATGAAAAAAACCCGTTTCCAACGAAGGCCTCTAAGTGGTCAAAATTTCCACGTGCAGACTTTACAAACAGAGTGTTTCCAAACCGCTGAATGAAAAGAGAAGTTAAACTCTGAGAGTTGAACGCACACATCACGCAGCAGTTTCTGAGAATGATTCTGTCTAGTTTTTATACGAAGATATTTCCTTTTCTGCCTTTGGCCTCAAAGCGCTTGAAATCTCCATTTGCAAATTCCACAAAAAGAGTGTTTCAAATCTGCTCTGTGTAAATGAAAGTTCAACTCTGTGAGTTGAATACAAACAACACAAGGAAGATTCTGAGAATTCTTCTGTATAGCAGAATATGAAGAAATCCCGTTTCCAACGAAGGCCTCAAGGAGGTCTGAATATCCACTTGCAGACTTTACAAACAGAGTGTTTCCTAACTGCTCTACGAAAAGAAAGGTTAAACTCTGTGAGTTGAACGCAGACATCACAAAGGAGTTTCTGAGAATCACTCTGTCTAGTTTCTATGGGAAGATATTTCCTATTCTACCATTGACCTCAAAGCGGCTGAAATCTCCACTTGCAAATTCCAGAAAAAGAGTGTTTCAAGTCTGCTCTGTGTAAAGGATCGTTCAACTCTGTGAGTTGAATACACACAACACAAGGAAGTTACTGAGAATTCTTCTGTCTAGCATAATATGAAGAAATCCCGTTTCCTACGAAGGCCTCAAAGAGGTCTGAATATCCACTTGCAGACTTTACAAACAGAGTGTTTCCTAACTGCTCTATGAAAAGAAAGGTTAAACTCTGTGAGTTGAGCGCACACATCACAAAGAAGTTTCTGAGAATCATTCTGTCTAGTTTTTATAGGGAGATATTTCCTTTTCTACCTTTGACTTCAAAGCGGCTGAAATCTCCACTTGCAAATTCCACAAAAAGAGTGTTACAAGTCTGCTCTGTGTAAAGGATCGTTCAACTCTGTGAGTTGAATACACACAACACAAGGAAGTTACTGAGAATTCTTCTGTCTAGCCTTACAGGAAAAAAACCCGTTTCCAATGAAGGCCTCTAAGTGGTCAAAATATCCACGTGCAGACTTTACAAACAGAGTGTTTCCACACTGCTGAATGAAAAGAAAAGTTAAACTCTGAGAGTTGAACGCACACATCGCAGAGCAGTTTCTGAGAATGATTCTGTCTAGTTTTTATACGAAGATATTTCCTTTTCTGCCTTTGGCCTCAAAGCGCTTGAAATCTCCACTTGCAAATTCCACAAAAAGAGTGTTTCAAATCTGCTCTGTGTAAATGAAAGTTCAACTCTGTGAGTTGAACACACACAACACAAGGAAGTTACTGGGAATTGTTTCTGTATAGCAGAATATGAAGGAATCCCGTTTCCAACGAAGGCCTCAAGGAGGTCTGAATATCCACTTGCAGACTTTACAAACAGAGTGTTTCCTACCTGCTCTATGAAAAGAAAGGTTAAACTCTGTGAGTTGAACGCACACATCACAAAGGAGTTTCTGAGAATCATTTTGTCTAGTTTCTATAAGAAGATATTTCCTATTCTACCATTGACCTCAAAGCGGCTGAAATCTCCACTTGCAAATTCGACAAAAAGAGTGTTTCAAGCCTGCTCGCTGTAAAGGATCCTTCAACTCTGTGAGTTGAATACACACAACACAAGGAAGTTACTGAGAATTCTTCTGTCTAGCAGAATATGAAGAAATCCCGTTTCCAACGAAGGCCTCAAACAGGTCTGAATATCCACTTGCAGACTTTACAAACAGAGTGTTTCCTAACTGCTCTATGAAAAGAAAAGTTAAACTCTGTGAGTTGAACGCACACATCACAAAAGATTTTCTGAGAATCATTCTGTCTAGTTTTGAAACGAAGATATTTCCTTTTCTGCCATTGACCTTAAAGTGCTTGAAATCTACACTTGCAAATTGCACAAATAGAGCGTTTCAAATCTGCTCTGTCTAAGGGAACGTTCATCTCTGTGAGTTGAATGCACACAACACAAGGAAGTTACTGGGAATGCTACCGTCTAGCCTTACATGAAAAAAAACCCGTTTCCAACGAAGGCCTCTAAGTGGTCAAAATATCCACGTGCAGACTTTACAAACAGAGTGTTTCCAAACTGCTGAATGAAAAGAAAAGTTAAACTCTGAGAGTTGAACGCACACATCACAGAGCAGTTTCTGAGAATGATTCTGACTAGTTTTTATACGAAGATATTTCCTTTTCTGCCTTTGGCCTCAAAGCGCTTGAAATCTCCACTTGCAAATTCCACAAAAAGAGTGTTTCCAATCTGCTCTGTGTAAATGAAAGTTCAACTCTGTGAGTTGAACACACACAACACAAGGAAGTTACTGGGAATTCTTCTGTCTAGCAGAATATGAAGAAATCCCGTTTCCAACGAAGACCTCAAGGAGGTCTGAATATCCACTTGCAGACTTTAGAGAGTGTTTCCTAACTGCTCTATGAAAAGAAAGGTTAAACTCTGTGAGTTGAACGCACACATCACAAAGGAGTTTCTGAGAATCATTCTATCTAATTTCTATAGGAAGATATTTCCTATTCTACGATTGACCTCAAAGCGGCTGAAATCTCCAATTGGAAATTCCACAAAAAGAGTGTTTCAAGTCTGCTCTCTGTAAAGGATCGTTCAACTCTGTGAGTTGAATACACACAACACAAGGAAGTTACTGAGAATTATTCTGTCTAGCATAATATGAAGAAATCCCGTTTCCAACGAAGGCCTCAAAGACGTCTGAATATCCACTTGCAGACTTTACAAACAGAGTGTTTCCTAACTGCTCTATGAAAAGAAAAGTTAAACTCTGTGAGTTCAACGCACACATCACAGAGGAGTTTATGAGAATCATTCTGTCTAGTTTTGAAACGAAGATATTTCCTTTTCTGCCATTGACCTCAAAGCGCTTGAAATCTCCACTTGCCAATTGCACAAAAAGAGTGTTTCAAATCTGCTCTGTCTAAGGGAACGTTCAACTCTGTGAGTTGAATGTACACAACACAAGGAAGTTACTGGGAATTCTTCTGTCTAGCCTTACATGAAAAAAAACCCGTTTCCAACGAAGGCCTCTAAGTGGTCAAAATATCCACGTGCAGACTTTACAAACAGAGTGTTTCCAAACTGCTGAATGAAAAGAAAAGTTAAACTCTGAGAGTTGAACGCACACATCACAGAGCGGTTTCTGAGAATGATTCTGTCTAGTTTTTATACGAAGACATTTCGTTTTCTGCCTTTGGCCCCAAAGCGCTTGAAATCTCCACTTGCAAATTCCACAAAAACAGTGTTTCAAATCTGCTCTCTCTAAATGAAAGTTCAACTCTGTCAGTTGAATACACACAACACAAGGAAGTTACTGAGAATTCTTCTATCTAGCCTTATATGAAAAAAACCCGTTTCCAACGAAGGCCTCAAAGAGGTCTGAATATCCACTTGCAGACTTTACAAACAGAGTGTTTCCTAACTGCTCTATGAAAAGAAAGGTTAAACTCTGTGAGTTGAACGCACACATCACAAAGGAGTTTCTGAGAATCATTCTGTCTAGTTTTTATAGGAAGTTATTTCCTTTTCTACCTTTGACTTCAAAGTGGCTGAAATCTCCACTTGCAAATTCCACAAAAAGAGTGTTACAAGTCTGCTCTGTGTAAAGGATCGTTCAACTCTGTGAGTTGAATACACACTACACAAGGAAGTTACTGAGAATTCTTCTGTCTAGCAGAATATGAAGAAATCCCGTTTCCAACGAAGGCCACATGATGTCAGAATATCCACTTACAGACTTTACAAACAGAGTGTTTCCTAACTGCTCTATGAAAAGAAAGGTTAAACCCTGTGTGTTGAACGAACACATCACAACGCAGTTTGTGGGAATGATTCTGTCTAGTTTTGAAACGAAGATATTTCCTTTTCTGCCTTTGGTCTCAAAGCGCTTCAAATCTCCACTGGCCAATTCCACATAAAGAGTGTTTCAAATCTGCTCTGTCTAAATGAAAGTTCAACTCTGTCAGTTGAATACACACAACACAAGGGAGTTTCTGAGAATTCTTCTGTCTAGCAGAATATGAAGAACTCCCGTTTCCAACGAAGGCCTCAAAGAGGTCTGAATATCCACTTGCAGACTTTATAAACAGAGTGTTTCCTAACTGCTCTATGAAAAGAAAAGTTAAACTCTGTGAGTTGAGCGCACACATCACAAAGGAGTTTCTGAGAATCATTCTGTCTAGTTTCTATTGGAAGATATTTCCTATTCAACCATTGACCTCAAAGCGGCTGAAATCTCCACTTGCAAATTCCACAAAAAGAGTGTTTCAAGTCTGCTCTGTGTAAAGGATCGTTCAACTCTGTGAGTTGAATACACACAACACAAGGAAGTTACTGAGAATTCTTCTGTCTAGCATAATATGAAGAAATCCCGTTTCCAACGATGGCCTCAAAGAGGACTGAATATCCACTTGCAGACTTAACAAACAGAGTGTTTCCTAACTGCTCTATGAAAAGAAAGGTTAAACTCTGTGAGTTGAACGCACACATCACAAAGGAGTTTCTGAGAATCATTCTGTCTAGTTTCTATAGGAAGATATTTCCTATTCTACGATTGACCTCAAAGCGGCTGAAATCTCCACTTGCAAATTCCACAAAAAGAATGTTTCAAGTCTGCTCTGTGTAAAGGATCGTTCAATTCTGTGAGTTGAATACACACAACACAAGGAAGTTACTGAGAATTCTTCTGTCTAGCAGAATATGAAGAAATCCCGTTTCCAACGAAGGTCACAAGATGTCAGAATATCCACTTACAGAATTTACAAACAGACTGTTTCCTAACTGCTCTATGAAAAGAAAGGTTAAACTCTGTGAGTTGAACGAACACATCACAACGCAGTTTGTGCCAATGATTCTGTCTAGTGTTTATAGGAAGATATTTCCTTTTCTACCTTTGACTTCAAAGCGGCTGAAATCTCCACTTGCAAATTCCACAAAAAGAGTGTTACAAGTCTGCTCTGTGTAAAGGAACGTTCAACTCTGTGAGTTGAATACACACAACACAAGGAAGTTACTGAGAATTCTTCTGTCTAGCCTTACATGAAAAAAACCCGTTTCCAACAAAGACCTCTAAGTGGTCAAATTATCCACATGCAGACTTTACAAACAGAGTGTTTCCAAACTGCTGAATGAAAAGAAAAGTTAAACTCTGAGAGTTGAACGCACACATCGCAGAGCAGTTTCTGAGAATGATTCTGTCTAGTTTTTATACGAAGATATTTCCTTTTCTGCCTCTGGCCTCAAAGCGCTTGAAACCTCCATTTGCAAATTCCACAAAAAGAGTGTTTCAAATCTGCTCTGTGTAAATGAAAGTTCAACTCTGTGAGTTGAACACACACAACACATGGAAGTTACTGGGAATTCTTCTGTCTAGCATAATATGAAGAAATCCCGTTTCCAACGAAGGCCTCAAAGAGATCTGAATATCCACTTGCAGACTTTACAAACAGAGTGTTTCCTAACGGCTCTATGAACAGAAAGGTTAAACTCTGTGAGTTGAACGCACACATCACAAAGGAGTTTCTGAGAATCATTCTGTCTAGTCTTTATAGGAAGATATTTACTTTTCTACCATTGACCTCAAAGCGGCTGAAATCTCCACTTGCAAATTCCACAAAAAGAGTGTTTCAAGTCTGCTCTGTGTAAAGGATCATTCAACTCTGTGAGTTGAATAAACACAACACAAGGAAGTTACTGAGAATTATTCTGTCTAGCAGAATATGAAGAAATCCCGTTTCAAACGAAGGCCACAAGATGTCAGAATATCCACTTACAGAATTTACAAACAGAGTGTTTCCTAACTGCTCTATGAAAAGAAAGGTTAAACTCTGTGAGTTGAACGAACACATCACAACGCAGTTTGTGGGAATGATTCTGTCCAGTTTTGAAACGAAGATATTTCCTTTTCTGCCATTGACCTTAAAGCGCTTGAAATATCCATTTGCCAATTGCACAAAAAGAGTGTTTCAAATCTGCTCTGTCTAAGGGAACCGTTCAACTCTGTGAGTTGAATGTACACAACACAAGGAAGTTACTGGGAATTCTTCTGTCTAGCCTTACATGAAAAAATCCCGTTTCCAACGAAGACCTCTAAGTGGTCAAATTATCCACGTGCAGACTTTACAAACAGAGTGTTTCCAAACTGCTGAATGAAAAGCAAAGTTAAACTCAGAGAGTTGAACGCACACATCGCAGAGCAGTTTCTGAGAATGATTCTGTCTAGTTTCTATAGGAAGATATTTCCTATTCTACCATTGACCTCAAAGCGGCTGAAATCTCCACTTGCAATTTCCACAAAAAGAGTGTTTCAAGACTGTTCTGTGTAAAGGATCATTCAACTCTGTGAGTTGAATACACACAACACAAGGAAGTTACTGAGAATTCTTCTTTCTAGCAGAATATGAAGAAATCCCGTTTCCAACGAAAACCTCAAGGATGTCTGAATATTCACTTGCAGACTTTACAAACAGAGTGTTTCCTAACTGCTCTATGAAAAGAAAGGTTAAACTCTGTGAGTTGAACGCACACATCACAAAGGAGTTTCTGAGAATCATTCTGTCTAGTTTTTATACGAAGATATTTCCTTTTCTACCATGGACCTCAAAGCGGCTGAAATCTCCACTTGCAAATTCCACAAAAAGAGTGTTTCAAGTCTGCTCTGTGTAAAGGATCGTTCAACTCTGTGAGATGTATACACACAACACAAGGAAGTTACTGAGAATTCTTCTGTCTAGCAGAATATGAAGAAATCCCGTTTCCAACGAAGGCCACAAGATATCAGAATATCCACTTACAGACTTTACAAAGAGAGTGTTTCCTAACTGCTCTATGAACAGAAAGGTTAAACTCTGTGAGTTGAACGAACACATCACAACGCAGTTTGTGGGAATGATTCTGTCTAGTTTTGAAACGAAGATATTTCCTTTTCTGCCGTTGACCTTAAAGGGCTTGAAATCTACACTTGCAAGTTGCACAAATAGAGTGTTTCAAATCTGCTCTGTCTAAGGGAACGTTCAACTCTGTGAGTTGAATGCACACAACACAAGGAAGTTACTGGGAATTCTTCTGTCCAGCCTTACATGAAAAAAACCCGTTTCCAACGAAGGCCTCTAAGTGGTCAAAATATCCACGTGCAGACTTTACAAACAGAGTGTTTCCAAACCGCTGAATGAAAAGAAAAGTTAAACTCTGAGAGTTGAACGCACACATCACGCAGCAGTTTCTGAGAATGATTCTGTCTAGTCTTTATACGAAGATATTTACTTTTCTACCATTGTCCTCAAAGCGGCTGAAATCTCCACTTGCAAATTCCACAAAAAGAGTGTTTCAAGTCTGCTCTGTGTAAAGGATCATTCAACTCTGTGAGTTGAATACACACAACACAAGGAAGTTACTGAGAATTCTTCTGTCTAGCAGAATATGAAGAAATCCCGTTTCCAACGAAGGCCTCAAGGAGGTCTGAATATCCACTTGCAGACTTTACAAACAGAGTGTTTCCTAACTGCTCTATGAACAGAAAGGTTAAACTCTGTGAGTTGAACGCACACATCACAAAGGAGTTTATGAGAATCATTCTGTCTAGTTTCTATAAGAAGATATTTCCTATTCTACCATTGACCTCAAAGCGGCTGAAATCTCCACTTGCAAATTCGACAAAAAGAGTGTTTCAAGCCTGCTCTCTGTAAAGGATCCTTCAACTCTGTGAGTTGAATACACACAACACAAGGAAGTTACTGTAGAATTATTCTGTCTAGTAGAATATGGAGAAATCCAGTTTCCAACGAAGGCCACAAGATGTCAGAATATCCACTTACAGACTTTACAAACAGAGTGTTTCCTAACTGCTCTATGAACAGAAAGGTTAAACTCTGTGAGTTGAACGAACACATCACAACGCAGTTTGTGGGAATGATTCTGTCTAGTTTTGAAACGAAGATATTTCCTTTTCTGCCGTTGACCTTAAAGCGCTTGAAATCTACACTTGCAAATTGCACAAATAGAGTGTTCCAAATCTGCTCTGTCTAAGGGAACGTTCAACTCTGTGAGTTGAATGCACACAACACAAGGAAGTTACTGGGAATTCTTCTGTCTAG
This sequence comes from Homo sapiens, assembly GCF_000001405.40. Classification (NCBI taxonomy): domain Eukaryota; kingdom Metazoa; phylum Chordata; class Mammalia; order Primates; family Hominidae; genus Homo; species Homo sapiens. The sequence goes on along the minus strand of NC_000005.10, from coordinate 49,182,654 downwards.
CCTTACATGAAAAAAACCCGTTTCCAACGAAGGCCTCTAAGTGGTCAAAATTTCCACGTGCAGACTTTACAAACAGAGTGTTTCCAAACTGCTGAATGAAAAGAAAAGTTAAACTCTGAGAGTTGAACGCACACATCACGCAGCAGTTTCTGAGAATGATTCTGTCTAGTTTTTATACGAAGATATTTCCTTTTCTGCCTTTAGCCCCAAAGCGCTTGAAATCTCCTCTTGCAAATTCCACAAAAACAGTGTTTCAAATCTGCTCTCTCTAAATGAAAGTTCAACTCTGTCAGTTGAATACACACAACACAAGGAAGTTACTGAGAATTCTTCTGTCTAGCATAATATGAAGAAATCCCGTTTCCAACGAAGGCCTCAAAGGGGTCTGAATATCCACTTGCAGACTTTATAAACAGAGTGTTTACTAACTGCTCTAGGAAAAGAAAGGTTAAACTCTGTGAGTTGAACGCACACATCACAAAGGAGTTTCTGAGAATCATTATGTCTAGTTTCTATAGGAAGATATTTCCTATTCTACCATTGACCTCAAAGCGGCCGAAATCTCCACTTGCAAATTCCACAAAAAGAGTGTTTCAAGTCTGCTCTCTGTAAAGGATCGTTCAACTCTGTGAGTTGAATACACACAACACAAGGAAGTTACTGAGAATTATTCTGTCTAGCAGAATATGAAGAAATCCCGTTTCCAACGAAGGCCACAAGATGTCAGAATATCCACTTACAGACTTTACAAACAGTGTGTTTCCTAACTGCTCTATGAACGGAAAGGTTAAACTCTGTGAGTTGAACGAACACATCTCAACGCAGTTTGTGGGAATGATTCTGTCTAGTTTTGAAACGAAGATATTTCCTTTTCTGCCATTGACCTTAAAGCGCTTGAAATCTACACTTGCAAATTGCACAAATAGAGTGTTTCAAATCTGCTCTGTCTAAGGGAACGTTCAACTCTGTGAGTTGAATGCACACAACACAAGGAAGTTACTGGGAATTCTTCTGTCTAGCCTTACAGGAAAAAAACCCATTTCCAACGAAGGCCTCTAAGTGGTCAAAATATCCACGTGCAGACTTTACAAACAGAGTGTTTCCAAACTGCTGAATGAAAAGAAAAGTTAAACTCTGAGAGTTGAAGGCACACATCGCAGAGCAGTTTCTGAGAATGATTCTGTCTAGTTTTCAAACGAAGATATTTCCTTTTCTGCCTTTGGCCTCAAAGCGCTTGAAATCTCCACTTGCAAATTCCACAAAAAGAGTGTTTCAAATCTGCTCTGTGTAAATGAAAGTTCAAACTCTGTGAGTTGAACACACACAACACAAGGAAGTTACTGGGAATTCTTCTCTCTAGCAGAATATGAAGAAATCCCGTTTCCAACGAAGGCCTCAAAGAGGTCTGAATATCCACTTGCAGACTTTACAAACAGAGTGTTTCCTAACTGCTCTATGAAAAGAAAGGTTAAACTCTGTGAGTTGAATGCACACATCAGAAAGGAGTTTCTGAGAATCATTCTGTCTAGTTTCTATAGGAAGATATTTCCTATTCTACCATTGACCTCAAAGCGGCTGAAATATCCACTTGCAAATTCCACCAAAAGAGTGTTTCAAGTCTGCTCTGTGTAAAGGATCGTTCAACTCTGTGAGTTAAATACACACAACACAAGGAAGTTACTGAGAATTCTTCTGTCTAGCACAGTATGAAGAAATCCCGTTTCCAACGAAGGCCACTAGATGTCAGAATATCCACTTACAGAATTGAAAAACAGACTGTTTCCTAACTGCTCTATGAAAAGAAAGGTTAAACTCTGTGAGTTGAACGAACACATCACAACGCAGTTTGTGGGAATGATTCTGTCTAGTTTTGAAACGAAGATATTTCCTTTTCTGCCATTGACCTTAAAGCGCTTGAAATCTCCACTTGCCAATTGCACAAAAAGAGTATTTCAAATCTGCTCTGTCTAAGGGAACGTTCAACTCTGTGAGTTGAATGTACACAACACAAGGAAGTTACTGGGAATTCTTCTGTCTAGCCTTACATGAAAAAAACCCGTTTCCAACGAAGGCCTCTAAGTGGTCAAATTATCCACGTGCAGACTTTACAAACAGAGTGTTTTCAAACTGCTGAATGAAAAGAAAAGTTAAACTCTGAGAGTTGAACGCACACATCGCAGAGCAGTTTCTGAGAATGATTCTGTCTAGTTTTTATACGAAGATATTTCCTTTTCTGCCTTTGGCCTCACAGCGCTTGAAATCTCCACTTGCAAATTCCACAAAAAGAGTGTTTCAAATCTGCTCTGTGTAAATGAAAGTTCAACTCTGTGAGTTGAACACACACAACACAAGGAAGTTACTGGGAATTCTTCTGTCTAGCAGAATATGAAGAAATCCCGTTTCCAACGAAGGACTCAAAGAGGTCTGAATATCCACTTGCAGACTTTACAAACAGAGTGTTTCCTAACTGCTCTATGAAAAGAAAGGTTAAACTCTGTGAGTTGAACGCACACATCACAAAGGAGTTTCTGAGAATCATTCTGTCTAGTTTCTATTGGAAGATATTTCCTATTCTACCATTGACCTCAAAGCGGCTGAAATCTCCACTTGCAAATTCCACAAAAAGAGTGTTTCAAGTCTGCTCTGTGTAAAGGATCGTTCAACTCTGTGAGTTGAATACACACAACACAAGGAAGTTACTGAGAATTCTTCTGTCTAGCAGAATATGAAGAAATCCCGTTTCCAACGAAGGCCACAAGATGTCAGAATATCCACTTACAGACTTTACAAACAGAGTGTTTCCTAACTGCTCTATGAACCGAAAGGTTAAACTCTGTGAGTTGAACGAACACATCACAACGCAGTTTGTGGGAATGATTCTGTCTAGTTTTGAAACGAAGATATTTCCTTTTCTGCCATTGACCTTAAAGCGCTTGTAATCTCCACTTGCCAATTGCCCAAAAAGAGTGTTTCAAATCTGCTCTGTCTAAGGGAACGTTCAACTCTGTGAGTTGAATGTACACAACACAAGGGAAGTTACTGGGAATTCTTCTGTCTAGCAGAATATGAAGAAATCCCGTTTCCAACGAAGACCTCAAAGAGGTCTGAATATCCACTTGCAGACTTTACAAACAGAGTGTTTCCTAACTGCTCTATGAAAAGAAAGGTTAAACTCCGTGAGTTGAACGCACACATCACAAATGAGTTTCTGAGAATCATTCTGTCTAGTTTCTATAGGAAGATATTTCCTATTCTACCATTGACCTCAAAGCGGCTGAAATCTCCACTTGCAAATTCCACAAAAAGAGTATTTCAAGTCTGCTCTGTGTAAAGGATCGTTCAACTCTGTGAGTTGAATAAACACAACACAAGGCAGTTACTGAGAATTCTTCTGTCTAGCATAATATGAAAAAATCCCGTTTCCAACGAAGGCCTCAAAGAGGTCTGAATATCCACTTGCAGACTTTACAAACAGAGTGTTTCCTAACTGCTCTATGAAAAGAAAAGTTAAACTCTGTGATTTGAACGCACACATCACAAAGGAGTTTCTGAGAATCATTCTGTCTAGTTTTTATACGAAGATATTTCCTTTTCTACCATTGACCTCAAAGAGGCTGAAATCTCCACTTGCAAATTCCACAAAAAGAGTGTTTCAAATCTGCTCTGTGTAAACCATCGTTCAACTCTGTGAGTTGAATACACACAACACAAGGAAGTTACTGAGAATTCTTCTGTCTAGCAGAATATGAAGAAATCCCGTTTCCAACCAAGGCCACAAGATGTCAGAATATCCACTTACAGACTTTACAAACAGAGTGTTTCCTAACTGCTCTATGAACAGAAAGGTTAAACTCTGTGAGTTGAACGAACACATCACAACGCAGTTTGTGGGAATGATTCTGTCTAGTTTTGAAACGAAGACATTTCCTTTTCTGCCATTGACCTTAAAGCGCTTGAAATCTACACTTGCAAATTGCACAAATAGAGTGTTTCAAATCTGCTCTGTCTAAGGGAACGTTCAACTCTGTGAGTTGAATGCACACAACACAAGGAAGTTACTGGGAATTCTTCTGTCTAGCCTTACATGAAAAAAACCCGTTTCCAACGAAGGCCTCTAAGTGGTCAAGTTATCCACGTGCAGACTTTACAAACAGAGTGTTTCCAAACTGCTGAATGAAAAGAAAAGTTAAACTCTGAGAGTTGAACGCACACATCGCAGAGCAGTTTCTGAGAATGATTCTGTCTAGTTTCTATAAGAAGATATTTCCTATTCTACCATTGACCTCAAAGCGGCTGAAATCTCCACAAGCAAATTCCACAAAAAGAGTGTTTCAAGTCTGCTCTGTGTAAAGGATCATTCAACTCTGTGAGTTGAATACACACAACACAAGGAAGTTACTGAGAATTATTCTTTCTAGCAGAATATGAAGAAATCCCGTTTCCAACGAAAGCCTCAAGGATGTCTGAATATCCACTTGCAGACTTTACAAACAGAGTGTTTCCTAACTACTCTATGAAAAGAAAGGTTAAACTCTGTGAGTTGAACGCACACATCACAAAGGAGTTTCTGAGAATCATTCTGTCTAGTTTTTCTACGAAGATATTTCCTTTTCTACTATTGACCTCAAAGCGGCTGAAATCTCCACTTGCAAATTCCACAAAAAGAGTGTTTCAAGTCTGCTCTGTGTAAAGGATCGTTCAACTCTGTGAGTTGAATACACACAACACAAGGAAGTTACTGATAATTCTTCTGTCTAGCAGAATGTGAAGAAATCCCGTTTCCAACGAAGGCCACAAGATGTCAGAATATCCACTTACAGAATTGACAAACAGACTGTTTCCTAACTGCTCTATGAAAAGAAAGGTTAAACTCTGTGAGTTGAACGAACACATCACAACGCAGTTTGTGGGAATGATTCTGTCTAGTTTTGAAACGAAGATATTTCCTTTTCTGCCATTGACCTTAAAGCGCTTGAAATCTCCATTTGCCAATTGCACAAAAAGAGTGTTTCAAATCTGCTCTGTCTAAGGGAACGTTCAACTCTGTGAGTTGAATGTACACAACACAAGGAAGTTACTGGGAATTCTTCTGTCTAGCCTTACAGGAATAAAACCCGTTTCCAACGAAGGCCTCTAAGTGGTCAAAATATCCACGTGCAGACTTTACAAAGAGAGTGTTTCCAAACTGCTGAATGAAAAGAAAAATTAAACTCTGAGAGTTGAATGCACACATCGCAGAGCAGTTTCTGAGAATGATTCTGTCTAGTTTTTATACGAAGATATTTCCTTTTCTGCCTTTGGCCCCAAAGCGCTTGAAATCTCCACTTGCAAATTCCACAAAAACAGTGTTTCAAATGTGCTCTCTCTAAATGAAAGTTCAGCTCTGTCAGTTGAATACACACAACACAAGGAAGTTACTGAGAATTCTTCTGTCTAGCCTTACATGAAAAAACCCCGTTGCCAACGAAGGCCTCAAAGAAGTCCAAATATCCACGTGCAGACTTTACAAACAGAGTGTTTCCTAACTGCTCTATGAAAAGAAAGGTTAAACTCTGTGAGTTGAACGCACACATCACAAAGGAGTTTCTGAGAATCATTCTGTCTAGTTTTTATACGAAGATATTTCCTTTTCTACCATTGACCTCAAAGCGGCTGAAATCTCCAATTGCAAATTCCACAAAAAGAGTGTTTCGAGTCTGCTCTGTGTAAAGGATCGTTGAACTCTGTGAGTTGAATACACACAACACAAGGAAGTTACTGAGAATTCTTCTGTCTAGCAGAATATGAAGAAATCCCGTTTCCAACGAAGGCCACAAGATGTCAGAATATCCACTTACAGACTTTACAAACAGAGTGTTTCCTAACTGCTCTATGAACAGAAAGGTTAAACTCTATGAGTTGAACGAACACATCACAACGCAGTTTGTGGGAATGATTCTGTCTAGTTTTGAAACGAAGATATTTCCTTTTCTGCCATTGACCTTAAAGCGCTTGAAATCTACACTTGCAAATTGCACAAATAGAGTGTTTCAAATCTGCTCTGTCTAAGGGAACGTTCAACTCTGTGAGTTGAATGCACACAACACAAGGAAGTTACTGGGAATTCTTCTGTCTAGCCTTACATGAAAAAAACCCGTTTCCAACGAAGGCCTCTAAGTGGTCAAAATTTCCACGTGCAGACTTTACAAACAGAGTGTTTCCAAACCGCTGAATGAAAAGAAAAGTTAAACTCTGAGAGTTGAACGCACACATCACGCAGCAGTTTCTGAGAATGATTCTGTATAGTTTCTATAGCAAGATATTTCCTATTCTACCATTGACCTCAAAGCGGCTGAAATCTCCACTTGCAAATTCCACAAAAAGAGTGTTTCAAGTCTGCTCTGTGTAAAGGATCGTTCAACTCTGTGAGTTGAATACAGACAACACAAGGAAGTTACTGAGAATTCTTCTTTCTAGCAGAATATGAAGAAATCCCTTTTCCAACGAAAGCCTCAAGGATGTCTGAATATCCACTTGCAGACTTTACAAACAGAGTGTTTCCCAACTGCTCTATGAAAAGAAAGGTTAAACTCTGTGAGTTGAACGCACACATCACAAAGGAGTTTCTGAGAATCATTCTGTCTAGTTTCTATAGGAAGATATTTCCTATTCTACCATTGACCTCAAAGCGGCTGAAATCTCCACTTGCAAATTCCACAAAAAGAGTGTTTCAAGTCTGCTCTCTGTAAAGGATCGTTCAACTCTGTGAGTTGAATACACACAACAAAAGGAAGTTACTGAGAATTATTCTGTCTAGCAGAATATGAAGAAATCCCGTTTCCAACGAAGGCCTCAAAGAGGTCTGAATATCCACTTGCAGACTTTACAAACAGAGTGTTTCCTAACTGCTCTATGAAAAGAAAAGTTAAACTCTGTGTGTTGAACGCACACATCACAAAGGAGTTTACTGAGAATCATTCTGTCTAGTTTTTATAGGAAGTTATTTCCTTTTCTACCTTTGACTTCAAAGTGGCTGAAATCTCCACTTGCAAATTCCACAAAAAGAGTGTTACAAGTCTGTTCTGTGTAAAGGATCGTTCAACTATGTGAGTTGAATACACACAACACAAGGAAGTTACTGAGAATTCTTCTGTCTAGCCTTACATGAAAAAAACCCGTTTCCAACGAAGGCCTCTAAGTGGTCAAGTTATCCACGTGCAGACTTTACAAACAGAGTGTTTCCAAACTTCTGAATGAAAAGAAAAGTTAAACTCTGAGAGTTGAACGCACACATCGCAGAGCAGTTTCTGAGAATGATTCTGTCTAGTTTTTATACGAAGATATTTCCTTTTCTGCCTTTGGCCCCAAAGCGCTTGAAATCTCCACTTGCAAATTCCACAAAAACAGTGTTTCAAGTCTGCTCTCTCTAAATGAAAGTTCAACTCTGTCAGTTGAATACACACAACACAAGGAAGTTACTGAGAATTCTTCTGTCTAGCATAGTATGAAGAAATCCCGTTTCCAACGAAGGCCTCAAAGAGGTCTGAATATCCACTTGCAGAGTTTACAAACAGAGTGTTTCGTAACTGCTCTATGAAAAGAAAGGTTAAACTCTGTGAGTTGAACGCACACATCACAAAGAAGTTTCTGAGAATCATTCTGTCTAGTTGTTATACGAAGATATTTCCTTTTCTACCGTGGACCTCAAAGCGGCTGAAATCTCCACTTGCAAATTCCACAAAAAGAGTGTTTCAAGTCTGCTCTGTGTAAAGGATCGTTCAACTCTGTGAGTTGAATACACACAACACAAGGAAGATTCTGAGAATTCTTCTGTCTAGCACAGTATGAAGAAATCCGGTTTCCAACGAAGGCCTCAAAGAGGTCTGAATATCCACTTGCAGAGTTTACAAACAGAGTGTTTCCTAACTGCTCTATGAAAAGAAAGGTTAAACTCTGTGAGTTGAACACACACATCTCAAAGGAGTTTCTGAGAATCATTCTGTCTAGTTTTGAAACGAAGATATTTCCTTTTCTGCCATTGACCTTAAAGCGCTTGAAATCTCCATTTGCCAATTGCACAAAAAGAGTGTTTCAAATCTGCTCTGTCTAAGGGAACGTTCAACTCTGTGAGTTGAATGTACACAACACAAGGAAGTTACTGGGAATTCTTCTGTCTAGCCTTACAAGAATAAAACCCGTTTCCAACGAAGGCCTCTAAGTGGTCAAAATATCCACGTGCAGACTTTACAAAGAGAATGTTTCCAAACTGCTGAATGAAAAGAAAAATTAAACTCTGAGAGTTGAATGCACACATCGCAGAGCAGTTTCTGAGAATGATTCTGTCTAGTTTTGAAACGGAGATATTTCCTTTTCTGCCTTTGGCCTCAAAGCGCTTGAAATCTCCGCTTGCAAATTCCACAAAAAGAGTGTTTCAAATCTGCTCTGTGTAAATGAAAGTTCAACTCTGTGAGTTGAACACACACAACACAAGGAAGTTACTGGGAATTCTTCTGTCTAGCCTTATATGAAAAAAACCCGTTTCCAACGAAGGCCTCAAAGAGGTCTGAATATCCTCTTGCAGACTTTACAAACAGAGTGTTTCCTAACTGCTCTATGAAAAGAAAGGTTAAACTCTGTGAGTTGAACGCACACATCACAAAGGAGTTTCTGAGAATCATTCTGTCTAGTTTCTATAGGAAGATATTTCCTATTCTACCATTGAATAAAAAGCGGCTGAAATCTACACCTGCAAATTCCACAAAAAGAGTGTTTCAAGTCTGCTCTGTGTAAAGGATCGTTCAACTTTGTGAGTTGAATTCACACAACACAAGGAAGTTACTGAGAATTCTTCTGTCTAGCATAATATGAAGAAATCCCGTTTCCAACGAAGGCCTCAAGGAGGTCTGAATATCCACTTGCACACTTTACAAACAGAGTGTTTCCCAACTGCTCTATGAAAAGAAAGGTTGAACTCTGTGAGTTGAACGCACACATCACAAAGGAGTTTCTCAGAATCATTCTGTCTAATTTTGAAACGAAGATATTTCCTTTTCTGCCATTGACCTTAATGCGCTTGAAATCTACACTTGCAAATTGCACAAATAGAGTGTTTCAAATCTGCTCTGTCTAAGGGAACGTTCAACTCTGTGAGTTGAATGCACACAACACAAGGAAGTTACTGGGAATTCTTCTGTCTAGCCTTACATGAAAAAAACCCGTTTCCAACGAAGGCCTCTAAGTGGTCAAAATATCCACGTGCAGACTTTACAAACAGAGTGTTTCCAAACCGCTGAATGAAAAGAAAAGTTAAACTCTGAGAGTTGAACGCACACATCACGCAGCAGTTTCTGAGAATGATTCTGTCTAGTTTTTATACGAAGATATTTCCTTTTCTGCCTTTGGTCCCAAAGCGCTTGAAATCTCCACTTGCAAATTCCACAAAAACAGTGTTTCAAATCTGCTCTCTCTAAATGAAAGTTCAACTCTGTCAGTTGAATACACAAAACACAAGGAAGTTACTGAGAATTCTTCTTTATAGCAGAATATGAAGAAATCCCGTTTCCAACGAAAGCCTCAAGGATGTCTGAATATCCACTTGCAGACTTTACAAACAGAGTGTTTCCCAACTGCGCTATGAAAAGAAAGGTTAAACTCTGTGAGTTGAACGCACACATCACAAAGGAGTTTCTGAGAATCATTCTGTCTAGTTTCTATAGGAAGATATTTCCTATTCTACCATTGACCTCAAAGCGGCTGAAATCTCCACTTGCAAATTCCACAAAAAGAGTGTTTCAAGACTGTTCTGTGTAAAGGATCATTCAACTCTGGTGAGTTGAATACACACAACACAAGGAAGTTACTGAGAATTCTTCTGTCTAGCAGAATATGAAGAAATCCCGTTTCCAACGAAGGCCACAAGATGTCAGAATATCCACTTACAGACTTTACAAACAGAGTGTTTCCTAACTGCTCTATGAACAGAAAGGTTAAACCCTGTGAGTTGAACGAACACATCACAACGCAGTTTGTGGGAATGATTATCTGTCTAGTTTTGAAACGACGATATTTCCTTTTCTGCCATTGACCTTAAAGCGCTTGAAATCTACACTTGCAAATTGCACAAATAGAGTGTTTCAAATCTGCTCTGTCTAAGGGAACGTTCAACTCTGTGAGTTGAATGCACACAACACAAGGAAGTTGCTGGGAATTCTTCTGTCTAGCCTTACAGGAAAAAAACCCGTTTCCAACGAAGGCCTCTAAGTGGTCAAAATATCCACGTGCAGACTTTACAAACAGAGTGTTTCCAAACTGCTGAATGAAAAGAAAAGTTAAACTCTGAGAGTTGAACGAACACATCGCAGAGCAGTTTCTGAGAATGATTCTGTCTAGTCTTTATACGAAGATAGTTTCCTTTTCTACCATTGACCTCAAAGCGGCTGAAATCTCCACTTGCAAATTCCACAAAAAGAGTTTTTCAAGTCTGCTCTTTGTAAAGGATCGTTCAACTCTGTGAGTTGAATACACACAACACAAGGAAGTTACTGAGAATTCTTCTGTCTAGCAGAATATGAAGAAATCCCGTTTCCAACGAAGGCCTCAAGGAGGTCTGAATATCCACTTGCAGACTTTACAAACAGAGTGTTTCCTAACTGCTCTATGAAAAGAAAGGTGAAACTCTGTGAGTTGAATGCACACATCACAAAGGAGTTTATGAGAATCATTCTGTCTAGTTTCTATAGGAAGATATTTCCTGTTCTACCATTGACCTCAAAGCGGCTGAAATCTGCGCTTGCAAATTCCACAAAAAGAGTGTTTCAAGTCTGTTCTGTGTAAAGGATCGTTCAACTCTGTGAGTTGAATACACACAACACAAGGAAGTTACTGAGAATTCTTCTGTCTAGCAGAATATGAAGAAATCCCGTTTCCAACGAAGGCCTCAAGGAGGTCTGAATATCCACTTGCAGACTTTACAAACAGAGTGTTTCCTAACTGCTCTATGAACAGAAAGGTTAAACTCTGTGAGTTGAACGAACACATCACAACGCAGTTTGTAGGAATGATTCTGTCTAGTTTTGAAACGAAGATATTTCCTTTTCTGCCGTTGACCTTAAAGCGCTTGAAATCTACACTTGCAAATTGCACAAATAGAGTGTTTCAAATCTGCTCTGTCTAAGGGAACGTTCAACTCTGTGAGTTGAATGCACACAACACAAGGAAGTTACTGGGAATTCTTCTGTCTAGCCTTACATGAAAAAAACCCGTTTCCAACGAAGGCCTCTAAGTGGTCAAAATATCCACGTGCAGACTTTACAAACAGAGTGTTTCCAAACCGCTGAATGAAAAGAAAAGTTAAACTCTGAGAGTTGAACGCCCACATCACGCAGCAGTTTCTGAGAATGATTCTGTCTAGTTTTTATACGAAGATATTTCCTTTTCTGCCTTTGGCCTCAAAGCGCTTGAAATCTCCATTAGCAAATTCCACAAAAAGAGTGTCTCAAATCTGCTCTGTGTAAAGGACCGTTCACCTCTGTGAGTTGAACACACACAACACAAGGAAGTTACTGGGAATTCTTCTGTCTAGCATAGTATGAAGAAATCCCGTTTCCAACGAAGGCCTCAAAGAGGTCTGAATATCCACTTGCATAGTTTACAAACAGAGTGTTTCCTAACTGCTCTATGAAAAGAAAGGTTAAACTCTGTGAGTTGAACGCACACATCACAAAGAAGTTTCTGAGAATCATTCTGTCTAGTCTTTATACGAAGATAGTTTCCTTTTCTACCATTGACCTCAAAGCGGCTGAAATCTCCACTTGCAAATTCCACAAAAAGAGTGTTTCAAGTCTGCTCTGTGTAAAGGATCGTTCAACTCTGTGAGTTGAATACAGACAACACAAGGAAGTTACTGAGAATTCTTCTGTCTAGCAGAATATGAAGAAATCCCGTTACCAACGAAGGCCTCAAGGAGGTCTGAATATCCACTTGCAGACTTTACAAACAGAGTGTTTCCTAACTGCTCTATGAAAAGAAAGGTGAAACTCTGTGAGTTGAATGCACACATCACAAAGGAGTTTATGAGAATCATTCTGTCTAGTTTTGAAACGAAGATATTTCCTTTTCTGCCGTTGACCTTAAAGAGCTTGAAAACTACACTTGCAAATTGCACAAATAGAGTGTTTCAAATCTGCTCTGTCTAAGGGAACGTTCAACTCTGTGAGTTGAATGCACACAACACAAGGAAGTTACTGGGAATTCTTCTGTCTAGCCTTACATGAAAAAAACCCGTTTCCAACGAAGGCCTCTAAGTGGTCAAAATTTCCACGTGCAGACTTTACAAACAGAGTGTTTCCAAACCGCTGAATGAAAAGAAAAGTTAAACTCTGAGAGTTGAACCCACACATCACGCAGTAGTTCCTGAGAATGATTCTGTCTAGTTTTTATACGAAGATATTTCCTTTTCTGCCTTTGGCCCCAAAGCGCTTGAAATCTCCACTTGCAAATTCCACAAAAACAGTGTTTCAAATCTGCTCTCTCTCGAAATGAAAGTTCAACTCTGTCAGTTGAATACACACAACACAAGGAAGTTACTGAGAATTCTTCTGTCTAGCACAGTATGGAGAAATCCCGTTTCCAACGAAGGCCTCAAAGAGGTCTGAATATCCACTTGCAGAGTTTACAAACAGAGTGTTTCCTAACTGCTCTATGAAAAGAAAGGTTAAACTCTGTGAGTTGAACGCACACATCACAATGAAGTTTCTGAGAATCATTCTGTCTAGTTTTTATACGAAGATATTTCCTTTTCTACCATTGACCTCAAAGCGGCTGAAATCTCCACTTGCAAATTCCACAAAAAGAGTGTTTCAAGTCTGCTCTGTGTAAAGGATCGTTCAACTCTGTGAGTTGAAAACACACAACACAACGAAGTTTCTGAGAATTCTTCTGTCTAGCAGAATATGAAGAAATCCCGTTTCCAACGAAGGCCACAAGACGTCAGAATATCCACTTACAGACTTTACAAACAGAGTGTTTCCTAACTGCTCTATGAACAGAAAGGTTAAACTCTGTGAGTTGAACGAACACATCACAACGCAGTTTCTGGGAATGATTCTGTCTAGTTTTAAAACGAAGAAATTTCCTTTTCTGCCATTGACCTTAAAGCGCTTGAAATCTACACTTGCAAATTGCACAAATAGAGTGTTTCAAATCTGCTCTGTCTAAGGGAACGTTCAACTCTGTGAGTTGAATGCACACAACACAAGGAAGTTACTGGGAATTCTTCTGTCTAGCCTTATATGAAAAAAACCCGTTTCCAACGAAGGCCTCAAAGAGGTCTGAATATCGACTTGCAGACTTTACAAACAGAGTGTTTCCTATCTGCTCTATGAAAAGAAAGGTGAAACTCTGTGAGTTGAACACACACATCGCAGAGCAGTTTCTGAGAATGATTCTGTCTAGTCTTTATACGTAGATAGTTTCCTTTTCTACCATTGACCTCAAAGCGGCTGAAGTCTCCACTTGCAAATTCCACAAAAAGAGTGTTTCAAGTCTGCTCTCTGTAAAGGATCGTTCAACTCTGTGAGTTGAATACACACAACACAAGGAAGTTACTGAGAATTCTTCTGTCTAGCATAATATGAAGAAATCTCCGTTTCCAACGAAGGCCTCAAGGAGTTCTGAATATCCACTTGCAGACTTTACAATCAGAGTGTTTCCTAACTGCTCTATGAAAAGAAAGGTTAAACTCTGTGAGTTGAACGCACACATCACAAAGGAGTTTCTGAGAATCATTCTGTCTAGTTTCTATAGGAAGATATTTCCTATTCTACCATTGACCTCAAAGCGGCTGAAATCTCCACTTGCAAATTCCACAAAAAGAGTGTTTCAAGTCTGCTCTGTGTAAAGGATCGTTGAACTCTGTGAGTTGAAAACACACAACACAAGGAAGTTTACTGAGAATTGCTCTGTCTAGCAGAATATGAAGAAATCCCGTTTCCAACGAAGGCCACAAGATGTCAGAATATCCACTTACAGAATTTTCAAACAGACTGTTTCCTAACTGCTCTATGAAAAGAAAGGTTAAACTCTGTGAGATGAACGAACACATCACAACGCAGTTTGTGGGAATGATTTCTGTCTAGTTTTGAAACGAAGATATTTCCTTTTCTGTCATTGACCTCAAAGCGCTTGAAATCTCCACTTGCCAATTGCACAAAAAGAGTGTTTCAAATCTGCTCTGTCTAAGGGAACGTTCAACTCTGTGAGTTGAATGTACACAACACAAGGAAGTTACTGGGAATTCTTCTGTCTAGCCTTACATGAAAAAAACCCGTTTCCAACGAAGGTCTCTAAGTTGTCAAATTATCCACGTGCAGACTTTACAAACAGAGTGTTTCCAAACTGCTGAATGAAAAGAAAAGTTAAACTCTGAGATTTGTACGCACACATCGCAGAGCAGTTTCTGAGAATGATTCTGTCTAGTTTTTATACGAAGATATTTCCTTTTCTGCCTTTGGCCTCAAAGTGCATGAATTCTCCATTTGCAAATTCCACAAAAAGAGTGTTTCAAATCTGCTCTGTCTAAATGAAAGTTCAACTCTGTGAGTTCAACACACACAACACAAGGAAGTTACTGGGAATTCTTCTGTCTAGCATAATATGAAGAAATCCCGTTTCCAAGGAAGGCCTCAAGGAGGTCTGAATATCCACTTGCAGAGTTTACAAACGGAGTGTTTCCAAACTGCTCTATGAAAAGAAAGGTTAAACTCTGTGAGTTGAACGCACACATCACAAAGGAGTTTCTCAGAATCATTCTGTCTAGTTTTTATACGAAGATATTTCCTTTTCTACCATGGACCTCAAAGCGGCTGAAATCTCCACTTGCAAATTCCACAAAAAGAGTGTTTCAAGTGTGCTCTGTGTAAAGGATCATTCAACTCTCTGAGTTGAATACACACAACAGAAGGAAGATTCTGAGAATTCTTCTGTCTAGCAGAATATGAAGAAATCCCGTTTCCAACGAAGGCCACAAGATGTCAGAATATCCACTTACAGACTTTACAAACAGAGTGTTTCCTAACTGCTCTATGAACAGAAAGGTTAAACTCTGTGAGTTGAACGCACACATCACAAAGGAGTTTCTGAGAATCATTCTGTCTAGTTTTGAAACGAAGATATTTCCTTTTCTGCCGTTGACCTTAAAGCGCTTGAAATCTACACTTGCAAATTGCACAAATAGAGTGTTTCAAATCTGCTCTGTCTAAGGGAACGTTCAACTCTGTGAGTTGAATGCACACAACACAAGGAAGTTACTGGGAATTCTTCTGTCTAGCCTTACAGGCAAAAAAACCCGTTTCCAACGAAGGCCTCTAAGTGGTCAAAATATCCACGTGCAGACTTTACAAACAGAGTGTTTTCAAACTGCTGAATGAAAAGAAAAGTTAAACTCTGAGAGTTGAACGCACACATCGCAGAGCAGTTTCTGAGAATGATTCTGTCTAGTTTTTATACGAAGATATTTCCTTTTCTGCCTTTGGCCTCAAAGCGCTTGAAATCTCCACTTGCAAATTCCACAAAAAGAGTGTTTCAAATCTGCTCTGTGTATATGAAAGTTCAACTCTGTGAGTTGAACACACACAACACAAGGAAGTTACTGGGAATTCTTCTGTCTAGCAGAATATGAAGAAATCCCGTTTCCAACGAAGGCCTCAAAGAGGTCTGAATATCCACTTGCAGACTTTACAAACAGAGTGTTTCCTAACTGCTCTATGAAAAGAAAGGTTAAACTCTGTGAGTTGAACGCACACATCACAAAGGAGTTTTGAGAATCATTCTGTCTAGTCTTTATACGAAGATATTTCCTTTTCTACCATTGACCACAAAGCGGCTGAAATCTCCACTTGCAAATTCCACAAAAAGAGTGTTTCAAGTCTGCTCTGTGTAAAGGATCGTTCAACTCTGTGAGTTGAATAAACACAACACAAGGAAGTTACTGAGAATTCTTCTGTCTAGCAGAATATGAAGAAATCCCGTTTCCAACGAAGGTCTCAACGAGGTCTGAATATCCACTTGCAGACTTTACAAACAGAGCGTTTCCTAACTGCTCTATGAAAAGAAATGTTAAACTCTGTGAGTTGAACACACACATCACAAAGGAGTTTCTGAGAATCATTCTGTCTAGTTTTGAAACGGAGATATTTCCTTTTCTGCCATTGACCTTAAAGCGCTTGAAATCTACACTTGCAAATTACACAAATAGAGTGTTTCAAATCTGCTCTGTCTAAGGGAACGTTCATCTCTGTGAGTTGAATGCACACAACACAAGGAAGTTACTGGGAATTCTTCTGTCTAGCCTTACATGAAAAAAACCCGTTTCCAACGAAGGCCTCTAAGTGGTCAAAATATCTACGTGCAGACTTTGCAGAGTGTTTCCAAACTGCTGAATGAAAAGAAAAGTTAAACTCTGAGAGTTGTACGCACACATCACAGAGCAGTTTCTGAGAATGATTCTGTCTAGTTTTGAAACGAAGATATTTCCTTTTCTGCCTTTGGCCTCAAAGCCCTTGAAATCTCCACTTGCAAATTCCACAAAAAGAGTGTTTCAAATCTGCTCTGTGTAAATGAAAGTTCAACTCTGTGAGTTGAACACACACAACACAAGGAAGTTACTGGGAATTCTTCTGTCTAGCAGAATATGAAGAAATCCCGTTTCCAACGAAGGCCTCAAAGAGGTCTCAATATCCACTTGCAGACTTTACAAACAGAGTGTTTCCTAACTGCTCTATGAAAAGAAAAGTTAAACTCTGTGAGTTGAACGCACACATCACAAAGGAGTTTCTGAGAATCATTCTGTCTAGTTTCTATACGAAGATATTTCCTTTTCTACCATTGACCTCAAAGCGGCTGAAATCTCCACTTTCAAATTCCACAAAAAGAGTGTTTCAAGTCTGCTCTGTGTAAAGGATCTTTCAACTCTGTGAGTTGAATACACACAACACAAGGAAGTTACTGAGAATTCTTCTGTCTAGGAGAATATGAAGAAATCCCATTTCCAACCAAGGCCACAAAATGTCAGAATATCCACTTACAGACTTTACAAACAGAGTGTTTCCTAACTGCTCTATGAACAAAAAGGTTAAACTCTGTGAGTTGAACGAACACATCACAACGCAGTTTGTGGGATTGATTCTGTCTAGTTTTTATACGAAGATATTCCCTTTTCTACCATTGACCTCAAAGCGGCTGAAATCACCACTTGCCAATTGCACAAAAAGAGTGTTTCAAATCTGCTCTGTCTAAGGGAACGTTCAACTCTGTGAGTTGAATGTACACAACACAAGGAAGTTCCTGGGAATTCTTCTGTCTAGCAGAATATGAAGAAATCCCGTTTCCAACGAAGGCCTCAAGGAGGTCTGAATATCCACTTGCAGACTTTACAAACAGAGTGTTTCCTAACTGCTCTATGAAAAGAAAGGTTAAACTCTGTGAGTTGAACGCACACATCACAAAGGAGTTTCTGAGAATGATTCTGTCTAGTTTTGAAACGAAGATATTTCCTTTTCTGCCTTTGGCCTCAAAGCCCTTGAAATCTCCACTTGCAAATGCCACAAAAAGAGTGTTTCAAATCTGCTCTGTGTAAATGAAAGTTCAACTCTGTGAGTTGAACACACACAACACAAGGAAGTTACTGGGAATTCTTCTGTCTAGCAGAATATGAAGAAATCCCGTTTCCAACGAAGGCCTCAAGGAGGTCTGAATATCCACTTGCAGACTTTACAAACAGAGTGTTTCCTAACTGCTCTATGAACAGAAAGGTTAAACTCTGTGAGTTGAACAGCACACATCACAAAGGAGTTTCTGAGAATCATTCTGTCTAGTTTTTATACGAAGATATTTCCTTTTCTACCATTGACCTCAAAGCGGCTGAAATCTCCACTTGCAAATTCCACAAAACGAGTGTTTCAAGTCCGCTCTGTGTAAAGGATCGTTCAACTCTGTGAGTTGAATACACACAACACAAGGAAGTTACTGAGAATTCTTCTGTCTAGCAAAGTATGGAGAAATCCCGTTTCCAACGAAGGCCTCAAAGAGGTCTGAATATCCACTTGCAGAGTTTACAAACAGAGTGTTTCCTAACTGCTCTATGAAAAGAAAGGTTAAACTCTGTGAGTTGAACGCACACATCACAAAGAAGTTTCTGAGAATCATTCTGTCTAGTTTTGAAACGAAGATATTACCTTTTCTGCCATTGACCTTAAAGCGCTTGAAATCTACACTTGCAAATTGCACAAATAGAGCGTTTCAAATCTGCTCTGTCTAAGGGAACGTTCATCTCTGTGAGTTGAATGCACACAACACAAGGAAGTTACTGGGAATGCTTCTGTTTAGCCTTACATGAAAAAAACCCGTTTCCAACGAAGGCCTCTATGTGGTCAAATTATCCACGTGCAGACTTTACAAACAGAGTGTTTCCAAACTGCTGAATGAAAAGAAAAGTTAAACTCTGAGAGTTGAACGCACACATCGCAGAGCAGTTTCTGAGAATGATTCTGTCTAGTTTTTATACGAAGATATTTCCTTTTCTGCCTTTGACCCCAAAGCGCTTGAAATCTCCACTTGCAAATTCCACAAAAACAGTGTTTCAAATCTGCTCTCTCTAAATGAAAGTTCAACTCTGTCAGTTGAATACACACAACACAAGGAAGTTACTGAGAATTCTTCTGTCTAGCATAATATGAAGAAATCCCGTTTCCAACGAAGGCCACAAAGAGGTCTGAATATCCACTTGCAGACTTTACAAACAGAGTGTTTCCTAACTGCTCTATGAAAAGAAAAGTTAATCTCTGTGAGTTGAACGCACACATCACAAAGGAGTTTCTGAGAATCATTCTGTCTAGTCTTTATACGAAGATATTTCCTTTTCTACCATTGACCTCAAAGCGGCTGAAATCTCCACTTGCAAATTCCACAAAAAGAGTGTTTCAAGTCTGCTCTGTGTAAAGGATCGTTCTACTCTGTGAGTTGAATACACACAACACAAGGAAGTTAGTGAGAATTCTTCTGTCTAGCAGAATATGAAGAAATCCCATTTCCAACGAAGGCCTCAAGGAGGTCTGAATATCCACTTGCAGACTTTACAAACAGAGTGTTTCCTAACTGCTCTATGAAAAGAAAAGTTAAACTCTGTGAGTTGAACGCACACATCACAAAGGAGTTTCTGAGAATCATTCTGTCTAGTTTTTATACGAAGATATTTCCTTTTCTACCATTGACCTCAAAGCGGCTGAAATCACCACTTGCCAATTGCACAAAAAGAGTGTTTCAAATCTGCTCTGTCTAAGGAAACGTTCAACTCTGTGAGTTGAATGTACACAACCCAAGGAAGTTACTGGGAATTCTTCTGTCTAGCCTTACATGAAAAAAACCCGTTTCCAACGAAGGCCTCTAAGTGGTCAAATTATCCACGTGCAGACTTTAAAAACAGAGTGTTTCCAAACTGCTGAATGAAAAGAAAAGTTAAACTCTGAGAGTTGAACGCACACATCGCAGAGCAGTTTCTGAGAATGATTCTGTCTAGTTTTTATACGAAGATATTTCCTTTTCTGCGTTTGGCCCCAAAGCACTTGAAATCTCCAATTGCAAATTACACAAAAACAGTGTTTCAAATCTGCTCTCTCTAAATGAAAGTTCAACTCTGTCAGCTGAATACACACAACACAAGGAAGTTACTGAGAATTCTTCTGTCTAGCATAGTATGGAGAAATCCCGTTTCCAATGAAGGCCTCAAAGAGGTCTGAATATCCACTTGCAGAGTTTACAAACGGAGTGTTTCCTAACTGCTCTATGAAAAGAAAGGTTAAACTCTGTGAGTTGAACGCACACATCACAAAGAAGTTTCTGAGAATCATTCTGTCTAGTTTCTATACGAAGATATTCCCTTTTCTACCATTGACCTCAAAGCGGCTGAAATCTCCACTTGCAAATTCCACAACAAGAGTGTTTCAAGTCTGCTCTGTGTAAGGGATCGTTCAACTCTGTGAGTTGAATACACACAACACAAGGAAGTTACTGAGAATTCTTCTGTCTAGCAGAATATGAAGAAATCCCGTTTCCAACGAAGGCCACAAAGAGGTCTGAAAATCCACTTGCAGACTTTACAAACAGAGTGTTTCCTAACTGCTGTATGAAAAGAAAGGTTAAACTCTGTGACTTGAAGGCACACATCACAAAGGAGTTTCTGAGAATCATTCTGTCTAGTTTTGAAACGAAGATATTTCCTTTTCTGCCGTTGACCTTAAAGCGCTTGAAATCTACACTTGCAAATTGCACAAATAGAGTGTTTCAAATCTGCTCTGTCTAAGGGAACGTTCAACTCTGTGAGTTGAATGCACACAACACAAGGAAGTTACTGGGAATTCTTCTGTCTAGCCTTACATGAAAAAAACCCGTTTCCAACGAAGGCCTCTAAGTGGTCAAAATATCCACGTGCAGACTTTAGAAACAGAGTGTTTCCAAACCGCTGAATGAAAAGAAAGGTTAAACTCTGAGAGTTGAACGCACACATCACGCAGCAGTTTCTGAGAATGATTCTGTCTAGTTTTTATACGAAGATATTTCCTTTTCTGCCTTTGGCCCCAAAGCGCTTGAAATCTCCACTTGCAAATTCCACAAAAAGAGTGTTTCAAATCTGCTCTCTCTAAATGAAAGTTCAACTCTGTCAGTTGAATACGCACAACACAAGGAAGTTACTGAGAATTCTTCTTTCTAGCATAATATGAAGAAATCCCGTTTCCAACGAAAGCCTCAAGGAGGTCTGAATATCCACTTGCAGACTTTACAAACAGAGTGTTTCCTAACTGCTCTATGAAAAGAAAGGTTAAACTCTGTGAGTTGAACGCACACATCA
Organism: Homo sapiens; assembly: GCF_000001405.40. Lineage (NCBI taxonomy): Eukaryota > Metazoa > Chordata > Mammalia > Primates > Hominidae > Homo > Homo sapiens. The sequence goes on along the minus strand of NC_000005.10, from coordinate 49,161,776 downwards.
CAAAGGAGTTTCTGAGAATCATTCTGTCTAGTTTTTATAGGAAGTTATTTCCTTTTCTACCTTTGACTTCAAAGCGGCTGAAATCTCCACTTGCAAATTCCACAAAAAGAGTGTTACAAGTCTGCTCTGTGTAAAGGATCGTTCAACTCTGTGAGTTGAATACACACAACACAAGGAAGTTACTGAGAATTCTTCTGTCTAGCACAGTATGAAGAAATCCCGTTTCCAACGAAGGCCTCAAAGAGGTCTGAATATCCACTTGCAGAGTTTACAAACAGAGTGTTTCCTAACTGCTCTATGAAAAGAAAGGTTAAACTCTGTTAGTTGAACGCACACATCACAACGCAGTTTTTGGGAATGATTCTGTCTGGTTTTGAAACGAAGATATTTCCTTTTCTGCCATTGACCTTAAAGCGCTTGAAATCTCCACTTGCCAATTGCACAAAAAGAGTGTTTCAAATCTGCTCTGTCTAAGGGAACGTTCAACTCTGTGAGTTGAATGTACACAACACAAGGAAGTTACTGGGAATTCTTCTGTCTAGCCTTACAGGAATAAAACCCGTTTCCAACGAAGGCCTCTAAGTGGTCAAAATATCCACGTGCAGACTTTACAAAGAGAGTGTTTCCAAACTGCTGAATGAAAAGAAAAATTAAACTCTGAGAGTTGAATGCACACATCGCAGAGCAGTTTCTGAGAATGATTCTGTCTAGTTTTTATACGAAGATATTTCCTTTTCTGCCTTTGGCCCCAATGCGCTTGAAATCTCCACTGGCAAATTCCACAAAAACAGTGTTTCAAATCTGCTCTCTCTAAATGAAAGTTCAACTCTGTCAGTTGAATACACACAACACAAGGAAAGTTACTGAGAATTCTTCTGTCTAGCAGAATATGAAGAAATCCCGTTTCCAACGAAGGCCTCAAAGGGGTCTGAATATCCACTTGCAGACTTTATAAACAGAGTGTTTACTAACTGCTCTATGAAAAGAAAGGTTAAAATCTGTGAGTTGAACACACATATCACAAAGGAGTTTCTGAGAATCATTCTATCTAGTTTCTATAGGAAGATATTTCCTATTCTACCATTGACCTCAAAGCGGCTGAAATCTCCACTTGCAGATTCCACAAAAAGAGTGTTTCAAGTCTGCTCTGTGTAAAGGATCGTTCAACTCTGTGAGTTGAATACACACAACACAAGGAAGTTACTGGGAATTCTTCTGTCTAGCATAATATGAGGAAATCCCGTTTCCAACGAAGGCCTCAAGGAGGTCTGAATATCCACTTGCAGACTTTACAAACAGAGTGTTTCCTAACTGCTCTATGAAAAGAAAGGTTAAACTCTGTGAGTTGAACGCACACATCACAAAGGAGTTTCTGAGAATCATTCTGTCTAGTTTTGAAACGAAGATATTTCCTTTTCTGCCATTGACCTTAAAGCGCTTGAATTCTCCACTTGCCAATTGCACAAAAAGAGTGTTTCAAATCTGCTCTGTCTAAGGGAACGTTCAACTCTGTGAGTTGAATGTACACAACACAAGGAAGTTACTGGGAATTCTTCTGTCTAGCCTTACAGGAAAAAAACCCGTTTCCAACGAAGGCCTCTAAGTGGTCAAAATATCCACGTGCAGACGTTACAAACAGAGTGTTTCCAAACTGCTGAATGAAAAGAAAAGTTAAACTCTGAGAGTTGAAAGCACACATCGCAGAGCAGTTTCTGAGAATGATTCTGTCTAGTTTTTATACGAAGATATTTCCTTTTCTGGGTTTGGCCCCAAAGCGCTTGAAATCTCCAATTGCAAATTACACAAAAACAGTGTTTCAAATCTGCTCTCTCTAAATGAAAGTTCAACTCTGTCAGCTGAATACACACAACACAAGGAAGTTACTGAGAATTCTTCTGTCTAGCATAAAATGAAGAAATCCCGTTTCCAACGAAGGCCTCAAAGAGGTCTGAATATCCACTTGCAGACTTTACAAACAGAGTGTTTCCTAACGGCTCTATGAAAAGAAAAGTTAAACTCTGTGAGTTGAACGCACACATCACAAAGGAGTTTCTGAGAATCATTCTGTCTAGTTTTTATAGGAAGATATTTCCTTTTCTACCTTTGACTTCAAAGCGGCTGAAATCTCCACTTGCAAATTCCACAAAAAGAGTGTTACAAGTCTGCTCTGTCTAAGGGAACGTTCAACTCTGTGAGTTGAATGTACACAACACAAGGAAGTTACTGGGAATTCTTCTGTCTAGCAGAATATGAAGAAATCCCGTTTCCAACGAAGGCCACAAGATGTCAGAATATCCACTTACAGACTTTACAAACAGAGTGTTTCCTAACTGCTCTATGAACAGAAAGGTTAAACTCTGTGAGTTGAACGAACACATCACAACGCCGTTTGTGGGAATGATTCTGTCTAGTTTTGAAACGAAGATATTTCCTTTTCTGCCGTTGACCTTAAAGCGCTTGAAATCTACACTTGCAAATTACACAAATAGAGTGTTTCAAATCTGCTCTGTCTAAGGGAACGTTCAACTCTGTGAGTTGAATGCCCACAACACAAGGAAGTTACTGGGAATTCTTCTGTCTACCCTTACATGAAAAAAACCCGTTTCCAACGAAGGCCTCTAAGTGGTCAAAATATCCACGTGCAGACTTTACAAACAGAGTGTTTCCAAACTGCTGAATGAAAAGAAAAGTTAAACTCTGAGAGTTGAAAGCACACATCACAGAGGATTTTCTGAGAATGATTCTGTCTAGTTTTTATACGAAGATATTTCCTTTTCTGCCTTTGGCCCCAAAGCGCTTGAAATCTCCACTTGCAAATTCCACAAAAACAGTGTTTCAAATCTGCTCTCTCCAAATGAAAGTTCAACTCTGTCAGTTGAATACACACAACACAAGGAAGTTACTGAGAATTCTTCTGTCTAGCATAATATGAAGAAATCCCGTTTCCAACGAAGGCCTCAAGGAGGTCTGAATATCCACTTGCAGACTTTACAAACAGAGTGTTTCCCAACTGCTCTATGAAAAGAAAGGTTGAACTCTGTGAGTTGAACACACACATCACAAAGGAGTTTCTGAGAATCATTCTGTCTAGTTTCTATAGGAAGTTATTTCCTATTCTACCATTGACCTCAAAGCGGCTGAAATCTCCACTTGCAAATTCCACAAAAAGAGTGTTTCAAGTCTGCTCTGTGTAAAGGATCATTCAACTCTGTGAGTTGAATACACACAACACAAGGAAGTTACTGAGGAATTCTTCTGTCTAGCATAATATGAAGAAATCCCGTTTCCAACGAAGGCCTCAAGGAGGTCTGAATATCCACTTGCAGACTTTACAAACAGAGTGTTTCCTAACTGCTCTATGAAGAGAAAGGTTAAACTCTGTGAGTTGAACGAACACATCACAACGCAGTTTGTGGTAATGATTCTGTCTAGTTTTGAAACGAAGATATTTCCTTTTCTGCCGTTGACCTTAAAGCGCTTGAAATCTACACTTGCAAATTGCACAAATAGAGTGTTTCAAATCTTCTCTGTCTAAGGGAACGTTCAACTCTGTGAGTTGAATGCACACAACACAAGGAAGTTACTGGGAATTCTTCTGTCTAGCCTTACATGAAAAAAACCCGTTTCCAACGAAGGCCTCTAAGTGGTCAAAATTTCCACGTGCAGACTTTACAAACAGAGTGTTTCCAAACCGCTGAATGAAAAGAAAAGTTAAACTCTGAGAGTTGAACGCACACATCACGCAGCAGTTTCTGAGAATGATTCTGTCTAGTTTTTGTACGAAGATATTTCCTTTTCTACCCTTGACCTCAAAGCGGCTGAAATCTGCACTTGCAAATTCCACAAAAAGAGTGTTTCAAGTCTGTTCTGTGTAAAGGATCATTCAACTCTGTGAGTTGAATACACACAACACAAGGAAGTTACTGAGAATTCTTCTGTCTAACCTTATATGAAAAAAACCCGTTTCCAACGAAGGCCTCAAAGAGGTCTGAATATCCACTTGCAAACTTTACACACAGAGTGTTTCCTAACTGCTCTATGAAAAGAAAGGTTAAACTCTGTGAGTTGAACGCACACATCACAAAGGAGTTTCTGAGAATCATTCTGTCTAGTTTCTATAGGAAGATATTTCCTATTCTACCATTGAACTCAAAGCGGCTGAAATCTCCACTTGCAAATTCCACAAAAAGAGTGTTTCAAGTCTGCTCTGTGTAAAGGATCATTCAACTCTGTGAGTTGAATACACACAACACAAGGAAGTTACTGAGAATTCTTCTGTCTAGCATAATAGGAAGAAATCCCGTTTCCAACGAAGGCCTCAAGGAGGTCTGAATATCCACTTGCAGACTTTACAATCAGAGTGTTTCCTAACTGCTCTATGAAAAGAAAGGTTAAACTCTGTGAGTTGAACGCACATATCACAAAGGAGTTTCTCAGAATCATTCTGTCTAGTTTTGAAACGAAGATATTTCCTTTTCTGCCATTGACCTTAAAGCGCTTGAAATCTCCACTTGCCAATTGCACAAAAAGAGTGTTTCAAATCTGCTCTGTCTAAGGGAACGTTCAACTCTGTGAGTTGAATGTACACAACACAAGGAAGTTACTGGGAATTCTTCTGTCTAGCCTTACATGAAAAAAACCCGTTTCCAACGAAGGCCTCTAAGTGGTCAAATTATCCACGTGCAGACTTTACAAACAGAGTGTTTCCAAACTGCTGAATGAAAAGAAAAGTTAAACTCTGAGAGTTGAACGCACACATCGCAGAGCAGTTTCTGAGAATGATTTCTGTCTAGTTTTTATACGAAGATATTTCCTTTTCTGCCTTTGGCCTCAAAGCGCTTGAAATCTCCACCTGCAAATTCCACAAAAAGAGTGTTTCAAATCTGCTCTGTGTAAATGAAAGTTCAACTCTGTGAGTTGAACACACACAACACAAGGAAGTTACTGGGAATTCTTCTGTCTAGCATAATATGAAGAAATCCCGTTTCCAACGAAGGCCTCAAAGGGGTCTGAATATCCACTTGCAGACTTTATAAACGGAGTGTTTACTAACTGCTCTATGAAAAGAAAGGTTAAACTCTGTGAGTTGAACACACACATCACAAAGGAGTTTCTGAGAATCATTCTGTCTAGTTTCTATAGGAAGATATTTCCTATTCTACCATTGACCTCAAAGTGGCTGAAATCTCCACTTGCAAATTCCACAAAAAGATTGTTTCAAGTCTGCTCTGTGTAAAGGATCGTTCAACTCTGTGAGTTGAATACACACAACACAAGGCAGTTACTGAGAATTCTTCTGTCTAGCAGAAAATGAAGAAATCCCGTTTCCAACGAAGGCCACAAGATGTCAGAATATCCACTTACAGACTTTACAAACAGAGTGTTTCCTAACTGCTCTATGAACAGAAAGGTTAAACTGCTGTGAGTTGAACGAACACATCACAACGCAGTTTGTGGGAATGATTCTGTCTAGTTTTGAAACGAAGATATTTCCTTTTCTGCCATTGACCTTAAAGCGCTTGAAATCTCCACTTGCCAATTGCACAAAGAGTGTTTCAAATCTGCTCTGTCTAAGGGAACGTTCAACTCTGTGAGTTGAATGTACACAACACAAGGAAGTTACTGGGAATTCTACTGTCTATGCCTTACAGGAAAAAAACCCGTTTCCAACGAAGGCCTCTAAGTGGTCAAAATATCCACGTGCAGACTTTACAAACAGAGTGTTTCCAAACTGCTGAATGAAAAGAAAAGTTAAACTCTGAGAGTTGAACGCACACATCGCAGAGCAGTTTCTGAGAATGATTCTGTCTAGTTTTTATACGAAGATATTTCCTTTTCTGCCTTTGGCCTCACAGCGCTTGAAATCTCCACTTGCAAATTCCACAAAAAGAGTGTTTCAAATCTGCTCTGTGTAAATGAAAGTTCAACTCTGTGAGTTGAACACACACAACACAAGGAAGTTAGTGGGAATTCTTCTGTCCAGCAGAACATGAAGAAATCCCGCTTCCAACGAAGGCCTCAAAGAAGTCTGAATATCCACTTGCAGACTTTACAAACAGAGTGTTTCCCAACTGCTCTAGGAAAACAAAGGTTGAACTCTGTGAGTTGAACGCACACATCACAAAGGAGTTTCTGAGAATCATTCTGTCTAGTTTCTATGGGAAGATATTTCCTATTCTACCATTGACCTCAAAGCGGCTGAAATCTCCACTTGCAAATTCCACAAAAAGAGTGTTTCAAGTCTGCTCTGTGTAAAGGATCGTTGAACTCTGTGAGTTGAATACACACAACACAAGATAGTTACTGAGAATTCTTCTGTCTAGCAGAATATGAAGAAATCCCGTTTCCAACGAAGGCCTCAAGGAGGTCTGAATATCCACTTGCAGACTTTACAATCAGAGTGTTTCCTAACTGCTCTATGAAAAGAAAGGTTAAACTCTTTGAGTTGAACGCACACATCACAACGCAGTTTGTGGGAATGATTCTGTCTAGTTTTGAAACGAAGATATTTCCTTTTCTGCCATTGACCTTAAAGCGCTTGAAATCTACACTTGCAAATTGCACAAATAGATTGTTTCAAATCTGCTCTGTCTAAGGAAACGTTCAACTCTGTGAGTTGAATGCACACAACACAAGGAAGTTACTGGGAATTCTTCTGTCTAGCCTTACATGAAAAAAACCCGTTTCCAACGAAGGCCTCTAAGTGGTCAAAATATCCACGTGCAGACTTTACAAACAGAGTGTTTCAAAACCGCTGAATGAAAAGAAAAGTTAAACTCTGAGAGTTGAACGCACACATCACGCAGCAGTTTCTGAGAATGATTCTGTCTAGTTTTGAAACGAAGATATTTCCTTTTCTGCCTTTGGCCTCAAAGCGCTTGAAATCTCCACTTGCGAATTCCACAAAAAGAGTGTTTCAAATCTGCTCTGTGTAAATGAAAGTTCAACTCTGTGAGTTGAACACACACAACACAAGGAAGTTACTGGGAATTCTTCTGTCTAGATTTTATATGAAGAAATCCCGTTTCCAACGAAGGCCTCAAAGAGGTCTGAATATCCACTTGCAGACTTTACAAACAGAGTGTTTCCTAACTGCTCTATGAAAAGAAAGGTTAAACTCTGTGAGTTGAACGCACACATCACAAAGGAGTTTCTGAGAATCATTCTGTCTAGTTTCTATAGGAAGATATTTCCTATTCTACCATTGACCTCAAAGCGGCTGAAATCTCCCCTTGCAAATTCCACAAAAAGAGTGTTTCAAGTCTGCTCTGTGTAAAGGATCGTTCAACTCTGTGAGTTGAATACACACAACACAAGGCAGTTACTGAGAATTCTTCTGTCTAGCAGAATATGAATAAATCCCGTTTCCAACGAAGGCCTCAAAGAGGTCTGAATATCCACTTACAGACTTTACAAACAGAGTGTTTCCTAACTGCTCTATGAAAAGAAAAGTTAAACTCTGTGAGTTGAACGAACACATCACAACGCAGTTTGTGGGAATGATTCTGTCTATTTTTCAAACGAAGATATTTCCTTTTCTGCCATTGACCTTAAAGCGCTTGAAATCTACACTTGCAAATTGCACAAATAGAGTGTTTCAAATCTGCTCTGTCTAAGGGAACGTTCAACTCTGTGAGTTGAATGCACACAACACAAGGAAGTTACTGGGAATTCTTCTGTCTAGCCTTACATGCAAAAAACCCGTTTCCAACGAAGGCCTCTAAGTGGTCAAAATATCCACGTGCAGACTTCACAAACAGAGTGTTTCCAAACCGCTGAATGAAAAGAAAAGTTAAACTCTGAGAGTTGAACGCACACATCACGCAGCAGCTTCTGAGAATGATTCTGCCTAGTTTTCATACGAAGATATTTCCTTTTCTGCCTTTGGCCCCAAAGCGCTTGAAATCTCCACTTGCAAATTCCACAAAAACAGTGTTTCAAATCTGCTCTCTCTAAATGAAAGTTCAACTCTGTCAGTTGAATACACACAACACAAGGAAGTTACTGAGAATTCTTCTGTCTAGCATAATATGAAGAAATCCCGTTTCCAACGAAGGCCTCAAGGAGGTCTGAATATCCACTTGCAGACTTTACAAACAGAGTGTTTCCTAACTGCTCTATGAAAAGAAAGTTTAAAGTCTGTGAGTTGAACGCACACATCACAAGGGAGTTTCTGAGGATCATTCTGTCTAGTTTTTATAGGAAGATATTTCCTTTTCTACCTTTGACTTCAAAGCGGCTGAAATCTCCACTTGCAAATTCCACAAAAAGAGTGTTACAAGTCTGCTCTGTGTAAAGGATCGTTCAACTCTGTGAGTTGAATACACACAACACAAGGAAGTTACTTGAGAATTCTTCTGTCTAGCAGAATATGAAGAAATCCCGTTTCCAACGAAGGCCAGAAGATGTCAGAATATCCACTTACAGACTTTACAAACAGAGTGTTTCCTAACCGCTCTATGAACGGAAAGGTTAAACTCTGTGAGTTGAACGAACACATCACAACGCAGTTTGTGGGAATGATTCTGTCTAGTTTTGAAACGAAGATATTTCCTTTTCTGCCATTGACCTTAAAGCGCTTGAAATCTCCACTTGCCAATTGCACAAAAAGAGTGTTTCAAATCTGCTCTGTCTAAGGGAACGTTCAACTCTGTGAGTTGAATGTACACAACACAAGGAATTTAATGGGAAATCTTCTGTCTAGCCTTATATGAAAAAAACCCGTTTCCAAAGAAGGCCTCTAAGTGGTCAAAATATCCACGTGCAGACTTTACAAACAGAGTGTTTCCAAACCGCTGAATGAAAAGAAAAGTTAAACTCTGAGAGTTGAACGCACACATCACGCAGCAGTTTCTGAGAATGATTCTGTCTAGTTTTTATACGAAGATATTTCCTTTTCTGCCTTTGGCCCCGAAGCGCTTGAAATCTCCACTTGCAAATTCCACAAAAACAGTGTTTCAAATCTGCTCTCTCTAAATGAAAGTTCAACTCTGTCAGTTGAATACACACAACACAAGGGAAGTTACTGAGAATTCTTCTGTCCAGCAGAATACGAAGAAATCCCGTTTCCAACGAAGGCCTCAAAGAGGTCTGAATATCCACTTACAGACTTTACAAACAGAGTGTTTCCTAACTGCTCTATGAAAAGAAATGTTAAATTCTGTGAGTTGAACGCACACATCACAAAGGAGTTTCTGAGAATCATTCTGTCTAGTCTTTATACGAAGATATTTACTTTTCTACCATTGACCTCAAAGCGGCTGAAATCTCCACTTGCAATTTCCACAAAAAGAGTGTTTCAAGTCTGCTCTGTGTAAAGGATCATTCAACTCTGTGAGTTGAATACACACAACACAAGGAAGTTACTGAGAATTCTTCTGTCTAGCAGAATATGAAGAAATCCCTTTTCCAAAGAAGGCCTCAAGGAGGTCTGAATATCCACTTGCAGACTTTACAAACAGAGTGTTTCCTAACTGCTCTATGAAAACAAAGGTTAAACTCTGTGAGTTGAACGCACACATCACAAAGGAGTTCATGAGAATCATTCTCTCTAGTTTTGAAACGAAGATATTTCCTTTTCTGCCATTGACCTTAAAGCGCTTGAAATCTCCACTTGCCAATTGCACAAAAAGAGTGTTTCAAATCTGCTCTGTCTAAGGGAACGTTCAACTCTGTGAGTTGAATGTACACAACACAAGGAAGTTACTGGGAATTCTTCTGTCTAGCCTTACATGAAAAAAACCCGTTTCCAACGAAGGCCTCTAAGTGGTCAAAATATCCACGTGCAGACTTTACAAACAGAGTGTTTCCAAACCGCTGAATGAAAAGAAAAGTTAAACTCTGAGAGTTGAACGCACACATCACGCAGCAGTTTCTGAGAATGATTCTGTCTAGTTTTTATACGAAGATATTTCCTTTTCGGCCTTTGGCCCCAAAGCGCTTGAAATCTCCACTTGCAAATTCCACAAAAACAGTGTTTCAAATCTGCTCTCTCTAAATGAAAGTTCAACTCTGTCAGTTGAATACACACAACACAAGGAAGTTACTGAGAATTCTTCTTTCTAGCAGAATATGAAGAAATCCCGTTTCCAACGAAAGCCTCAAGGATGTCTGAATATCCACTTGCAGACATTACAAACAGAGTGTTTCCCAACTGCTCTATGAAAAGAAAGGTTAAACTCTGTGAGTTGAACGCACACATCACAAAGGAGTTTCTGAGAATCATTCTGTCTAGTTTTTATACGAAGATATTTCCTTTTCTACCATTGAACACAAAGCGGCTGAAATCTCCACTTGCAAATTCCACAAAAAGAGTGTTTCAAGTCTGCTGTGTGTAAAGGATCGTTCAACTCTGTGAGTTGAATACATACAACACAAGGAAGTTTCTGAGAATTCTTCTGTCTAGCATAATATGAAGAAATCCCTTTTCCAACGAAGGCCTCAAAGAGGTCTGAATATCTACTTGCAGACTTTACAAACAGAGTGTTTCCTAACTGCTCTGTGAAAAGAAAGGTTAAACTCTGTGAGTTGAACGCACACATCACAAAGGAGTTTCTGAGAATCATTCTGTCTAGTTTTGAAACGAAGATATTTCCTTTTCTGCCGTTGACCTTAAAGTGCTTGAAATGTACACTTGCAAATTGCACAAATAGGCTGTTTCAAATCTGCTCTGTCTAAGGGAACGTTCAACTCTGTGAGTTGAATGCGCACAACACAAGGAAGTTACTGGGAATTCTTCTGTCTAGCCTTACAGGAAAGAAACCCGTTTCCAACGAAGGCCTCTAAGTGGTCAAAATATCCACGTGCAGACTTTACAAACAGAGTGTTTCCAAACTGCTGAATGAAAAGAAAAGTTAAACTCTGAGAGTTGAACGCACACATCGCAGAGCAGTTTCTGAGAATGATTCTGTCTAGTTTTTCTTCGAAGATATTTCCTTTTCTACTATTGACCTCAAAGCGGCTGAAATCTCCACTTGCAAATTCCACAAAAAGAGTGTTTCAAGTCTGCTCTGTGTAAAGGATCGTTTAACTCTGTGAGTTGAATACACACAACACAAGGAAGTTACTGAGAATTCTTCTGTCTCGCATAATATGAAGAAATCCCGTTTCCAACGAAGGCCTCAAAGGGGTCTGAATATCCACTTGCAGCCTTTACAAACAGAGTGTTTCCTAACTGCTCTATGAAAAGAAAAGTTAAACTCTGTGAGTTGAACGCACGCATCACAAAGGAGTTTCTGAGAATCATTCTGTCTAGTTTCTATAGGAAGATATTTCCTATTCTACCATTGACCTCAAAGCGGCTGAAATCTCCACTTGCAAATTCCACAAAAGGAGTGTTTCAAGTCTGCTCTGTGTAAAGGATCGTTCAACTCTGTGAGTTGAAAACACACAACACAAGGAAGTTTCTGAGAATTCTTCTGTCTAGCAGAATATGAAGAAATCCCGCTTCCAACGAAGGCCTCAAAGAAGTCTGAATATCCACTTGCAGACTTTACAAACAGAATGTTTCCCAACTGCTCTATGAAAAGAAAGGTTGAACTCTGTGAGTTGAACGCACACATCACAAAGGAGTTTCTGAGAATCATTCTGTCTAGTTTTTATACGAAGATATTTCCTTTTCTACCATTGACCTCAAAGCGGCTGAAATCACCACTTGCCAATTGCACAAAAAGAGTGTTTCAAATCTGCTCTGTCTAAGGGAACGTTCAACTCTTGTGAGTTGAATGTACACAACACAAGGAAGTTACTGAGAATTCTTCTGTCTAACCTTACATGAAAAAAACTCGTTTCCAACGAAGGCCTCTAAGTGGTCAAATTATCCACGTGCAGACTTTACAAACAGAGTGTTTCCAAACTGCTGAATGAAAAGCAAAGTTAAACTCTGAGAGTTGAACGCACACATCGCAGAGCAGTTTCTGAGAATGATTCTGTCTAGTTTTTATACGAAGATATTTCCTTTTCGGCCTTTGGCCTCAAAGCGCTTGAAATCTCCACCTGCAAATTCCACAAAAAGAGTGTTTCAAATCTGCTCTGTGTAAATGAAAGTTCAACTCTGTGAGTTGAACACACACAACACAAGGAAGTTACTGGGAATTCTTCTGTCTAGCAGAACATGAAGAAATCCCGCTTCCAACGAAGGCCTCAAAGAAGTCTGAATATCCACTTGCAGACTTTACAAACAGAGTGTTTCCCAACTGCTCTATGAAAAGAAAGGTTGAACTCTGTGAGTTGAACGCACACATCACAAAGCAGTTTCTGAGAATCATTCTGTGTAGTTTCTATAGGAAGATATTTCCTATTCTACCATTGAACTCAAAGCGGCTGAAATCTCCACTTGCAAATTCCACCAAAAGAGTGTTTCAAGTCTGCTCTGTGTAAAGGATCGTTCAACTCTGTGAGTTGAATACACACAACACAAGGAAGTTCCTGAGAATTCCTCTGTCTAGCATAGTATGAAGAAATCCCGTTTCCAACGAAGGCCTCAAAGAGGTCTGAATATCCACTTACAGAATTGACAAACAGACTGTTTCCTAACTGCTCTATGAAAAGAAAGGTTAAACTCTGTGAGTTGAACGAACACATCACAACGCAGTTTGTGGGAATGATTCTGTCTAGTTTTGAAACGAAGATATTTCCTTTTCTGCCATTGACCTTAAAGCGCTTGAAATCTCCACTTGCCAATTGCACAAAAAGAGTGTTTCAAATCTGCTCTGTCTAAGGGAACGTTCAACTCTGTGAGTTGAATGTACACAACACAAGGAAGTTACTGGGAATTCTTCTGTCTAGCCTTACATGAAAAAAACCCGTTTCCAACGAAGGCCTCTAAGTGGTCAAATTATCCACGTGCAGACTTTACAAACAGAGTGTTTCCAAACTGCTGAATGAAAAGAAAAGTTAAACTCTGAGAGTTGAACGCACACATCGCAGAGCAGTTTCTGAGAATGCTTCTGTCTAGTTTTTATACAAAGATATTTCCTTTTCTGCCTTTGGCCCCAAAGCGCTTGAAATCTCCACTTGCAAATTCCACAAAAACAGTGTTTCAAATCAGCTCTCTCTAAATGAAAGTTCAACTCTGTCAGTTGAATACACACAACACAAGGAAAGTTACTGAGAATTCTTCTGTCTAGCCTTACATGAAAAAAAACCGTTTCCAACGAAGGCCTCAAAGAAGTCCAAATATCCACGTGCAGACTTTACAAACAGAGTGTTTCCTAACTGCTCTATGAAAAGAAAGGTTAAACTCTGTGAGTTGAACGCCCACATCACAAAGGAGTTTCTGAGAATCATTCTGTCCAGTTTCTATAGGAAGATATTTCCTATTCTACCATTGACCTCAAAGCGGCTGAAATCTCCACTTGCAAATTCCACAAAAAGAGTGTTTCAAGTCTGCTCTCTGTAAAGGATCGTTCAACTCTGTGAGTTGAATACACACAACACAAGGAAGCTACTGAGAATTCTTCTGTCTAGCAGAATATGAAGAAATCCCGTTTCCAACGAAGGCCTCAAAGAGCTCTGAATATCCACTTGCAGACTTTACAAACAGAGTGTTTCCTAACTGCTCTATGAAAAGAAAAGTTAAACTCTGTGAGTTGAACGCACAGATCACAAAGGAGTTTCTGAGAATCATTCTGTCTAGTTTTGAAACGAAGATATTTCCTTTTCTGCCGTTGACCTTAAAGCGCTTGAAATCTACACTTGCAAATTGCACAAATAGAGTGTTTCAAATCTGCTCTGTCTAAGGGAACGTTCAACTCTGTGAGTTGAATGCACACAACACAAGGAAGTTACTGGGAATTCTTCTGTCTAGCCTTACATGAAAAAAACCCGTTTCCAAGGAAGGCCTCTAAGTGGTCAAAATATCCACGTGCAGACTTTACAAACAGAGTGTTTCCAAACCGCTGAATGAAAAGAAAAGTTAAACTCTGAGAGTTGAACGCACACATCACGCAGCAGTTTCTGAGAATGATTTCTGTCTAGTTTTTATAGGAAGATATTTCCTTTTCTACCTTTGACTTCAAAGCGGCTGAAATCTCCACTTGCAAATTCCACAAAAAGAGTGTTACAAGTCTGCTCTGTGTAAAGGATCGTTCAACTCTGCGAGTTGAATACACACAACACAAGGAAGTTACTGAGAATTCTTCTGTCTAGCATAGTATGAAGAAATCCCGTTTCCAACGAAGGCCTCAAAGAGGTCTGAATATCCACTTGCAGACTTTACAAACAGAGTGTTTCCTAACTGCTCTATGAAAAGAAAGGTTAAACTCTGTGAGTTGAACGCACACATCACAAAGAAGTTTCTGAGAATCATTCTGTCTAGTCTTTATATGAAGATAGTTTCCTTTTCTACCATTGACCTCAAAGCGGCTGAAATCTCCACTTGCAAATTCCAAAAAAAGAGTGTTTCAAGTCTGCTCTGTGTAAAGGATCGTTCAACTCTGTGAGTTGAATACACACAACACAAGGAAGTTACTGAGAATTCTTCTGTCTAGCAGAATATGAAGAAATCCCGTTTCCAACGAACGCCACAAGATGTCAGAATATCCACTTACAGAATTGACAAACAGACTGTTTCCTAACTGCTCTATGAAAAGAAAGGTTAAACTCTGTGAGTTGAACGAACACATCACAACGCAGTTTCTGGGAATGATTCTGTCTAGTTTTTATACGAAGATATTTCCTTTTCTACCATTGACCTCAAAGCGGCTGAAATCACCACTTGCCAATTGCACAAAAAGAGTGTTTCAAATCTGCTCTGTCTAAGGGAACGTTCAACTCTTGTGAGTTGAATGTACACAACACAAGGAAGTTACTGAGAATTCTTCTGTCTAGCCTTACAGGAAGAAAACCCGTTTCCAACGAAGGCCTCTAAGTGGTCAAAATATCCACGTGCAGACTTTACAAACAGAGTGTTTCCAAACTGCTGAATGAAAAGAAAAGTTAAACCCTGAGAGTTGAACGCACACATCGCAGAGCAGTTTCTGAGAATGATTCTGTCTAGTTTTGAATCGAAGATATTTCCTTTTCTGCCATTGACCTTAATGCGCTTGAAATCTACACTTGCAAATTGCACAAATAGAGTGTTTCAAATCTGATCTCTCTAAATGAAAGTTCAACTCTGTCAGTTGAATACACACAACACAAGGAAGTTACGGAGAATTCTTCTGTCTAGCCTTATATGAAAAAAACCCGTTTCCAACGAAGGCCTCAAAGAGGTCTGAATATCCACTTGCAGACTTTACAAACAGAGTGTTTCCTAACTGCTCTATGAAAAGGAAGGTTAAACTGTGTGAGTTGAACGCACACATCACAAAGGAGTTTCTGAGAATCATTCTGTCTAGTTTTATAGGAAGATATTTCCTTTTCTACCTTTGACTTCAAAGCGGCTGAAATCTCCACTTGCAAATTCCACAAAAAGAGTGTTACAAGTCTGCTCTGTGTAAAGGATCGTTCAACTCTGTGAGTTGAATACACACAACACAAGGAAGTTACTGAGAATTCTTCTGTCTAGCATAATATGAAGAAATCCCGTTTCCAACGAAGGCCACAAAGAGGTCTGAATATCCACTTGCAGACTTTACAAACAGAGTGTTTCCTAACTGCTCTATGAACAGAAAGGTTAAACTCTGTGAGTTGAACGAACACATCACAACGCAGTTTGTGGGAATGATTCTGTCTAGTTTTGAAACGAAGATATTTCCTTTTCTGCCGTTGACCTTAAAGAGCTTGAAAACTACACTTGCAAATTGCACAAATAGAGTGTTTCAAATCTGCTCTGTCTAAGGGAACGTTCAACTCTGTGAGTTGAATGCACACAACACAAGGAAGTTACTGGGAATTCTTCTGTCTAGAATTACATGAAAAAAACCCGTTTCCAACGAAGGCCTCTAAGTGGACAAAATATCCACGTGCAGACTTTACAAACAGAGTGTTTCCAAACCGCTGAATGAAAAGAAAAGTTAAACTCTGAGAGTTGAACGCACACATCACGCAGCAGTTTCTGAGAATGATTCTGTCTAGTTTTTATACGAAGATATTTCCTTTTCTGCCTTTGACCTCAAAGCGCTTGAAATCTCCATTTGCAAATTCCACAAAAAGACTGTTTCAAATCTGCTCTGTGTAAATGAAAGTTCAACTCTGTGAGTTGAACACACACAACACAAGGAAGTTACTGGGAATTCTTCTTTCTAGCAGAATATGAAGAAATCCCGTTTCCAACGAAAGCCTCAAGGATGTCTGAATATTCACTTGCAGACTTTACAAACAGAGTGTTTCCTAACTGATCTATGAAAAGAAAGGTTAAACTCTGTGAGTTGAACGCACACATCACAAAGGAGTTTCTGAGAATCATTCTGTCTAGTTTTTCTACGAAGATATTTCCTTTTCTACTGTTGACCTCAAAGCGGCTGAAATCTCCACTTGCAAATTCCACAAAAAGAGTGTTTCAAGTCTGCTCTGTGTAAAGGATCGTTCAACTGTGTGAGTTGAATACACACAACACAAGGAAGTTACTGAGAATTCTTCTGTCTAGCAGAATATGAAGAAATCCCGTTTCCAACGAAGGCCACAAGATGTCAGAATATCCACTTATAGAATTTGCAAACAGACTGTTTCCTAACTGCTCTATGAAAAGAAACGTTAAACTCTGTGAGATGAACGAACACATCACAACGCAGCTTGTGGGAATGATTCTGTCTAGTTTTGAAACGGAGATATTTCCTTTTCTGCCATTGACCTTAAAGCGCTTGAAATCTCCACTTTCCAATTGCACAAAAAGAGTGTTTCAAATCTGCTCTGTCTAAGGGAACGTTCAACTCTGTGAGTTGAATGTACACAACACAAGGAAGTTACTGGGAATTCTTCTGTCTAGCCTTACATGAAAAAACCCGTTTCCAACGAAGGCCTCTAAGTGGTCAAAATATCCACGTGCAGACTTTACAAACAGAGTGTTTCCAAACTGCTGAATGAAAAGAAAAGTTAAACTCTGAGAGTTGAACGCACACATCACAGAGCAGTTTCTGAGAATGATTCTGTCTAGTTTTTATACGAAGATATTTCCTTTTCTACCATTGACCTCAACGCGGCTGAAATCTCCACTTGCAAATTCCACAAGAAGAGTGTTTCAAGTCTGCTCTGTGTAAAGGATCGTTCAACTCTGTGAGTTGAATACACACAACACAAGGAAGTTACTGAGAATTCTTCTGTCTAGCACAGTATGAAGAAATCCCGTTTCCAACGAAGGCCTCAAAGAGGTCTGAATATCCACTTGCAGAGTTTACAAACAGAGTGTTTCCTAACTGCTCTATGAAAAGAAAGGTTAAACTCTGTGAGTTGAACGCACACATCACAAAGGAGTTTCTGAGAATCATTCTGTCTAGTTTCTATAGGAAGATATTTCCTATTCTACCATTGACCTCAAAGCGGCTGAAATCTCCACTTGCAAATACCACAAAAAGAATGTTTCAAGTCTGCTCTGTGTAAAGGATCGTTCAATTCTGTGAGTTGAATACACACAACACAAGGAAGTTACTGAGAATTCTTCTTTCTAGCAGAATATGAAGAAATCCCGTTTCCAACGAAGGCCTCAAGGAGGTCTGAATATCCACTGGCAGACTTTACAAACAGAGTGTTTCCTAACTGCTCTATGAACAGAAAGGTTAAACTCTGTGAGTTGAACGAACACATCACAACGCAGTTTGTGGGAATGAATCTGTCTAGTTTTGAAACGAAGATATTTCCTTTTCTGCCATTGACCTTAAAGCGCTTGAAATCTCCATTTGCCAATTGCACAAAAAGAGTGTTTCAAATCTGCTCTGTCTAAGGGAACGTTCAACTCTGTGAGTTGAATGTACACAACACAAGGAAGTTACTGGGAAATCTTCTGACTAGCCTTACAGGAAAAAAACCCGTTTCCAACGAAGGCCTCTAAGTGGTCAAAATATCCACGTGCAGACTTTACAAACAGAGTGTTTCCAAACTGCTGAATGAAAAGAAAAGTTAAACTCTGAGAGTTGAACGCACACATCGCAGAGCAGTTTCTGAGAATGATTCTGTCTAGTTTTTATACGAAGATATTTCCTTTTCTGTCTTTGGCCTCAAAGCGCTTGAAATCTCCACTTGCAAATTCCACAAAAAGAGTGTTTCAAATCTGCTCTGTGTAAATGAGAGTTCAACTCTGTGAGTTGAACACACACAACACAAGGAAGTTACTGGGAATTCTTCTGTCAGGCATAATATGAAGAAAACCCGTTTCCAACGAAGGCCTCAAAGAGGTCTGAATATCCACTTGCAGAGTTTACAAACAGAGTGTTTCCTAACTGCTCTATGAAAAGAAAGGTTAAACTCTGTGAGTTGAACGCACACATCACAAAGGAGTTTCTGAGAATCATCTGTCTAGTTTTTCTACGAAGATATTTCCTTTTCTACTATTGACCTCAAAGCGGCTGAAATCTCCACTTGCAAATTCCACAAAAAGAGTGTTTCAAGTCTGCTCTGTGTAAAGGATCGTTCAACTCTGTGAGTTGAATACACACAACACAAGGAAGTTACTGAGAATTCTTTCTGTCTAGCAGAATATGAAGAAATCCTGTTTCCAACGAAGGCCACAAGATGTCAGAATATCCACTTACAGAATTGACAAACAGACTGTTTCCTAACTGCTCTATGAAAAGAAAGGTTAAACTCTGTGAGTTGAACGAACACATCACAACGCAGTTTGTGGGAATGATTCTGTCTAGTTTTTATAGGAAGATATTTCCTTTTCTACCTTTGACTTCAAAGCGGCTGAAATCTCCACTTGTAAATTCCACAAAAAGAGTGTTACAAGTCTGCTCTGTGTAAAGGATCGTTCAACTCTGTGAGTTGAATACACACAACACAAGGAAGTTACTGAGAATTCTTCTGTCTAGCCTTACATGAAAAAAACCGTTTCCAACGAAGGCCTCTAAGTGGTCAAATTATCCACGTGCAGACTTTACAAACAGAGTGTTTCCAAACTGCTGAATGAAAAGAAAAGTTAAACTCTGAGAGTTGAACGCACACATCGCAGAGCAGTTTCTGAGAATGATTCTGTCTAGTTTTGAAACGAAGATATTTCCTTTTCTGCCTTTGGCCTCAAAGCGCTTGAAATCTCCACTTGCATATTCCACAAAAAGAGTGTTTCAAATCTGCTCTGTGTAAATGAAAGTTCAACTCTGTGAGTTGAACACACACAACACAAGGAAGTTACTGGGAATTCTTCTGTCTAGCAGAATATGAAGAAATCCCGTTTCCACCGAAGGCCTCAAGGAGGTCTGAATATCCACTTGCAGACTTTACAAACAGAGTGTTTCCTAACTGCTCTATGAACAGAAAGGTTAAACTCTGTGAGTTGAACGCACACATCCCAAAGGAGTTTCTGAGAATCATTCTGTCTAGTTTTTCTACGAAGATATTTCCTTTTCTACTATTGACCTCAAAGCGGCTGAAACCTCCACTTGCAAATTCCACAAAAAGAGTGTTTCAAGTCTGCTCTGTGTAAAGGATCGTTCAACTCTGTGAGTTGAATACACACAACACAAGGAAGTTACTGAGAATTCTTCTGTCTAGCAGAATATGAAGAAATCCCGTTTCCAACGAAGGCCTCATAGAGGTCTGAATATCCACTTGCAGACTTTACAAACAGAGTGTTTCCTAACTGTTCTATGAAAAGAAAGGTTAAACTCTGTGAGTTGAACGCACACATCACAAAGGAGTTTCTGAGAATCGTTCTGTCTAGTTTTGAAACGAAGATATTTCCTTTTCTGCCATTGACCTTAAAGCGCTTGAAATCTACACTGGCAAATTGCACAAATAGAGTGTTTCAAATCTGCTCTGTCGAAGGGAACGTTCATCTCTGTGAGTTGAATGCACACAACACAAGGAAGTTACTGGGAATTTTTCTGTCTAGCCTTACATGAAAAAAACCCGTTTCCAACGAAGGCCTCTAAGTGTTCAAAATATCCACGTGCAGACTTTACAACCCGAGAGTTTCCAAACTGCTAAATGAAAAGAAAAGTTAAACTCTGAGAGTTGAACGCACACATCACAGAGCGGTTTCTGAGAATGATTCTGTCTAGTTTTTATACGAAGATATTTCCTTTTCTGCCTTTGGCCTCAAAGCGCTTGAAATCCCCACTTGCAAATTCCACAAAAAGAGTGTTTCAAATCTGCTCTGTGTAAATGAAAGTTCAACTCTGTGAGTTGAACACACACAACACAAGGAAGTTACTGGGAATTCTTCTGTCTAGCCTTATATGAAAAAAACCCGTTTCCAACGAAGGCCTCAAAGAGGTCTGAATATCCACTTGCAGACTTTACAAACAGATTGTTTCCTAACTGCTCTATGAAAAGAAAGGTTAAACTCTGTGAGTTGAACGCACACATCACAAAGGAGTTTCTGAGAATCATTCTGTCTAGTTTCTATAGGAAGATATTTCCTATTCTACCATTGACCTCAAAGCGGCTGAAATCTCCACTTGCAAATTCCACAAAAAGAATGTTTCAAGTCTGCTCTGTGTAAAGGATCGTTCAACTCTGTGATTTGAATACACACAACACAAGGAAGTTACTGAGAATTCTTCTGTCTAGCATAATATGAAGAAATCCCGTTTCCAACGAAGGCCTCAAATAGGTCTGAATATCCACTTGCAGACTTTACAAACAGAGTGTTTCCTAACTGCTCTGTGAAAAGAAAAGTTAAACTCTTTGAGTTGAACGCACACATCACAAAGGAGTTTCTGAGAATCATTCTGTCTAGTTTTGAAAGTAAGATATTTCCTTTTCTGCCATTGACCTTAAAGCGCTTGAAATCTCCACTTGCTAATTGCACAAAAAGAGTGTTTCAAATCTGCTCTGTCTAAGGGAACGTTCAACTCTGTGAGTTGAATGTACACAACACAAGGAAGTTACTGGGAATTCTTCTATCTAGCCTTACAGGAAAAAAACCCGTTTCCAACGAAGGCCTCTAAGTGGTCAAAATATCCACGTGCAGACTTTACAAACAGAGTGTTTCCAAACTGCTGAATGAAAAGAAAAGTTAAACTCTGAGAGTTGAACGCACACATCGCAGAGCAGTTTCTGAGAATGATTCTGTCTAGTTTTTATACGAAGATATTTCCTTTTCTGCCTTTGGCCTCAAAGCGCTTGAAATCTCTACTTGCAAATTCCACAAAAAGAGTGTTTCAAATCTGCTCTGTGTAAATCAAAGTTCAACTCTGTGAGTTGAACACACACAACACAAGGAAGTTACTGGGAATTCTTCTGTCTAGCAGAATATGAAGAAATCCCGTTTCCAACGAAGGCCTCAAGGAGGTCTGAATATCCACTTGCAGACTTTACAAACAGAGTGTTTCCTAACTGCTCTATGAAAAGAAAGGTTAAACTCTGTGAGTTGAACGCACACATCACAAAGGAGTTTGTGAGAATCATTCTGTCTAGTTTTTATAGGAAGATATTTCCTTTTCTACCTTTGACTTCAAAGCGGCTGAAATCTCCCCTTGCAAATTCCACAAAAAGAGTGTTACAAGTCTGCTCTGTGTAAAGGATCGTTCAACTCTGTGAGTTGAATACACACAACACAAGGAAAGTTACTGAGAATTCTTCTGTCTAGCCTTACATGAAAAAAACCCGTTTCCAACGAAGGCCTCAAAGAGGTCAAAATATCCACTTGCAGACTTTACAAACAGAGTGTTTCCTAACTACTCTATGAATAGAAAGGTTAAACTCTGTGAGTTGAACACACACTTCACACAGGAGTTTCTGAGAATCATTCTGTCTAGTTTTGAAACGAAGATATTTCCTTTTCTGCCGTTGACCTTAAAGCGCCTGAAATCTACACTTGCAAATTGCACAAATAGAGTGTTTCAAATCTGCTCTGTCTAAGGGAACGTTCAACTCTGTGAGTTGAATGCACACAACACAAGGAAGTTACTGGGAATTCTTCTGTCTAGCCTTACAGGAAAATAACCCGTTTCCAACGAAGGCCTCTAAGTGGTCAAAATATCCACGTGCAGACTTTACAAACAGAGTGTTTCCAAACTGCTGAATGAAAAGAAAAGTTAAACTCTGAGAGTTGAACGCACACATCGCAGAGCAGTTTCTGAGAATGATTCTGTCTAGTTTTTATACGAAGATATTTCCTTTTCTGCCTTTGGCCCCAAAGCGCTTGAAATCTCCATTTGCAAATTCCACAAAAACAGTGTTTCAAATCTGCTCTCTCTAAATGAAAGTTCAACTCTGTCAGTTGAATACACACAACACAAGGAAGTTACTGAGAATTCTTCTGTCTAGCCTTATTTGAAAAAAACCCGTTTCCAACGAAGGCCTCAAAGAGGTCTGAATATCCACTTGCAGACTTTACAAACAGAGTGTTTCCTAACTGCTCTATGAAACGAAAGGTTAAACTCTGTGAGTTGAGCGCACACATCTCAAAGGAGTTTCTGAGAATCATTCTGTCTAGTTTTTATAGGAAGATATTTCCTTTTCTACCTTTGACTTGAAAGCGGCTGAAATCTCCACTTGCAAATTCCACAAAAAGAGTGTTACAAGTCTGCTCTGTCTAAGGGAACGTTCAACTCTGTGAGTTGAATGTACACAACACAAGGAAGTTACTGGGAATTCTTCTGTCTAGCCTTACAGGAAAAAAACCCGTTTCCAACGAAGGCCTCTAAATGGTCAAAATATCCACGTGCAGACTTCACAAACAGAGTGTTTCCAAACTGCTGAATGAAAAGAAAAGTTAAACTCTGAGAGTTCAACGCACACATCGCAGAGCAGTTTCTGAGAATGATTCTGTCTAGTTTTGAAACGAAGATATTTCCTTTTCTGCCATTGACCTTAAAGCGCTTGAAATCTCCATTTGCCAATTGCACAAAAAGAGTGTTTCAAATCTGCTCTGTCTAAGGGAACAGTTCAACTCTGTGAGTTGAATGTACACAACACAAGGAAGTTACTGGGAATTCTTCTGTCTAGCCTTACATGAAAAAAACCCGTTTCCAACGAAGGCCTCTAAGTGGTCAAAATATCCACGTGCAGACTTTACAAACAGAGTGTTTCCAAACCGCTGAATGAAAAGAAAGGTTAAACTCTGAGAGTTGAACGCACACATCACGCAGCAGTTTCTGAGAATGATTCTGTCTAGTTTTTATACGAAGATATTTCCTTTTCTGCCTTTGGCCCCAAAGCGCTTGAAATCTCCAATTGCAAATTACACAAAAACAGTGTTTCAAATCTGCTCTCTCTAAATGAAAGTTCAACTCTGTCAGCTGAATACACACAACACAAGGAAGTTACTGAGAATTCTTCTGTCTAGCCTTATATGAAAAAA
This sequence comes from Homo sapiens, assembly GCF_000001405.40. Taxonomy (NCBI): domain Eukaryota; kingdom Metazoa; phylum Chordata; class Mammalia; order Primates; family Hominidae; genus Homo; species Homo sapiens. The sequence continues at coordinate 49,138,435 of NC_000005.10, read as the reverse complement.
ACCCGTTTCCAACGAAGGCCTCAAAGAGGTCTGAATATCCACTTGCAGACTTTACAAACAGAGTGTTTCCTAACTGCTCTATGAAAAGAAACGTTAAACTCTGTGAGTTGAACGCACACATTACAAAGGAGTTTCTGAGAATCATTCTGTCTAGTTTTTATACGAAGATATTTCCTTTTCTACCATAGACCTCAAAGCGGCTGAAATCTCCACTTGCAAATCCCACAAAAAGAGTGTTTCAAGTCTGCTCTGTGTAAAGGATCGTTCAACACTGTGAGTTGAAAACACACAACACAAGGAAGTTTCTGAGAATTCTTCTGTCTAGCAGAATATAAAGAAATCCCGTTTCCAACGAAGGCCACAAGATGTCAGAATATCCACTTACAGACTTTACAAACAGTGTGTTTCCTAACTGCTCTATGAACGGAAAGGTTAAACTCTGTGAGTTGAACGAAAACATCACAACGCAGTTTGTGGGAATGATTCTGTCTAGTTTTGAAACGAAGATATTTCCTTTTCTGCCATTGACCTTAAAGCGCTTGAAATCTCCACTTGCCAATTGCACAAAAAGAGTGTTTCAAATCTGCTCTGTCTAAGGGAACGTTCAACTCTGTGAGTTGAATGTACACAACACAAGGAATTTACTGGGAAATCTTCTGTCTAGCCTTACATGAAAAAAACCCGTTTCCAACGAAGGCCTCTAAGTGGTCAAAATTTCCACGTGCAGACTTTACAAACAGAGTGTTTCCAAACCGCTGAATGAAAAGAAAAGTTAAACTCTGAGAGTTGAACGCACACATCACGCAGCAGTTTTCTGAGAATGATTCTGTCTAGTTTTTATATGAAGATATTTCCTTTTCTGCCTTTGGCCCCAAAGCGCTTGAAATCTCCACTTGCAAATTCCACAAAAACAGTGTTTCAAATCTACTCTCTCTAAATGAAAGTTCAACTCTGTCAGTTGAATACACACAACACAAGGAAGTTACTGAGAATTCTTCTGTCTAGCAGAATATGAAGAAATCCCGCTTCCAACGAAGACCTCAAAGAAGTCTGAATATCCACTTGCAGACTTTACAAACAGAGTGTTTCCCAACTGCTCTATGAAAAGAAAGGTTGAACTCTGTGAGTTGAACGCACACATCACAAAGGAGTTTCTGAGAATCATTCTGTCTAGTTTCTATAGGAAGATATTTCCTATTCTACCATTGACCTCAAAGCGGCTTAAATCTCCACTTGCAAATTCCACAAAAAGTGTGTTTCAAGTCTGCTTTGTGTAAATGATCGTTCAACTCTGTGAGTTGAATACACAAAACACAAGGAAGTTACTGAGAATTCTTCTGTCTAGCAGAATATGAAGTAATCCCGTTTCCAACGAAGGCCACAAGATGTCAGAATATCCACTTACAGAATTTACAAACAGACTGTTTCCTAACTGCTCTATGAAAAGAAAGGTTAAACTCTGTGAGTTGAACAAACACATCACAACGCAGTTTGTGGGAATGATTCTGCCTAGTTTTGAAACGAAGATATTTCCTTTTCTGCCATTGACCTTAAAGCGCTTGAAATCTACACTTGCAAATTGCACAAATAGAGTGTTTCAAATCTGCTCTGTCTAAGGGAACGTTCAACTCTGTGAGTTGAATGCACACAACACAAGGAAGTTACTGGGAATTCTTCTGTCTAGCCTTACATGAAAAAAACCCGTTTCCAACCGAAGGCCTCTAAGTGGTCAAAATTTCCACGTGCAGACTTTACAAACAGAGTGTTTCCAAAGCGCTGAATGAAAAGAAAAGTTAAACTCTGAGAGTTGAACGCACACATCACGCAGCAGTTTCTGAGAATGATTCTGTCTAGTTTTTATACGAAGATATTTCCTTTTCTGCCTTTGGCCTCAAAGCGCTTGAAATCTCCATTTGCAAATTCCACAAAAAGAGTGTTCCAAATCTGCTCTGTGTAAATGAAAGTTCAACTCTGTGAGTTGAACACACACAACACAAGGAAGTTACTGGGAAATCTTCTGCCTAGCAGAATAAGAAGAAATCCCGTTTCCAAAGAAGGCCTCAAGGAGGTCTGAATATCCACTTGCAGACTTTACAAACAGAGTGTTTCCTAACTGCTCTATGAAAAGAAAGGTTAAACTCTGTGAGTTGAACGCACACATCACAAAGGAGTTTCTGAGAATCATTCTGTCTAGTCTTTATACGAAGAGATTTCCTTTTCTACCATTGACCTCAAAGCGGCTGAAATCTCCACTTGCAAATTCCACAAAAAGACTGTTTCAAGTCTGCTCTGTGTAAAGGATCGTTCAACTCTGTGAGTTGAATACACACAACACAAGGAAGTTACTGAGAATTCTTCTGTCTAGCATAATATGAAGAAATCCCGTTTCCAACGAAGGCCTCAAAGAGGTCTGAATATCCACTTGCAGACTTTACAAACAGAGTGTTTCCTAACTGCTCTATGAAAAGGAAAGTTAAACTCTGTGAGTTGAACACACACATCACAAAGGAGTTTCTGAGAATCATTCTGTCTAGTTTTGAAACGAAGATATTTCCTTTTCTGCCATTGACTTTAAAGCGCTTGAAATCTACACTTGCAAATTGCACAAATAGAGTGTTTCAAATCTGCTCTGTCTAAGGGAACGTTCAACTCTGTGAGTTGAATGCACACAACACAAGGAAGTTACTGGGAATTCTTTCTGTCTAGCCTTACATGCAAAAAACCCGTTTCCAACGAAGGCCTCTAAGTGGTCAAAATATCCACGTGCAGACTTTACAAACAGAGTGTTTCCAAACCGCTGAATGAAAAGAAAAGTTAAACTCTGAGAGTTGAACGCACACATCACGCAGCAGTTTCTGAGAATGATTCTGTCTAGTTTTTATACGAAGATATTTCGTTTTCTGCCTTTGGCCCCAAAGCGCTTGAAATCTCCACTTGCAAATTCCACAAAAACAGTGTTTCAAATCTGCTCTCTCTAAATGAAAGTTCAACTCTGTCAGTTGAATAAACACAACACAAGGAAGTTACTGAGAATTCTTCTGTCTAGCAGAATATGAAGAAATCCCGTTTCCAACGAAGGCCTCAAAGAGGTCTGAATATCCACTTGCAGACTTTACAAACAGAGTGTTTCCTAACTGCTCTATGAAAAGAAAGGTTAAACTCTGTGAGTTGAACACACACATCACAAAGGAGTTTCTGAGAATCGTTCTGTCTAGTTTCTATAGGAAGATATTTCCTATTCTACCATTGACCTCAAAGCGGCTGAAATCTCCACTTGCAAATTCCACAAAAAGAATGTTTCAAGTCTGCTCAGTGTAAAGGATCGTTCAACTCTGTGAGTTGAATACACACAACACAAGGAAGTTACTGAGAATTCTTCTGTCTAGCGAAATATGAAGAAATCCCGTTTCCAACGAAGGCCACAAGATGTCAGAATATCCACTTACAGACTTTACAAACAGAGTGTTTCCTAACTGCTCTATGAACAGAAAGGTTAAACTCTGTGAGTTGAACGAACACATCACAACGCAGTTTGTGGGAATGATTCTGTCTAGTTTTGAAACGAAGATATTTCCTTTTCTGCCTTTGACCTTAAAGCGCTTGAAATCTACACTTGCAAATTGCACAAATAGAGTGTTTCAAATCTGCTCTGTCTAAGGGAACGTTCAACTCTGTGAGTTGAATGCACACAACACAAGGAAGTTACTGGGAATTCTTCTGTCTAGCCTTACATGAAAAAAACCCGTTTCCAACGAAGGCCTCTAAGTGGTCAAAATTTCCACGTGCAGACTTTACAAACAGAGTGTTTCCAAACCGCTGAATGAAAAGAAAAGTTAAACTCTGAGAGTTGAACGCACACATCACGCAGCAGTTTCTGAGAATGATTCTGTCTAGTTTTTATACGAAGATATTTCCTTTTCTGCCTTTGGCCCCAAAGCGCTTGAAATCTCCACTTGCAAATTCCACAAAAACAGTGTTTCAAAACTACTCTCTCTAAATGAAAGTTCAACTCTGTCAGTTGAATACACACAACACAAGGGAAGTTACTGAGAATTCTTCTGTCTAGCATAATATGAAGAAATCCCGTTTCCAACGAAGGCCTCTAAGAGGTCTGAATATCCACTTGCAGACTTTACAAACAGAGTGTTTCCTAACTGCTCTATGAAAAGAAAGGTTAAACTCTGTGAGTTGAAAGCACCCATCACAAAGGAGTTTCTGAGAATCATTCTGTCTAGTTTTTATAGGAAGATATTTCCTTTTCTAACTTTGACTTCAAAGCGGCTGAAATCTCCACTTGCAAATTCCACAAAAAGAGTGTTACAAGTCTGCTCTGTGTAAAGGATCGTTCAACTCTGTGAGTTGAATACACACAACACAAGGAAGTTACTGAGAATTCTTCTGTCTAGCATAGTATGAAGAAATCCCGTTTCCAACGAAGGCCTCAAAGAGGTCTGATTATCCACTTGCAGACTTTACAAACAGAGTGTTTCCTAACTGCTCTATGAAAAGAAAGGTTAAACTCTGTGAGTTGGACGCACACATCACAAAGAAGTTTCTGAGAATCATTCTGTCTAGTTTTGAAACGAAGATATTTCCTTTTCTGCCATTGACCTTAAAGCGCTTGAAATCTCCATTTGCCAATTGCACAAAAAGAGTGTTTCAAATCTGCTCTGTCTAAGGGAACGTTCAACTCTGTGAGTTGAATGTACACAACAGAAGGAAGTTACTGGGAATTCTTCTGTCTAGCCTTACATGAAAAAAACCCGTTTCCAACGAAGGCCTCTAAGTGGTCAAGTTATCCACGTGCAGATTTTACAAACAGAGTGTTTCCAAACTGCTGAATGAAAAGAAAAGTTAAACTCTGAGCTTTGAACAGACACATCGCAGAGCAGTTTCTGAGAATGATTCTGTCTAGTTTTTATACGAAGAATATTTCCTTTTCTGACTTTGGCCCCAAAGCGCTTGAAATCTCCACTTGCAAATTCCACAAAAACAGTGTTTCAAATCTGCTCTCTCTAAATGAAAGTTCAAATCTGTCAGTTGAATACACACAACACAAAGAAGTTACTGAGAATTCTTCTGTCTAGCATAATATGAAGAAATCCCGTTTCCAACGAAGGCCTCAAAGGGGTCTGAATATCCACTTGCAGACTTTATAAACAGAGTGTTTACTAACTGCTCTATGAAAAGAAAGGTTGAACTCTGTGAGTTGAACACACACATCACAAAGGAGTTTCTGAGAATCATTCTGTCTAGTTTTTCTACGAAGATATTTCCTTTTCTACTATTGACCTCAAAGCGGCTGAAATCTCCACTTGCAAATTCTACAAATAGAGTGTTTCAAGTGTGCTCTGTGTAAAGGATCGTTCAACTCTGTGAGTTGAATACACATAACACAAGGAAGTTACTGAGAATTCTTCTGTCTAGCAGAATATGAAGAAATCCCGTTTCCAACGAAGGCCTCAAGGAGGTCTGAATATCCACTGGCAGACTTTACAAACAGAGTGTTTCCTAACTGCTCTATGAACAGAAAGGTTAAACTCTGTGAGTTGAACGAACACATCACAACGCGGTTTGTGGGAATGATTCTGTCTAGTTTTGAAACGAAGATATTTCCTTTTCTGCCGTTGACCTTAAAGCGCTTGAAATCTACACTTGCAAATTGCACAAATAGAGTGTTTCAAATCTGCTCTGTCTAAGGGAACGTTCAACTCTGTGACTTGAATGCACACAACACAAGGAAGTTACTGGGAATTCTTCTGTCTAGCCTTACATGAAAAAAACCCGTTTCCAACGAAGGCCTCTAAGTGGTCAAAATTTCCACATGCAGACTTTACAAACAGAGTGTTTCCAAACCGCTGAATGAAAAGAAAAGTTAAACTCTGAGAGTTGAACGCACACATCACGCAGCAGTTTCTGAGAATGATTTCTGTCTAGTTTTTATACGAAGATATTTCCTTTTCTGCCTTTGGCCTCAAAGCGCTTGAAATCTCCACTTGCAAATTCCACAAAAAGAGTGTTTCCAATCTGCTCTGTATAAATGAAAGTTCAACACTGTGAGTTGAACACACACAACACAAGGAAGTTACTGGGAATTCTTCTGTATAGCAGAATATGAAGAAATCCCGTTTCCAACGAAGGCCTCAAGGAGGTCTGAATATCCACTTGCAGACTTTACAGAGTGTTTCCTAACTGCTCTATGAAAAGAAAGGTTAAACTCTGTGAGTTGAACGCACACATCACAAAGGAGTTTCTGAGAATCATTCTGTCTAGTCTTTATACGAAGATATTTCCTTTTCTACAATTGACCTCAAAGCGGCTGAAATCTCCACTTGCAAATTCCACAAAAAGAATGTTTCAAGTCTGCTCTCTGTAAAGGATCGTTCAACTCTGTGAGTTGAATACACACAACAGAAGGAAGTTACTGAGAATTCTTCTGTCTAGCATAATATGAAGAAATCCCGTTTCCAACGAAGGCCTCAAAGAGGTCTGAATATCCACTTGCAGACTTTACAAACAGAGTGTTTCCTAACTGCTCTATGAAAAGAAAAGTTAAACTCTGTGTGTTGAACGTACACATCACAAAGGAGTTTCTGAGAATCATTCTGTCTAGTTTTGAAACGAAGATATTTCCTTTTCTGCCGTTGACCTTAAAGCGCTTGAAATCTACACTTGCAAATTGCACAAATAGAGTGTTTCAAATCTGCTCTGTCTAAGGGAACGTTCAACTCTGTGAGTTGAATGCACACAACACAAGGAAGTTACTGGGAATTCTTCTTTTTAGCCTTACAGGAAAAAAACCCGTTTCCAACGAAGGCCTCTAAGTGGTCAAAATATCCACGTGCAGACTTTACAAACAGAGTGTTTCCAAACTGCTGAATGAAAAGAAAAGTTAAACTCTGAGAGTTGAACGCACACATCGCAGAGCAGTTTCTGAGAATGATTCTGTCTAGTTTTTATACGAAGATATTTCCTTTTCTGCCTTTGGCCCCAAAGCGCTTGAAATCTCCACTTGCAAATTCCACAAAAACAGTGTTACAAATCTACTCTCTCTAAATGAAAGTTCAACTCTGTCAGTTGAATACACACAACACAAGGAAGTTACTGAGAATTCTTCTGTCTAGCATAATATGAAGAAATCCCGTTTCCAACGAAGGCCTCAAGGAGGTCTGAATATCCACTTGCAGACTTTACAAACAGAGTGTTTCCTAACTGCTCTATGAAAAGAAAGGTTAAACTGTGTGAGTTGAACGCACACATCACAAAGAAGTTTCTGAGAATCATTCTGTCTAGTTTCTATAGGAAGATATTTCCTATTCTACCATTGACCTCAAAGCGGCTGAAATCTCCACTTGCAAATTCCACAAAAAGAGTGTTTCAGGTCTGCTCTGTGTAAAGGATCGTTCAACTCTGTGAGCTGAATACACACAATACAAGGAAGTTACTGAGAAGTCTTCTGTCTAGCAGAATATGCAGAAATCCCGTTTCCAACGAAGGCCACAAGATGTCAGAATATCCACTTTCAGACTTTACAAACAGAGTGTTTCCTAACTGCTCTATGAACAGAAAGGTTAAACTCTGTGAGTTGAACGAACACTTCACAACGCAGTTTGTGGGAATGATTCTGTCTAGTTTTTATAGGAAGATATTTCCTTTTCTACCTTTGACTTTAAAGCGGCTGAAATCTCCACTTGCAAATTCCACAAAAAGAGTGTTACAAGTCTGCTCTGTCTAAGGGAACGTTCAACTCTGTGAGTTGAATGTACACAACACAAGGAAATTACTGGGAATTCTTCTGTCTAGCCTTACATGAAAAAAACCCGTTTCCAACGAAGACCTCTAAGTGGTCAAATTATCCACGTGCAGACTTTACAAACAGAGTGTTTCCAAACTGCTGAATGAAAAGATAAGTTAAACTCTGAGAGTTGAACGCACACTTCGCAGAGCAGTTTCTGAGAATGATTCTGTCTAGTTTGTATAAGAAGATATATCCTATTCTACCATTGACCTCAAAGCGGCTGAAATCTCCACTTTCAAATTCGACAAAAAGAGTGTTTCAAGCCTGCTCTCTGTAAAGGATCCTTCAACTCTGTGAGTTGAATACACACAACACAAGGAAGTTACTGAGAATTCTTCTGTCTAGCATAATATGAAGAAATCCCGTTTCCAACGAAGGCCTCAAAGAGGTCTGAATATACACTTGCAGACTTTACAAACAGAGTGTTTCCTAACTGCTCTATGAGAAGAAAAGTTAAACTCTGTGAGTTGAACGCACACATCACAAAAGATTTTCTGAGAATCATTCTGTCTAGTTTTTATAGGAAGTTATTTCCTTTTCTACCTTTGACTTCAAAGTGGCTGAAATCTCCACTTGCAAATTCCACAAAAAGAGTGTTACAAGTCTGCTCTGTGTAAAGGATCGTTCAACTCTGTGAGTTGAATACACACAACACAAGGAAGTTACTGAGAATTCTTCTGTCTAGCCTTACATGAAAAAAACCCGTTTCCAACGAAGGCCTCTAAGTGGTCAAGTTATCCATGTGCAGACTTTACAAACAGACTGTTTCCAAACTGCTGAATGAAAAGAAAAGTTAAACTCTGAGAGTTGAACGCACACATCGCAGAGCAGTTTCTGAGAATGATTCTGTCTAGTTTTGAAACGAAGATATTTCCTTTTCTGCCATTGACCTTAAAGCGCTTGAAATCTACACTTGCAAATTGCACAAATAGAGTGTTTCAAATCTGCTCTGTCTAAGGGAACGTTCAACTCTGTGAGTTGAATGCAAACAACACAAGGAAGTTACTGGGAATTCTTCTGTCTAGCCTTACATGAAAAAATCCCGTTTCCAACGAAGGCCTCTAAGTGGTCAAAATATCCACGTGCAGACTTTACAAACAGAGTGTTTCCAAACCGCTGAATGAAAAGAAAACTTACACTCTGTGAGTTGAACGCACACATCACGCAGCAGTTTCTGAGAATGATTCTGTCTAGTCTGTATACGAACATAGTTTCCTTTTCTACCATTGACCTCAAAGCGGCTGAAATCTCCACTTGCAAATTCCACAAAAAGAGTGTTTCAAGTCTGCTCTGTGTAAAGGATCGTTCAACTCTGTGAGGTGAATACACACAACACAAGGAAGTTACTGACAATTCTTCTGTCTAGCAGAATATGAAGAAATCCCGTTTCCAACGAAGGCCTCAAGGAGGTCTGAATATCCACTTGCAGACTTTACACACAGAGTGTTTCCTAACTGCTCTATGAAAAGAAAGGTTAAACTCTGTGAGTTGAACGCACACATCACAAAGGACGTTTCTGAGAATCATTCTGTCTAGTTTTTATATGAAGATATTTCCTTTTCTACCATTGACCTCAAAGCGGCTGAAATCTCCACTTACAAATTCCACAAAAAGAGTGTCTCAAGTCTGCTCTGTGTAAACGATCGTTCAACTCTTTGAGTTGAATACACACAACACAAGGAAGTTTCTGAGAATTCTTCTGTCTAGCAGAATATGAAGAAATCCCGTTTCCCACGAAGGCCACAAGATGTCAGAATATCCACTTACAGAATTTACAAACAGACTGTTTCCTAACTGCTCTACGAAAAGAAAGGTTAAACTCTGTGAGATGAACGAACACATCACAACGCAGTTTGTGGGAATGATTCTGTCTAGTTTTGAAACGAAGATATTTCCTTTTCTGCCATTGACCTTAAAGCGCTTGAAATCTCCACTTGCCAATTGCACAAAAAGAGTGTTTCAAATCTGCTCTGTCTAAGGGAACGTTCAACTCTGTGAGTTGAATGTACACAACACAAGGAAGTTACTGGGAATTCTTCTGTCTAGCCTTACAGGAAAAAAACCCGTTTCCAACGAAGGCCTCTAAGTGGTCAAATTATCCACGTGCAGACTTTACAAACAGAGTGTTTCCAAACTGCTGAATGATAAGAAAAGTTAAACTCTGAGAGTTGAACGCACACATCGCAGAGCAGTTTCTGAGAATGATTCTGTCTACTTTTTATACGAAGATATTTCGTTTTCTGCCTTTGGCCCCAAAGCACTTGAAATCTCCACTTGCAAATTCCACAAAAACAGTGTTTCAAATCTGCTCTCTCTAAATGAAAGTTCAACTCTGTCAGTTGAATACACACAACACAAGGAAGTTACTGAGAATTCTTCTGTCTAGCATAATATGAAGAAATCCCGTTTCCAACGAAGGCCTCAAAGAGGTCTGAATATCCACTTGCACACTTTACAAACAGAGTGTTTCCTAACTGCTCTATGAGAAGAAAAGTTAAACTCTGTGAGTTGAACGCACACACAGAAAAGATTTTCTGAGAATCATTCTGTCTAGTTTCTATAAGAAGACATTTCCTATTCTACCATTGACCTCAAAGCGGCTGAAATCTCCACTTGCAAATTCGACAAAAAGAGTGTTTCAAGCCTGCTCTCTGTAAAGGATCGTTCAACTCTGTGAGTTGAATACACACAACACAAGGAAGTTACTGAGAATTCTTCTGTCTAGGAGAATATGAAGAAATCCCGTTTCCAACGAAGGCCACAAGATGTCACAATATCCACTTACAGAATTGACAAACAGACTGTTTCCTAACTGCTCTATGAAAAGAAAGGTTAAACTCTGTGAGTTGAACGAACACATCACAACGCAGTTTGTGGGAATGATTCTGTCTAGTTTTGAAACGAAGATATCTCCTTTTCTGCCATTGATCTTAAAGCGCTTGAAATCTACACTTGCAAATTGCACAAATAGAGTGTTTCAAATCTGCTCTGTCTAAGGGAACGTTCAACTCTGTGAGTTGAATGCACACAACACATGGAAGTTACTGGGAATTCTTCTGTCTAGCCTTACATGAAAAAAACCCGTTTCCAACGAAGGCCTCTAAGTGGTCAAGTTATCCACGTGCAGACTTTAAAAACAGAGTGTTTCCAAACTGTTGAATGAAAAGAAAAGTTAAACTCTGAGAGTTGAACGCACACATCGCAGAGCAGTTTCTGAGAATGATTCTGTCTAGTTTTTATACTGAAGATATTTCCTTTTCTGCCTTTGGCCTCACAAGCGCTTGAAATCTCCACTTGCAAATTCCACAAAATGAGTGTTTCAAATCTGCTCTGTGTAAATGAAAGTTCAACTCTGTGAGTTGAACACACACAACACAAGGAAGTTACTGGGAATTCTTCTGTCTAGCATAATATGAAGAAATCCCGTTTCCAACGAAGGCCTCAAAGGGGTCTGAATATCCACTTGCAGACTTTACAAACAGAGTGTTTCCTAACTGCTCTATGAAAAGAAAGGTTAAACTCTGTGAGTTGAACGCACACATCACAAAGGAGTTTATGAGAATCATTCTGTCTAGTCTTTATATGAAGATAGTTTCCTTTTCTACCATTGACCTCAAAGCGGCTGAAATCTCCACTTGCAAATTCCACAAAAAGAGTGTTTCAAGTCTGCTCTGTGTAAAGGATCGTTCAACTCCTGTGAGTTGAATACACACAACACAAGGAAGTTACTGAGAATTCTTCTGTCTAGCATAATATGAAGAAATCCCGTTTCCAACGAAGGCGTCAAAGAGGTCTGAATATCCACTTGCAGACTTTACAAACAGAGTGTTTCCTAACTGCTCTATGAAAAGAAAAGTTAAACTCTGTGAGTTGAACGCACACATCACAAAGGAGTTTCTGAGAATCATTCTGTCTAGTCTTTATACGAAGATATTTCCTTTTCTACCATTGACCTCAAAGCGGCTGAAATCTCCACTTGTAAATTCCACAAAAAGAGTGTTTCAAGTCTGCTCTGTGTAAAGGATCGTTCAACTCTGTGAGTTGAATACACACAACACAAGGAAGTTACTGAGAATTCTTCTGTCTAGCCTTACATGAAAAAAACCCGTTTCCAACGAAGGCCTCTAAGTGGTCAAAATTTCCACATGCAGACTTTACAAACAGAGTGTTTCCAAACCGCTGAATGAAAAGAAAAGTTAAACTCTGAGAGTTGAACGCACACATCACGCAGCAGTTTCTGAGAATGATTCTGTCTAGTTTTTATACGAAGATATTTCCTTTTCTACCATTGACCTCAAAGCGGCTGAAATCTCCACCCTGCCAATTCCACAAAAAGAGTGTTTCAAGTCTACTCTGTGTAAAGGATCGTTGAACTCTGTGAGTTGAAAACACACAACGCAACGAAGTTTCTGAGAATTCTTCTGTCTAGCAGAATATGAAGAAATCCCGTTTCCAACGAAAGCCTCAAAGATGTCTGAATATCCACTTGCAGACTTTACAAACAGAGTGTTTCCTAACTGCTCTATGAAAAGAAAGGTTAAACTCTGTGAGTTGAACGCACACATCACAAAGGAGTTTCTTAGAATCATTCTGTCTAGTTTTTATACGAAGATATTTCCTTTTCTACCATTGACCTCAAAGCGGCTGAAATCTCCACTTGCAAATTACACAAAAAGAGTGTTTCAAGTCTACTCTGTGTAAAGCATCGTTCAACTCTGTGAGTTGAAAACACACAACACAAGGAAAGTTTCTGAGAATTCTTCTGTCTAGCAGAATATGAAGAAATCCCGTTTCCAACGAAGGCCACAAGATGTCAGAATATCCACTTACAGAATTTACAAACAGACTGTTTCCTAACTCCTCTATTAAAACAAAGGTTAAACTCTGTGAGTTGAACGAACACATCACAACGCAGTTTGTGGGAATGATTCTGTCTAGTTTTGAAACGAAGATATTTCCTTTTCTGCCATTGACCTTAAAGCGCTTGAAATCTCCACTTGCCAATTGCACAAAAAGAGTGTTTCAAATCTGCTCTGTCTAAGGGAACGTTCAACTCTGTGAGATGAATGTACACAACACAAGGAAGTTACTGGGAATTCTTCTGTCTAGCCTTACAGGAAAAAAACCCGTTTCCAACGAAGGCCTCTAAGTGGTCAAAATATCCACGTGCAGACTTTACAAACAGAGTGTTTCCAAACTGCTAAATGAAAAGAAAAGTTAAACTCTGAGAGTTGAACGCACACATCGCAGAGCAGTTTCTGAGAATGATTCTGTCTAGTTTTGAAACGAAGATATTTCCTTTTCTGCCTTTGGCCTCAAAACGCTTGAAATCTCCACTTGCAAATTCCACAAAAAGAGTGTTTCAAATCTGCTCTGTGTAAATGAAAGTTCAACTCTGTGAGTTGAACACACACAACACAAGGAAGTTACTGGGAATTCTTCTGTCTAGCCTTATATGAAAAAAACCCGTTTCCAACGAAGACCTCAAAGAGGTCTGAATATCCACTTGCAGACTTTACAAACAGAGTGTTTCCTAACTGCTCTATGAAAAGAAAGGTTAAAATCTGTGAGTTGAACACACACATCACAAAGGAGTTTCTGAGAATCATTCTGTCTAGTTTTTATACGAAGATATTTCCTTTTCTACCGTTGACCTCAAAGCGGCTGAAATCTCCACTTGCAAATTCCACAAAAAGAGTGTTTCAAGTCTGCTCTGTGTAAAGGATCGTTCAACTCTGTGAGTTGAATACACACAACACAAGGAAGTTACTGAGAATTCTTCTGTCTAGCAGAATATGAAGAAATCCCGTTTCCAACGAAGGCCACAAGATGTCAGAATATCCACTTACAGACTTTACAAACAGAGTGTTTCCTAACTGCTCTATGAACAGAAAGGGTTAAACTCTGTGAGTTGAACGAACACATCACAACGCTGTTTGTGGGAATGATTCTGTCTAGTTTTGAAACGAAGATATTTCCTTTTCTGCCGTTGACCTTAAAGCGCTTGAAATCTACACTTGGAAATTGCACAAATAGAGTGTTTCAAATCTGCTCTGTCTAAGGGAACGTTCAACTCTGTGAGTTGAATGCACACAACACAAGGAAGTTACTGGGAATTCTTCTGTCTAGCATAATATGAAGAAATCCCGTTTCCAACGAAGGCCTCAAGGAGGTCTGAATATCCACTTGCAGACTTTACAAACAGAGTGTTTCCTAACTGCTCTATGAAAAGAAAGGTTAAATTCTGTGAGTTGAACGCACACATCACAAAGGAGTTTCTGAGAATCATTCTGTCTAGTTTTTATACGAAGATATTTCCTTTTCTACCATTGACCTCAAAGCGGCTGAAATCTCCACTTGCAAATTACACAAAAAGAGTGTTTCAAGTCTGCTCTGTGTAAAGGATCGTTCAACTCTGTGAGTTGAATACACACAACACAAGGAAGTTACTGAGAATTCTTCTTTCTAGCAGAATATGAAGAAATCCCGTTTCCAACGAAAGCCTCAAGGATGTCTGAATATCCACTTGCAGACTTTACAAACAGAGTGTTTCCTAACTGCTCTATGAAAAGAAAGGTTAAACTCTGTGAGTTGAACGCACACATCACAAAGGAGTTTCTGATAATCATTCTGTCTAGTTTCTATAGGAAGATATTTCCTATTCTACCGTTGACCTCAAAGCGGCTGAATTCTCCACTTGCAAATTCCACAACAAGAGTGTTTCAAGTCTGTTCTGTGTAAAGGATCATTCAACTCTGTGAGTTGAATACACACAACACAAGGAAGTTACTGAGAATTCTTCTGTCTAGCAGAATATGAAGAAATCCCGTTTCCAACGAAGGCCACAAGATGTCAGAATATCCACTTACAGAATTTACAAACAGAGTGTTTCCTAACTGCTCTATGAAAAGAAAGGTTAAACTCTGTGAGTTGAACGCACACATCACAAAGGAGTTTCTGAGAATCATTCTGTCTAGTTTTGAAACGAAGATATTTCCTTTTCTGCCATTGACCTTAAAGCGCTTGAAATCTACACTTGCAAATTGCATAAATAGAGTGTTTCAAATCTGCTCTGTCTAAGGGAACGTTCAACTCTGTGAGTTGAATGCACACAACACAATGAAGTTACTGGGAATTCTTCTGTCTAGCCTTACGTGAAAAAAACCCGTTTCCAACGAAGGCCTCTAAGTGGTCAAGTTATCCACGTGCAGACTTTACAAACAGAGTGTTTCCAAACTGCTGAATGAAAAGAAAAATTAAACTCTGAGAGTTGAACGCACACATCGCAGAGCAGTTTCTGAGAATGATTCTGTCTAGTTTTTATACGAAGATATTTCCTTTTCTGCCTTTGGCCCCAAAGCGCTTGAAATCTCCACTTGCAAATTCCACAAAAACAGTGTTTCAAATCTGCTCTCTCTAAACGAAAGTACAACTCTGTCAGTTGAATACACAGAACACAAGGAAGTTACTGAGAATTCTTCTGTGTGCTTTTCATTTGAAGGTATTTCCTTTTCCACCATAGGCCGCAAAGGGCTCCAAATATCCCCTTGCAGATTCTGCAAAATGAGAGATTCAAAACTGCTCAATCAAAAGATAGGTTCAACTCTGTGAGTTGAATGCTCACATAACAAAGAAGTTTCTGAGAATCATTCTGTCTAGTTTTTCTGTGAAGATATTTCCTTTTCTACTATTGACCTCAAAGCGGCTGAAATCTCCACTTGCAAATTCCACAAAAAGAGTGTTTCAAGTCTGCTCTCTGTAAAGGATCGTTCAACTCTGTGAGTTGAATACACACAACACAAGGAAGTTACTGACAATTCTTCTGTCTAGCAGAATATGAAGAAATCCCGTTTCCTACGAAGGCCACAAGATGTCAGAGTATCCACTTACAGACTTTACAAACAGAGTGTTTCCTAACTGCTCTATGAACAGAAAGGTTAAACTCTGTGAGTTGAACGAACACATCACAACGCAGTTTGTGGGAATGATTCTGTCTAGTTTTGAAACGAAGATATTTCCTTTTCTGCCATTGACCTCAAAGCGCTTGAAATCTCCACTTGCCAATTGCACAAAAAGAGTGTTTCAAATCTGCTCTGTCTAAGGGAACGTTCAACTCTGTGAGTTGAATGTACACAACACAAGGAAGTTACTGGGAATTCTTCTGTCTAGCCTTATATGAAAAATAGCCGTTTCCAACGAAGGCCTCAAAGAGGTCTGAATATCCACTTGCAGACTTTACAAACAGAGTGTTTCCTAACTGCTCTATGAAAAGAAAGGTTAAACTCGGTGAGTTGAACGCACACATCACAAAGGAGTTTCTGAGAATCATTCTGTCTAGTTTTTATACGAAGATATTTCCTTTTCTGCCTTTGGCCTCAAAGCGCTTGAAATCTCCATTTGCAAATTCCACAAAAAGAGTGTTTCAAATCTGCTCTGTGTAAATGAAAGTTCAACTCTGTGAGTTGAACACACACAACACAAGAAAGTTACTGGGAATTCTTCTGTCTAGCAGAATATGAAGAAATCCCGTTTCCAACGAAGGCCTCAAAGAGGTCTGAATATCCACTTGCAGACTTTACAAACAGAGTGTTTCCTAATTGCTCTATGAAAAGAAAGGTTAAACTCTGTGAGTTGAACGCACACATCACAAAGGAGTTTCTGAGAATCGTTCTGTCTAGTTTCTATAGGAAGATATTTCCTATTCTACCATTGACCTCAAAGCGGCTGAAATCTCCACTTGCAAATTCCACAAAAAGAGTGTTTCAAGTCTACTCTGTGTAAAGCATCGTTCAACTCTGTGAGTTGAAAACACACAACACAAGGAAGTTTCTGAGAATTCTTCTGTCTAGCATAATATGAAGAAAACCCGTTTCCAACGAAAGCCTCAAAGATGTCTGAATATCCACTTGCAGACCTTACAAACAGAGTTTTTCCTAACTGCTCTATGAAAAGAAATGTTAAACTCTGTGAGTTGAACGCACACATCACAAAGGAGTTTCTGAGAATCATTCTGTCTAGTTTTTATACGAAGATATTTCCTTTTCTACCATTGACCTCAAAGCGGCTGAAATCACCACTTGCCAATTGCACAAAAAGAGTGTTTCAAATCTGCTCTGTCTAAGGGAACGTTCAACTCTGTGAGTTGAATGTACACAACACAAGGAAGTTACTGAGAATTCTCCTGTCTAGCCTTACATGAAAAAAACCCGTTTCCAACGAAGGCCTCCAAGTGGTCAAAATATCCACGTGCAGACTTTACAAAGAGAGTGTTTCCAAACTGCTGAATGAAAAGAAAAGTTAAACTCTGAGAGTTGAACGCACACATCACAGAGCAGTTTCTGAGAATGATTCTGTCTAGTTTTGAAACGAAGATATTTCCTTTTCTGCCTTTGGCCTCAAAGCGCTTGAAATCTCCACTTGCAAATTACACAAAAAGAGTGTTTCAAATCTGCTCTGTGTAAATGAAAGTTCAACTCTGTGAGTTGAACACACACAACACAAGGAAGTTACTGGGAATTCTTCTGTCTAGCATAATATGAAGAAATCCCGTTTCCAACGAAGTCCTCAAGGAGGTCTGAATATCCACTTGCAGACTTTACAAACAGAGTGTTTCCTAACTGCTCAATGAAAAGAAAGGTTAAACTCTGTGAGTTGAACGCACACATCACAAAGGAGTTTCTGAGAATCATTCGGTCTAGTTTCTATAGGAAGATATTTCCTATTCTACCATTGACCTCAAAGCGGCTGAAATCTCCACTTGCAAATTCCACAAAAAGAGTGTTTCAAGTCTGCTCTGTGTAAAGGATCGTTCAACTCTGTGAGTAGAATACACACAACACAAGGAAGTTACTGAGAATTATTCTGTCTAGCAGAATATGAAGAAATCCCGTTTCCAACGAAGGCCACAAGATATCAGAATATCCACTTACAGACTTTACAAACAGAGTGTTTCCTAACTGCTCTATGAACAGAAAGGTTAAACTCTGTGAGTTGGACGAACACATCACAACGCAGTTTGTGGGAATGATTCTGTCTAGTTTTTATACGAAGATATTTCCTTTTCTACCATTGACCTCAAAGCGGCTGAAATCACCACTTGCCAATTGCACAAAAAGAGTGTTTCAAATCTGCTCTGTCTAAGGGAACGTTCAACTCTGTGAGTTGAATGTACACAACACAAGGAAAGTTACTGGGAATTCTTCTGTCTAGCCTTACATGAAAAAAACCCGTTTCCAACGAAGGCCTCTAAGTGGTCAAATTATCCACGTGCAGACTTTACAAACAGAGTGTTTCCAAACTGCTGAATGAAAAGAAAAGTTAAACTCTGAGAGTTGAACGCACACATTCGCAGAGCAGTTTCTGAGAATGATTCTGTCTAGTTTTTATATGAAGATATTTCCTTTTCTGCATTTGGCCTCAAAGCGCTTGAAATCTCCACTTGCAAATTCCACAAAAAGAGTGTTTCAAATCTGCTCTGTGTAAATGAAAGTTCAACTCTGTGAGTTGAACACACACAACACAAGGAAGTTACTGGGAATTCTTCTGTCTAGCCTTATATGAAAAAAACCCTTTTCCAACGAAGGCCTCAAAGAGGTCTGAATATCCACTTGCAGACTTTACAAACAGAGTGTTTCCTAACTGCTCTATGAAAAGAAAGGTTAACCTCTGTGAGTTGAACGCACACATCACAAAGGAGTTTCTGAGAATCATTCTGTCTAGTTTTTATACGAAGATATTTCCTTTTCCACCATTGACCTCAAAGCGGCTGAAATCTCCACTTGCAAATTCCACAAAAAGAGTGTTTCAAGTCGGCTCTGTGTAAAGGATCGTTCAACTCTGTGAGTTGAATACACACAACACAAGGAAGTTACTGAGAATTCTTCTGTCTAGCACAATATGAAGAAATCCCGTTTCCAACGAAAGCCTCGAGGAGGTCTGAATATCCACTTGCAGACTTTACAAACAGAGTGTTTCCTAACTGCTCTATGAAAAGAAAGGTTAAACTCTGTGAGTTGAACGCACACGTCACAAAGAAGTTTCTGAGAATCATTCTGTCTAGTTTTTATACGAAGATATTTCCTTTTCTACCATTGACCTCAAAGCGGCTGAAATCACCACTTGCCAATTGCACAAAAAGAGTGTTTCAAATCTGCTCTGTCTAAGGGAACGTTCAACTCTGTGAGTTGAATGTACACAACACAAGGAAGTTACTGGGAATTCTTCTGTCTAGCCTTACAGGAAAAAAACCCGTTTCCAACGAAGGCCTCTAAGTGGTCAAATTATCCACGTGCAGACTTTACAAACAGAGTGTTTCCAAACTGTTGAATGAAAAGAAAAGTTAAACTCTGAGAGTTGAACGCACACATCGCAGAGCAGTTTCTGAGAATGATTCTTTCTAGTTTTTCTACGAAGATATTTCCTTTTCTACTATTGACCTCAAAGCGGTTGAAATCTCCAATTGCAAATTCCACAAAAAGAGTGTTTCAAGTCTGCTCTCTGTAAAGGATCGTTCAACTCTGTGACTTGAATACACACAACACAAGGAAGTTACTGAGAATTATTCTGTCTAGCAGAATATGAAGAAATCCCGTTTCCAACGAAGGCCTCAAAGGAGCTCTGAATATCCACTTGCAGACTTTACAAACAGAGTGTTTCCTAACTGCTCTATGAAAAGAAAAGTTAAACTCTGTGAGTTGAACGCACACATCACAAAGGAGTTTCTGAGAATCATTCTGTCTAGTATTTATACGAAGATATTTCCTTTTCTACCATTGACCTCAAAGTGGCTGAAATCTCCACTTGCAAATTCCACAAAACGAGTATTTCAAGTCTGCTCTGTGTAAAGGATCGTTCAACTCTGTGAGTTGAATACACACAACACAAAGAAGTTACTGAGAATTCTTCTGTCTAGCAGAATATGAAGAAATCCTGTTTCCAACGAAGGCCACAAGATGTCAGAATATCCACTTACAGAATTTACAAACAGACTGTTTCCTAAGTGCTCTATGAAAAGAAATGTTAAACTCTGTGAGTTGAACGAACACATCGCAACGCAGTTTGTGGGAATGATTCTATCTAGTTTTGAAACGAAGATATTTCCTTTTCTGCCGTTGACCTTAAAGCGCTTGAAATCTACACTTGCAAATTGCACAAATAGAGTGTTTCAAATCTGCTCTGTCTAAGGGAACGTTCAACTCTGTGAGTTGAATGCACACAACACAAGGAAGTTACTGGGAATTCTTCTGTCTAGCCTTACATGAAAAAAACCCGTTTCCAACGAAAGCCTCTAAGTGGTCAAAATATCCACGTGCAGATTTACAAACAGAGTGTTTCCAAACTACTGAATGAAAAGAAAAGTTAAACTCTGAGAGTTGAACGCACACATCACAGAGCAGTTTCTGAGAATGATTCTGTCTAGTTTCTATAAGAAGATATTTCCTATTCTACCATTGACCTCAAAGCGGCTGAAATCTCCACTTGCAAATTCCACAAATAGAGTGTTTCAAGTCTGCTCTGTGTA
Source organism: Homo sapiens (assembly GCF_000001405.40). NCBI lineage: Eukaryota > Metazoa > Chordata > Mammalia > Primates > Hominidae > Homo > Homo sapiens. The sequence goes on along the minus strand of NC_000005.10, from coordinate 49,118,117 downwards.
AAGCATCGTTCAACTCTGTGAGTTGAAGACACACAACACAAGGAAGTTTCTGAGAATTCTTCTGTATAGCAGAATATGAAGAAAACCCGTTTCCAACGAAAGCCTCAAAGATGTCTGAATATCCACTTGCAGACTTTACAAACAGAGTGTTTCCTAACTGCTCTATGAAAAGAAAGGTTAAAGTCTGTGAGTTGAACGCACACATCACAAAGGAGTTTCTGAGAATCATTCTGTCTAGTTTCTATAGGAAGATATTTCCTATTCTACCATTGACCTCAAAGCGGCTGAAATCTCCACTTGCAAATTCCACAAAAAGAGTGTTTCAAGTCTGCTCTGTGTAAAGGATCGTTCAACTCTCTGAGTTGAATACACACAACACAAGGAAGTTACTGAGAATTCTTCTGTCTAGCAGAATATGAAGAAATCCTGTTTCCAACGAAGGCCACAAGATGTCAGAATATCCACTTACAGAATTTACAAACAGACTGTTTCCTAACTGCTCTATGAAAAGAAAGGTTAAACTCTGTGAGTTGAACGAACACATCACAACGCAGTTTGTGGGAATGATTCTGTCTAGTTTTGAAACGAAGATATTTCCTTTTCTGCCATTGACCTTAAAGCGCTTGAAATCTCCACTTGCCAATTGCACAAAAAGAGTGTTTCAAATCTGCTCTGTCTAAGGGAACGTTCAACTCTGTGAGCTGAATGTACGCAACACAAGGAAGTTACTGGGAATTCTTCTGTCTAGCCTTACATGAAAAAAACCCGTGTCCAACGAAGGCCTCTAAGTAGTCAAATTATCCACGTGCAGACTTTACAAACAGAGTGTTTTCAAACTGCTGAATGAAAAGAAAAGTTAAACTTCTGAGAGTTGAACGCACACATCGCAGAGCAGTTTCTGAGAATGATTCTGTCTAGTTTTGAAACGAAGATATTTCCTTTTCTGCCTTTGGCCTCAAAGCGCTTGAAATCTCCACTTGCAAATTCCACAAAAAGAGTGCTTCAAATCTGCTCTGTGTAAATGAAAGTTCAACTCTGTGAGTTGAACACACACAACACAAGGAAGTTACTGGGAATTCTTCTGTCTAGCATAATATGAAGAAATCCCGTTTCCAACGAAGCCCTCAAAGGGGTCTGAATATTCACTTGCAGACTTTATAAACAGAGTGTTTACTAACTGCTCTATGAAAAGAAAGGTTAAACTCTGTGAGTTGAACACACACATCACAAAGGAGTTTCTGAGAATCATTCTGTCTAGTTTCTATAGGAAGATATTTCCTATTCTAACATTGACCTCAAAGTGGCTGAAATCTCCACTTGCAAATTCCACAAAAAGAGTGTTTCAAGTCTGCTCTGTGTAAAGGATCGTTCAACTCTGTGAGTTGAATACACACAACACAAGGAAGTTACTGAGAATTCTTCTGTCTAGCAGAATATGAAGAAATCCCGTTTCCAACGAAGGCCACAAGATGTCAGAATATCCACTTACAGAATTTACAAACAGACTGTTTCCTAACTGCTCTACGAAAAGAAAGGTTAAACTCTGTGAGATGAACGAACACATCACAACGCAGTTTGTGGGAATGATTCTGTCTAGTTTGGAAACGAAGATATTTCCTTTTCTGCCATTGACCTTAAAGCGCTTGAAATCTCCATTTGCCAATTGCACAAAAAGAGTGTTTCAAATCTGCTCTGTCTAAGGGAACGTTCAACTCTGTGAGTTGAATGTACACAACACAAGGAAGTTACTGGGAATTCTTCTGTCTAGCCTTACATGAAAAAAACCCGTTTCCAACGAAGGCCTCTAAGTGGTCAAAATTTCCACGTGCAGACTTTACAAACAGAGTGTTTCCAAACCGCTGAATGAAAAGAAAAGTTCAACTCTGAGAGTTGAACGCACACATCACGCAGCAGTTTCTGAGAATGATTCTGTCTAGTTTTTATACGAAGATATATCCTTTTCTGCCTTTGGCCTCAAAGCGCTTGAAATCTCCACTTGCAAATTCCACAAAAAGAATGTTTCAAATCTGCTCTGTCTAAATGAAAGTTCAACTCTGTCAGTTGAATACACACAACAAAAGGAAGTTACTGAGAATTCTTCTGTATAGCAGAATAAGAAGAAATCCCGTTTCCAACGAAAGCCTCAAAGATGTCTGAATATCCACTTGCAGACTTTACAAACAGAGTGTTTCCTAACTGCTCTATGAAAAGAAAGGTTAAACTCTGTGAGTTGAACGCACACATCACAAAGTAATTTCTGAGAATCATTCTGTCTACTTTCTATAGGAAGATATTTCCTATTCTACCATTGACCTCAAAGCGGCTGAAATCTCCACTTGCAAATTCCACAAAAAGAGTGTTTCAAGTCTGCTCTGTGTAAAGGATCGTTCAACTCTGTGAGTTGAATACACACAACACAAGGAAGTTACTGAGAATTCTTCTGTCTAGCATAATATGAAGAAATCCCGTTTCCAACGAAGGCCTCAAGGAGGTCTGAATATCCACTTGCAGACTTTACAAACAGAGTGTTTCCTAACTGCTCTATGAAAAGAAAGGTTAAACTCTGTGAGTTGAACGCACAAATCACAAAGGATTTTCTCAGAATCATTCTGTCTAGTTTTGAAACTAAGACATTTCCTTTTCTGCCATTGACCTTAAAGCGCTTGATATCTACACTTGCAAATTGCACAAATAGAGTGTTTCAAATCTGCTCTGTCTAAGGGAACGTTCAACTCTGTGAGTTGAATGCACACAACACAAGGAAGTTACTGGGAATTCTACCGTCTAGCCTTACATGAAAAAAAACCCGTTTCCAACGAAGGCCTCTAAGTGGTCAAAATATCCACGTGCAGACTTTACAAACAGAGTGTTTCCAAACTGCTGAATGAAAAGAAAAGTTAAACTTTGAGAGTTGAACGCACACATCACAGAGCAGTTTCTGAGAATGATTCTGTCTAGTTTTTATACGAAGATATTTCCTATTCTACCATTGATCTCAAAGCGGCTGAAATCTCCACTTGCAAATTCCACAAGAAGAGTGTTCCAAGTATGCTCTGTGTAAAGGATCGTTCAACTCTGTGAGTTGAATACACACAACACAAGGAAGTTACTGAGAATTCTTCTGTATAGCAGAATATGAAGAAATCCCATTTCCAACGAAGGCCTCAAGGAGGTCTGAATATCCACTTGCAGACTTTACAAACAGAGTGTTTCCTAACTGCTCTATGAAAAGAAAGGTTAAACTCTGTGAGTTGAACGCAGACATCACAAAGGAGTTTCTGAGAATCACTCTGTCTAGTTTCTATAGAAAGATATTTCCTATTCTACCATTGACCTCAAAGCGGCTGAAATCTCCACTTGCAAATTCCACAAAAAGAGTGTTTCAAGTCTGCTCTGTGTAAAGGATCGTTCAACTCTGTGAGTTGAATACACAGAACACAAGGAAGTTACTGAGAATTCTTCTGTCTAGCACAGTATGAAGAAATCCCGTTTCCAACGAAGGCCACAAGATGTCAGAATATCCACTTACAGAATTTACAAACAGACTGTTTCCTAACTGCTCTACGAAAAGAAAGGTTAAACTCTGTGAGATGAACGAACACATCACAACGCAGTTTGTGGGAATGATTCTGTCTAGTTTTGAAAAGAAGATATTTCCTTTTCTGCCGTTGACCTTAAAGCGCTTGAAATCTACACTTGCAAATTGCACAAATAGAGTGTTTCAAATCTGCCCTGTCTAAGGGAACGTTCCACTCTGTGAGTTGAATGCACACAACACAAGGAAGTTACTGGGAATTCTTCTGTCTAGCCTTACATGAAAAAAACCCGTTTCCAACGAAGGCCTCTAAGTGGTCAAAATTTCCACGTGCAGACTTTACAAACAGAGTGTTTCCAAACCGCTGAATGAAAAGAAAAGTTAAACTCTGAGACTTGAACGCACACATCACGCAGCAGTTTCTGAGAATGATTCTGTCTAGTTTTTATACGAAGATATTTCCTTTTCTGCCTTTGGCCCCAAAGCGCTTGAAATCTCCACTTACAAATTCCACAAAAACAGTGTTTCAAATCTGCTCTCTCTAAATGATAGTTCAACTCTGTCAGTTGAATACACACAACACAAGGAAGTTACTGAGAATTCTTCTGTCTAGCAGAATATGAAGAAATCCCGTTTCCAACGAAGGCCTCAAGGAGGTCTGAATATCCACTTGCAGACTTTACAAACAGAGTGTTTCCTAACTGCTCTATGAAAAGAAAGGTTAAACTCTGTGAGTTGAACGCACACATCACAAAGGAGTTTCTGACAATCATTCTGTCTAGTCTTTATACGAAGATATTTACTTTTCTACCATTGACCTCAAAGCGGCTGAAATCTCCACTTGCAAATTCCACAAAAAGAGTGTTTCAAGTCTGCTCTGTGTAAAGGATCATTCAACTCTGTGAGTTGAATAAACACAACCCAAGGAAGTTACTGAGAATTCTTCTGTCTAGCAGAATATGAAGAAATCCCGTTTCCAACGAAGGCCACAAGGATGTCAGAATATCCACTTACAGAATTTACAAACAGACTGTTTCCTAACTGCTCTATGAAAAGAAAGGTTAAACTCTGTGAGTTGAACGAACACATCACAACGCAGTTTGTGGGAATGATTCTGTCTAGTTTTGAAACGAAGATATTTCCTTTTCTGCCATTGACCTTAAAGCGCTTGAAATCTCCATTTGCCAATTGCACAAAAAGAGTGTTTCAAATCTGCTCTGTCTAAGGGAACGTTCAACTCTGTGAGTTGAATGTACACAACACAAGGAAGTTACTGGGAATTCTTCTGTCTACCCTTACATGAAAAAAACCCGTTTCCAACGAAGGCCTCTAAGTGGTCAAAATATCCACGTGCAGACTTTACAAACAGAGTGTTTCCAAACTGCTGAATGAAAACAAAAGTTAAACTCTGAGAGTTGAACGCACACATCACAGAGCATTTTCTGAGAATGATTCTGTCTAGTTTTCAAACGAAGATATTTCCTTTTCTGCCTTTGGCCTCAAAGCGCTTGAAATCTCCACTTGCAAATTCCACAAAAAGAGTGTTTCAAATCTGCTCTGTGTAAATGAAAGTTCAACTCTGTGAGTTGAACACACACAACACAAGGAAGTTACTGGGAATTCTTCTGTCTAGGAGAATATGAAGAAACCCCGCTTCCAACGAAGGCCTCAAAGAAGTCTGAATATCCACTTGCAGACTTTACAAAGAGAGTTTTTCCCAACTGCTCTATGAAAAGAAAGGTTGAACTCTGTGAGTTGAACGCACACATCACAAAGGAGTTTCTGAGAATCATTCTGTCTAGTTTCTATAGGAAGATATTTCCTATTCTACCATTGACCTCAAAGCGGCTGAAATCTCCACTTGCAAATTCCACAAAAAGAGTGTTTCAAGTCTGCTCTGTGTAAAGGATCGTTCAACTCTGTGAGTTGAATACACACAACACAAGGAAGTTTCTGAGAATTCTTCTGTATAGCAGAATATGAAGAAATCCCGTTTCCAACGAAGGCCTCAAGGAGGTCTGAATATCCACTTGCAGACTTTACAAACACAGTGTTTCCTAACTGCTCTATGAAAAGAAAGGTTAAACTCTGTGAGTTGAACGCAGACATCACAAAGGAGTTTCTGAGAATCACTCTGTCTAGTTTTTATACGAAGATATTTCCTTTTCTACCACTGACCTCAAAGCGGCTGAAATCTCCACCCTGCCAATTCCACAAAAAGAGTGTTTCAAGTCTACTCTGTGTAAAGGATCGTTGAACTCTGTGAGTTGAAAACACACAACACAACGAAGTTTCTGAGAATTCTTCTGTCTAGCCTTACATGAAAAAACCCGTTTCTAACGAAGGCCTCTAAGTGGTCAAAATATCCACGTGCAGACTTTACAAACAGAGTGTTTCCAAACCGTTGAATGAAAAGAAAAGTTAAACTCTGAGAGTTGAACGCACACATCACGCAGCAGTTTCTGAGTATGATTCTGTCTAGTTTTTATACGAAGATATTTCCTTTTCTGCCTTTGGCCCCAAAGCGTTTGAAATCTCCACTTGCAAATTCCACAGAAACAGTGTTTCAAATGTGCTCTCTCTAAATGAAAGTTCAACTCTGACAGTTGAATACACACAACACAAGGAAGTTACTGAGAATTCTTCTGTCTAGCAGAATATGAAGAAATCCCGTTTCCAACGAAAGCCTCAAGGATGTCTGAATATCCACTTGCAGACTGTACAAACAGAGTGTTTCCTAACTGCTCTATGAAAAGAAAGGTTAAACTCTGTGAGTTGAACGCACACATCACAAAGGAGTTTCTGAGAATCATTCTGTCTAGTTTTTATAGGAAGATATTTCCTTTTCTACCTTTGACTTCAAAGCGGCTGAAATCTCCACTTGCAAATTCCACAAAAAGAGTGTTACAAGTCTGCTCTGTGTAAAGGATCGTGCAACTCTGTGAGTTGAATACACACAACACAAGGAAGTTACTGAGAATTCTTCTGTCTAGCAGAATATGAAGAAATCCCGTTTCCAACGAAGGCCTCAAGGAGGTCTGAATATCCACTGGCAGACTGTACAAACAGAGTGTTTCCTAACTGCTCTATGAACAGAAAGGTTAAACTCTGTGAGTTGAACGAACACATCACAACGCAGTTTGTGGGAATGATTCTCTCTAGTTTTGAAACGAAGATATTTCCTTTTCTGCCGTTGACCTTAAAGCGCTTGAAATCTACACTTGGAAATTGCACAAATAGAGTGTTTCAAATCTGCTCTGTCTAAGGGAACGTTCAACTCTGTGAGTTGAATGCACACAACACAAGGAAGTTACTGGGAATTCTTCTGTCTAGCCTTACATGAAAAAAACCCGTTTCCAACGAAGGCCTCTAAGTGGTCAAATTATCCACGTGCAGACTTTACAAACAGAGTGTTTCCAAACTGCTGAATGAAAAGCAAAGTTAAACTCTGAGAGTTGAACGCACACATCACAGAGCAGTTTCTGAGAATGATTCTGTCTAGTTTTTATACGAAGATATTTCCTTTTCTGCCTTTGGCCTCAAAGCAATTGAAATCTCCACTTGCAAATTCCACAAAAAGAGTGTTTCAAATCTGCTCTGTGTAAATGAAAGTTCAACTCTGTGAGTTGAACACACACAACACAAGGAAGTTACTGGGAATTCTTCTGTCTAGCCTTATATGAAAAAAACCCGTTTCCAACGAAGGCCTCAAAGAGGTCTGAATATCCACTTGCAGACTTTACAAACAGAGTGATTCCTAACTGCTCTATGAAAAGAAAGGTTAAACTCTGTGAGTTGAACGCACACATGTCAAAGGAGTTTCTGAGAATCATTCTGTCTAGTTTTTATAGGAAGAAATTTCCTTTTCTACTTTGACTTCAAAGCGGCTGAAATCTCCACTTGCAAATTCCACAAAAAGAGTGTTACAAGTCTGCTCTGTGTAAAGGATCGTTCAACTCTGTGAGTTGAATACACACAACACAAGGAAGTTACTGAGAATTCTTCTGTCTAGCAGAATATGAAGAAATCCCGTTTCCAACGAAGGCCACAAGATGTGAGAATATCCACTTACAGACTTTACAAACAGAGTGTTTCCTAACTGCTCTATGAACAGAAAGGTTAAACTCTGTGAGTTGAACGAACACATCACAACGCAGTTTGTGGGAATGATTCTGTCTAGTTTTGAAACGAAGATATTTCCTTTTCTGCCTTTGAACTTAAAGCGCTTGAAATCTCCATTTGCCAATTGCACAAAAAGAGTGTTTCAAATCTGCTCTGTCTAAGGGAACGTTCAACTCCGTGAGTTGAATGTACACAACACAAGGAAGTTACTGGGAATTCTTCTGTCTAGCCTTACATGAAAAAAAACCCGTTTCCAACGAAGGCCTCTAAGTGGTCAAAATATCCACGTGCAGTCTTTACAAACAGAGTTTTTCCAAACCGCTGAATGAAAAGAAAAGTTAAACTCTGAGAGTTGAACGCACACATCACGCAGCAGTTTCTGAGAATGATTCTGTCTAGTTTTTATACGAAGATATTTCCTTTTCTGCCTTTGGCCCCAAAGCGCTTGTAATCTCCACTTGCAAATTCCACAAAAACAGTGTTTCAAATCTGCTCTCTCTAAATGAAAGTTCAACTCTGTCAGTTGAATACACACAACACAAGGAAGTTACTGAGAATTCTTCTGTCTAGCAGAATATGAAGAAATCCCCGTTTCCAACGAAGGCCTCAAAGAGGTCTGAATATCCACTTGCAGACTTTACAAACAGAGTGTTTCCTAACTGCTCTATGAAAAGAAAGGTTAAACTCTGTGAGTTGAACGCACACATCACAAAGGAGTTTCTGAGAATCGTTCTGTCTAGTTTTTATAGGAAGATATTTCCTTTTCTACCTTTGACTTCAAAGCGGCTGAAATCTCCACTTGCAAATTCCACAAAAAGAGTGTTACAAGTCTGCTCTGTGTAAAGGATCGTTCAACTTCTGTGAGTTGAATACACACAACACAAGGAAGTTACTGAGAATTCTTCTGTCTCGCAGAATATGAAGAAATCCCGTTTCCAACGAAGGCCACAAGATGTCAGAATATCCACTTACAGACTTTACAAACAGAGTGTTTCCTAACTGCTCTATGAACGGAAAGGTTAAACTCTGTGAGTTGAACGTACACATCACAACGCAGTTTGTGGGAATGATTCTGTCTAGTTTTGAAACGAAGATATTTCCTTTTCTGCCGTTGACCTTAAAGAGCTTGAAAACTACACTTGCAAATTGCACAAATAGAGTGTTTCAAATCTGCTCTGTCTAAGGGAACGTTCAACTCTGTGAGTTGAATGCACACAACACAAGGAAGTTACTGGGAATTCTTCTGTCTAGCCTTACATGAAAAAAACCCGTTTCCAACGAAGGCCTCTAAGTGGTCAAAATTTCCACGTGCAGACTTTACAAACAGAGTGTTTCCAAACCGCTGAATGAAAAGAAAAGTTAAACTCTGAGAGTTGAACGCACACATCACGCATCAGTTTCTGAGAATGTTTCTGTCTAGTTTTTATACGAAGATATTTCCTTTTCTGCCTTTGGCCCCAAAGCGCTTGAAATCTCCACTTGCAAATTCCACAAAAACAGTGTTTCAAATCTGCTCTCTCTAAATGAAAGTTCAACTCTGTCAGTTGAATACACACTACACAAGGAAGTTACTGAGAATTCTTCTGTGTAGCACAGTATGAAGAAATCCCGTTTCCAACGAAGGCCTCAAAGAGGTGTGAATATCCACTTGCAGAGTTTACAAACAGAGTGTTTCCTAACTGCTCTATGAAAAGAAAGGTTAAACTCTGTGAGTTGAACGCACACATCACCAAGAAGTTTCTGAGAATCATTCTGTCTAGTCTTTATACGAAGATATTTACTTTTCTACCATTGACCTCAAAGCGGCTGAAATCTCCACTTGCAAATTCCACAAAAAGAGTGTTTCAAGTCTGCTCTGTGTAAAGGATCGTTCAACTCTGTGAGTTGAATAAACACAACACAAGGAAGTTACTGAGATTTCTTCTATCTAGCATAATATGAAGAAATACCGTTTCCAACGAAGGCCTCTAAGAGGTGTGAATATCCACTTGCAGAGTTTACAAACAGAGTGTTTCCTAACTGCTCTATGAAAAGAAAGGTTAAACTCTGTGAGTTGAACGAACACAGCACAACGCAGTTTGTGGGAATGATTCTGTCTAGTTTTGAAACGAAGATATTTCCTTTTCTGCCATTGACCTTAAAGCGTTTGAAATTTCCACTTGCAAATTGCACAAAAAGAGTGTTTCAAATCTGCTCTGTCTAAATGAAAGTTCAAATCTGTCAGTTGAATACACACAACACAAGCAATTTAAAGGGAATTCTTCTGTCTAGCCTTATATGAAAATAACCCGTTTCCAACGAAGGCCTCAAAGAGGTCTGAATATCCACTTGCAGACTTTACAAACAGAGTGTTTCCTAACTGCTCTATGAAAAGAAAGGTTAAACTCTGTGAGTTGAACGCACACATTACAAAGGAGTTTCTGAGAATCATTCTGTCTAGTTTTTATACGAAGATATTTCCTTTTCTGCCTTTGGCCTCAAAGCGCTTGAAATCTCCACTTGCAAATTCCACAAAAAGTGTGTTTCAAGTCCGCTCTGTGTAAAGGATCGTTCAACTCTGTGAGTTGAATACACACAACACAAGGGAAGTTACTGAGAATTCTTCTGTCTAGCACAGTATGAAGAAATCCCGTTTCCAACGAAGGCCTCAAAGAGGTCTGAATATCCACTTGCAGACTTTACAAACAGAGTGTTTCCTAACTGCTCTATGAAAAGAAAGGTTAAACTCTGTGAGTTGAACGCACACATCACAAAGTAGTTTCTGAGAATCATTCTGTCTAGTTTCTATAGGAAGATATATCCTATTCTACCATTGACCTCAAAGCGGCTGAAATCTCCACTTGCAAATTCCACAAAAAGAGTGTTTCAAGACTGTTCTGTGTAAAGGATCATTCAACTCTGTGAGTTGAATACACACAACACAAGGGAAGTTACTGAGAATTCTTCTGTCTAGCAGAATATGAAGAAATCCCGTTTCCAACGAAGGCCACAAGTTGTCAGAATATCCACTTACAGACTTTACAAACAGAGTGTTTCCTAACTGCTCTATGAACAGAAAGGTTAAACTCTGTGAGTTGAACGAACACATCACAACGCGGTTTGTGGGAATGATTCTGTCTAGTTTTGAAACCAAGATATTTCCTTTTATGCCATTGACCTTAAAGCGCTTGAAATCTCCACTTGCCAATTGCACAAAAAGAGTATTTCAAATCTGCTCTGTCTAAGGGAACGTTCAACTCTGTGAGTTGAATGTACACAACACAAGGAAGTTACTGGGAATTCTTCTGTCTAGCCTTACATGAAAAAAACCCGTTTCCAACGAAGGCCTCTAAGTGGTCAAAATTTCCACGTGCAGACTTTACAAACAGAGTGTTTCCAAACCGCTGAATGAAAAGAATAGTTAAACTCTGAGAGTTGAACGCACACATCACGCAGCAGTTTCTGAGAATGATTCTGTCTAGTTTTTATACGAAGATATTTCCTTTTCTGCTTTTGGCCTCAAAGCGCTTGAAATCTCCATTTGCAAATTCCACAAAAAGAGTGTTTCAAATCTGCTCTGTGTAAATGAAAGTTCAACTCTGTGAGTTGAACACACACAACACAAGGAAGTTACTGGGAATTCTTCTGTCTAGCATAATATGAAGAAATCCCGTTTCCGACGAAGGCCTGAAAGAGGTCTGAATATCCACTTGCAGACTTTACAAACAGAGTGTTTCCAAACTGCTCTATGAAAAGAAAAGTTAAACTCTGTGAGTTGAACGCACACATCACAAAGGATTTTCTGAGAATCATTCTGTCTAGTTTTTCTACGAAGATATTTCCTTTTCTACTATTGACCTCAAAGCGGCTGAAATCTCCACTTGCAAATTCCACAAAAAGAGTGTTTCAAGTCTGCTCTGTGTAAAGGATCATTCAACTCTGTGAGTTGAATACACACAACACAAGGAAGTTACTGAGAATTCTTCTGTCTAGCAGAATATGAAGAAATCCCGTTTCCAACGAAGGCCACAAGATGTCAGAATATCCACTTACAGAATTGACAAACAGACTGTTTGCTAACTGCTCTATGAAAAGAAAGGTTAAACTCTGTGAGTTGAACGAACACATCACAACGCAGTTTGTGGGAATGATTCTGTCTAGTTTTGAAACGAAGATATTTACTTTTCTGCCATTGACCTTAAAGCGCTTGAAATCTCCACTTGCCAATTGCACAAAAAGAGTGTTTCAAATCAGCTCTGTCTAAGGGAACGTTCAAATCTGTGTGTTGAATGTACACAACACAAGGAAGTTACTGGGAATTCTTCTGTCTAGCCTTACAGGAAAGAAACCCGTTTCCAACGAAGGCCTCTAAGTGGTCAAAATATCCACGTGCAGACTTTACAAACAGAGTGTTTCCAAACTGCTGAATGAAAAGAAAAGTTAAACTCTGAGAGTTGAACGCACATATCGCAGAGCAGTTTCTGAGAATGATTCTGTCTAGTTTTTCTACGAAGATATTTCCTTTTCTGCCTTTGGCCCCAAAGCGCTTGGAATCTCCACTTGCAAATTCCACAAAAACAGTGTTTCAAATCTGCTCTCTCTAAATGAAAGTTCAACTCTGTCAGTTGAATACACACAACACAAGGAAGTTCCTGAGAATTCTTCTGTCTAGCCTTATATGAAAAAAACCCGTTTCCAACGAAGGCCTCAAACAGGTCTGAATATCCACTTGCAGACTTTACAAACAGAGTGTTTCCTAACTGCTCTATGAAAAGAAAGGTTAAACTCTGTGAGTTGAACGCACACATCACAAAGGAGTTTCTGAGAATCATTTCTGTCTAGTTTCTATAGGAAGATATTTCCTATTCTAACATTGACCTCAAAGCGGCTGAAATCTCCACTTGCAAATTCCACAAAAAGAGTGTTTCAAGTCTGCTCTGTGTAAAGGATCGTTCAACTCTGTGAGTTGAATACACACAACACAAGGGAAGTTACTGAGAATTCTTCTGTCTATCAGAATATGAAGAAATCCCGTTTCCAACGAAGGCCTCAAGGAGGTCTGAATATCCACTTGCAGACTTTACAAACAGAGTGTTTCCTAACTGCTCTATGAACAGAAAGGTTAAACTCTGTGAGTTGAACGCACACGTCACAAAGGAGTTTACTGAGAATCATTCTGTCTAGTTTTGAAACGAAGATATTTCCTTTTCTGCCGTTGACCTTAAAGCGCTTGAAATCTACACTTGCAAATTGCACAAATAGAGTGTTTCAAATCTGCTCTGTCTAAGGGAACGTTCAACTCTGTGAGTTGAATGCACACAACACAAGGAAGTTACTGGGAATTCTTCTGTCTAGCCTTACATACAAAAAACCCGTTTCCAACGAAGGCCTCTAAGTGGTCAAAATATCCACGTGCAGACTTTACAAACAGAGGGTTTCCAAACCGCTGAATGAAAAGAAAAGTTAAACTCTGAGAGTTGAACGCACACATCACGCAGCAGTTTCTGAGAATGATTCTGTCTAGTTTCTATAGGAAGATATTTCCTATTCTACCATTGACCTCAAAGCGGCTGAAATCTCCACTTGCAAATTCCACAAAAAGAGTGTTTCAAGTCTGCTCTGTGTAAAGGGTCGTTCAACTCTGTGAGTTGAATACACACAACACAAGGAGGTTACTGAGAATTCTTCTGTCTAGCAGAATATGAAGAAATCCCGCTTCCAACGAAGGCCTCAAAGAAGTCTGAATATCCACTTGCAGACTTTACAAACAGAGTGTTTCCCAACTACTCTATTAAAAGAAAGGTTGAACTCTGTGAGTTGAACGCACACATCACAAAGGAGATTCTGAGAATCATTCTGTCTAGTTTCTATAGGAAGATATTTCCTATTCTACCATTGAACTCAAAGCGGCTGAAATCTCCACTTGCAAATTCCACAAAAAGAGTGTTTCAAGTCTGCTCTGTGTAAAGGATCGTGCAACTCTGTGAGTTGAATACACACAACACAAGGAAGTTACTGAGAATTCTTCTGTCTAGCAGAATATGAAGAAATCCCGTTTCCAACGAAGGCCACAAGATGTCAGAATATCCACTTACAGACTTTACAAACAGTGTGTTTCCTAACTGCTCTATGAACGGAAAGGTTAAACTCTGTGAGTTGAACGAACACATCACAACGCAGTTTGTGGGAATGATTCTGCCTAGTTTTGAAACGAAGATATTTCCTTTTCTGCCATTGACCTTAAAGCGCTTGAAATCTCCACTTGCCAATTGCACAAAAAGAGTGTTTCAAATCTGCTCTGTCTAAGGGAACGTTCAACTCTGTGAGTTGAATGTACACAACACAAGGAAGTTACTGGGAATTCTTCTGTCTAGCCTTACATGAAAAAAACCCGTTTCCAACCAAGGCCTCTAAGTGGTCAAAATATCCACGTGCAGACTTTACAAACAGAGTGTTTCCAAACTGCTGAATGAAAAGAAAAGTTAAACTCTGAGAGTTGAACGCATACATCGCAGAGCAGTTTCTGAGAATGATGCTGTCTAGTTTTGAAACGAAGATATTTCCTTTTCTGCCTTTGGCCTCAAAGCGCTTGAAATCTCCACTTGCAAATTCCACAAAAAGAGTGTTTCAAATCTGCTCTGGGTAAATGAAAGTTCAACTCTGTGAGTTGAACACACACAACACAAGGAAGTTACTGGGAATTCTTCTGTCTAGCATAATATGAAGAAATCCCGTTTCCAACGAAGGCCTCAAAGAGGTCTGAATATCCACTTGCAGACATTACAAACAGAGTGTTTCCTAACTGCTCTATGAAAAGAAAGGTTAAACTCTGTGAGTTGAACGCACACATCACAAAGGAGTTTCTGAGAATCATTCTGTCTAGTTTCTATAGGAAGATACTTCCTATTCTACCATTGACCTCAAAGCGGCTGAAATCTCCACTTGCAAATTCCACAACAAGAGTGTTTCAAGTATGCTCTGTGTAAAGGATCGTTCAACTCTGTGAGTTGAATACACACAACACAAGGAAGTTACTGAGAATTCTTCTGTCTAGCATAATATGAAGAAATCCCGCTTCCAACGAAGGCCTCAAGGAGGTCTGAATATCCACTTGCAGACTTTACAAACAGAGTGTTTCCTAACGGCTCTATGAAAAGAAAGGTGAAACTCTGTGAGTTGAACGCACACATCACAAAGGAGTTTCTGAGAATCATTCTGTCTAGTTTTGAAACGAACATATTTCCTTTTCTGCCGTTGACCTTAAAGCGCTTGAAATCTACACTTGCAAATTGCACAAATAGAGTGTTTCAAATCTGCTCTGTCTAAGGGAACGTTCAACTCTGTGAGTTGAATGCACACAACACAAGGAAGTTACTGGGAATTCTTCTGTCTAGCCTTACATGAAAAAAACCCGTTTCCAACGAAGGCCTCTAAGTGGTCAAAATATCCACGTGCAGACTTTACAAACAGAGTGTTTCCAAACCGCTGAATGAAAAGAAAAGTTAAACTCAGAGAGTTGAACGCACACATCACGCAGCAGTTTCTGAGAATGATTCTGTCTAGTTTCTATAAGAAGATATTTCCTATTCTACCATTGACCTCAAAGCGGCTGAAATCTCCACTTGCAAATTCGACAAAAAGAGTGTTTCAAGCCTGCTCTCTGTAAAGGATCTTTCAACTCTGTGAGTTGAATACACACAACACAAGGAAGTTACTGAGAATTCTTCTGTCTAGCATAATATGAAGAAATCCCGTTTCCACCGAAGGCCTCAAAGAGGTCTGAATATCCACTTGCAGACTTTACAAACAGAGTGATTCCTAACTGCTCTATGAAAAGAAAAGTGAAACTCTGTGAGTTGAACGCACACATCACAAAGGAGTTTCTGAGAATCATTCTGTCTAGTCTTTATACGAAGATATTTCCTTTTCTACCATTGACCTCAAAGCGGCTGAAATCTCCACTTGCAAATTCCATAAAAAGAGTGTTTCAAGTCTGCTCTGTGTAAAGGATCGTTCAACTCTGTGAGTTGAATACACACAACACAAGGAAGTAACTGAGAATTCTTCTGTCTTGCAGAATATGAAGAAATCCCGTTTCCAACGAAGGCCACAAGATGTCAGAATATCCACTTACAGACTTTACAAACAGAGTGTTTCCTAACTGCTCTATGAACAGAAAGGTTAAACTCTGTGAGTTGAACGAACACATCACAACGCAGCTTGTGGGAATGATTCTGTCTAGTTTTGAAACGAAGATATTTCCTTTTCTGCCATTGAACTTAAAGCGCTTGAAATCTCCATTTGCCAATTGCACAAAAAGAGTGTTTCAAATCTGCTCTGTCTAAGGGAACGTTCAACTCTGTGAGTTGAATGTACACAACACAAGGAAGTTCCTGGGAATTCTTCTGTCTAGCCTTACATGAAAAAAACCCGTTTCCAACGAAGGCCTCTAAGTGGTCAAAATATCCACGTGCAGACTTTACAAACAGAATGTTTCCAAACCGCTGAATGAAAAGAAAAGTTAAACTCTGAGAGTTGAACGCACACATCACGCAGCAGTTTCTGAGAATGATTCTGTCTAGTTTTTATACGAAGATATTTCGTTTTCTGCCTTTGGCCTCAAAGCGCTTGAAATCTCCATTTGCAAATTCCACAAAAAGAGTGTTTCAAATCTGCTCTGTGTAAATGAAAGTTCAACTCTGTGAGTTGAACACACACAACACAAGGAAGTTACTGGGAATTCTTCTGTCTGGCATAATAAGAAGAAATCCCGTTTCCAAAGAAGGCCTCAAGCAGGTCTGAATATCCACTTGCAGACTTTACAAACAGAGTGTTTCCTAACTGCTCTATGAAAACAAAGGTTAAACTCTGTGAGTTGAACGCACACATCACAAAGGAGTTTCTGAGAATCATTCTGTCTAGTTTCTATAGGAAGATATTTCCTATTCTACCATTGACCTCAAAGCGGCTGAAATCTCCACTTGCAAATTCCACAAGAAGAGTGTTTCAAGTATGCTCTGTGTAAAGGATCGTTCAACTATGTGAGTTGAATACACACAATACAAGGAAGTTACTGAGAATTCTTCTGTCTAGCCTTACATGAAAAAAACCCGTTTCCAACGAAGGCCTCTAAGTGGTCAAGTTATCCACGTGCAGACTTTACAAACAGAGTGTTTCCAAACTGCTGAATGAAAAGAAAAGTTAAACTCTGAGAGTTGAAAGCACACATCGCAGAGCAGTTTCTGAGAATGATTCTGTCTAGTTTTGAAACCAAGATATTTCCTTTTCTGCCGTTGACCTTAAAGAGCTTGAAAACTACACTTGCAAATTGCACAAATAGAGTGTTTCAAATCTGCTCTGTCTAAGGGAACGTTCAACTCTGTGAGTTGAATGCACACAACACAAGGAAGTTACTGGGAATTCTTCTGTCTAGCCTTACATGAAAAAAACCCGTTTCCAACGAAGGCCTCTAAGTGGTCAAGTTATCCACGTGCAGACTTTACAAACAGAGTGTTTCCAAACTGCTGAATGAAAAGAAAAGTTAAACTCTGAGAGTTAAACGCACACATCGCAGAGCAGTTTCTGAGAATGATTCTGTCTAGTTTTTATACGAAGATATTTCCTTTTCTGCCTTTGGCCGCAAAGCGCTTGAAATCTCCATTTGCAAATTCCACAAAAAGAGTGTTTCAAATCTGCTCTGTGTAAATGAAAGTTCAACTCTGTGAGTTGAACACACACAACACAAGGGAAGTTACTGGGAATTCTTCTGTCTAGCATAATATGAAGAAATCCCGTTTCCAACGAAGGCCTCAAGGAGGTCTGAATATCAACTTGCAGACTTTACAAACAGAGTGTTTCCTAACTGCTCTATGAAAAGAAAGGTTAAACTCTGTGAGTTGAACGCACACATCTCAAAGGAGTTTCTGAGAATCATCTGTCTAGTTTCTATAGGAAGATATTTCCTATTCTACCATTGACCTCAAAGCGGCTGAAATCTCCACTTGCAAATTCCACAAAAGGAGTGTTTCAAGTCTGCTCTGTGTAAAGGATCGTTCAACTCTGTGAGTTGAAAACACACAACACAAGGAAGTTTCTGAGAATCTTCTCTGTCTAGCAGAATATGAAGAAATCCCGTTTCCAACGAAAGCCTCAAGGAGGTCTGAATATCCACTTGCAGACTTTACAAACAGAGTGTTTCCTAACTGCTCTATGAACAGAAAGGTTAAACTCTGTGAGTTGAACGAACACATCACAACGCAGTTTGTGGGAATGATTCTGTCTAGTTTTGAAACGAAGATATTTCCTTTTCTGCCATTGACCTTAAAGCGCTTGAAATCTCCATTTGCCAATTGCACAAAAAGAGTGTTTCAAATCTGCTCTGTCTAAGGGAACGTTCAACTCTGTGAGTTGAATGTACACAACACAAGGAAGTTACTGGGAATTCTTCTGTCTAGCCTTACATTAAAAAAAACCCGTTTCCAACGAAGACCTCTAAGTGGTCAAAATATCCACGTGCAGACTTTACAAACAGAGTGTTTCCAAACCGCTGAATGAAAAGAAAAGTTAAACTCTGAGAGTTGAACGCACACATCACGCAGCAGTTTCTGAGAATGATTCTGTCTAGTTTTTATACGAAGATATTTCCTTTTCTATCATTGACATCAAAGCGGCTGAAATCTCCACTTGCAAATACCACAAAAAGAGTGTTTCAAATCTGCTCTGTGTAAATGAAAGTTCAACTCTGTGAGTTGAATACACACAACACAAGGAAGTTACTGGGAATTCTTCTGTCTAGCCTTATATGAAAAAATCCCGTTTCCAAGGAAGGCCTCAAAGAGGTCTGAATATCCACTTGCAGACTTTACAAGCAGAGTGTTTCCTAACTGCTCTATGAAAAGGAAGGTTAAACTCTGTGAGTTGAACGCACACATCACAAAGGAGTTTCTGAGAATCATTCTGTCTAGTTTTTATAGGAAGATATTTCCTTTTCTACCATTGACTTCAAAGCGGCTGAAATCTCCACTTGCAAATTCCACAAAAAGAGTGTTACAAGTCTGCTCTGTGTAAAGGATCGGTCAACTCTGTGAGTTGAATACACACAACACAAGGAAGTTACTGAGAATTCTTCTGTCTAGCCTTACATGAAAAAAACCCGTTTCCAATGAAGGCCTCTAAGTGGTCAAATTATCCACGTGCAGACTTTACAAACAGAGTGTTTCCAAACTGCTGAATGAAAAGAAAAGTTAAACTCTGAGAGTTGAACACACACATCGCAGAGCAGTTTCTGAGAATGATTCTGTCTAGTTTTGAAACGAAGATATTTCCTTTTCTGCCATTGACCTTAAAGCGCTTGAAATCTCCACTTGCCAATTGCACAAAAAGAGTGTTTCAAATCTGCTCTGTCTAAGGGAACGTTCAACTCTGTGAGTTGAATGTACACAACACAAGGAAGTTACTGGGAATTCTTCTGTCTAGCCTTACATGAAAAAAACCCGTTTCCAACGAAGGCCTCTAAGTGGTCAAATTATCCACGTGAAGACTTTACAAACAGAGTGTTTCCAAACTGCTGAATGAAAAGAAAAGTTAAACTCTGAGAGTTGAACGCACACATCGCAGAGCAGTTTCTGAGAATGATTCTGTCGAGTTTTTATACGAAGATATTTCCTTTTCTGCCTTTGGCCTCAAAGCGCTTGAAATCTCCATTTGCAAATTCCACAAAAAGAGTGTTTCAAATCTGCTCTGTGTAAATGAAAGTTCAACTCTGTGAGTTGAACACAGCCAACACAAGGAAGTTACTGGGAATTCTTCTCTCTAGCCTTATATGAAAAAAACCCGTTTCCAACGAAGGCCTCAAAGAGGTCTGAATATCCACCTGCAGACTTTACAAACAGAGTGATTCCTAACTGCTCTATGAAAAGAAAGGTTAAACTCTGTGAGTTGAACACACACATCTCAAAGGAGTTTCTGAGAATCATTCTGTCTAGTTTTTATAGGAAGATATTTCCTTTTCTACCTTTGACTTCAAAGCGGCTGAAATCTCCACTTGCAAATTCCACAAAAAGAGTGTTACAAGTCTGCTCTGTGTAAAGGATCGTTCAACTCTGTGAGTTGAATACACTCAACACAAGGAAGTTACTGAGAATTCTTCTGTCTAGCAGAATATGAAGAAATCCCGTTTCCAACGAAGGCCACAAGGATGTCAGAATATCCACTTACAGAATTTACAAACAGACTGTTTCCTAACTGCTCTATGAAAAGAAAGGTTAAACTCTGTGAGTTGAACGAACACATCACAACGCAGTTTGTGGGAATGATTCTGTCTAGTTTTGAAACCAAGATATTTCCTTTTCTGCCGTTGACCTTAAAGAGCTTGAAAACTACACTTGCAAATTGCACAAATAGAGTGTTTCAAATCTGCTCTGTCTAAGGGAACGTTCAACTCTGTGAGTTGAATGCACACAACACAAGGAAGTTACTGGGAATTCTACTGTCTAGCCTTACAGGAAAAAAACCCGTTTCCAACGAAGGCCTCTAAGTGGTCAAAATATCCACGTGCAGACTTTACAAACAGAGTGTTTCCAAACTGCTGAATGAAAAGAAAAGTTAAACTCTGAGAGTTGAACACACACATCGCAGAGCAGTTTCTGAGAATGATTCTGTCTAGTTTTGAAACGAAGATATTTCCTTTTCTGCCTTCGGCCTCAAAGCGCTTGAAATCTCCACTTGCAAATTCCACAAAAAGAGTGTTTCAAATCTGCTCTGTGTAAATGAAAGTTCAACTCTGTGAGTTGAACACACACAACACAAGGGAAGTTACTGGGAATTCTTCTTTCTAGCAGAATATGAAGAAATCCCGCTTCCAACGAAGGCTTCAAAGAAGTCTGAATATCCACTTGCAGACTTTACAAACAGAGTGTTTCCTAACTGCTCTATGAAAAGAAAGGTTAAACTCTGTGAGTTGAACGCACACATCACAAAGGAGTTTCTGACAATCATTCTGTCTAGTTTTTATAGGAAGATATTTCCTTTTCTACCTTTGACTTCAAAGCAGCTGAAATCTCCACTTGCAAATTCCACAAAAAGAGTGTTACAAGTCTGCTCTGTGTAAAGGATCGTTCAACTCTGTGAGTTGAATACACACAACACAAGGAAGTTACTGAGAATTCTTCTGTCTAGCCTTACATGAAAAAAACCCGTTTCCAACGAAGGCCTCTAAGTGGACAAATTATCCACGTGCAGACTTTACAAACAGAGTGTTTCCAAACTGCTGAATGAAAAGAAAAGTTAAACTCTGAGAGTTGAACGCACACATCGCAGAGCAGTTTCTGAGAATGATTCTGTCTAGTTTTGAAACGAAGATATTTCCTTTTCTGCCATTGACCTTAAAGCGGTTGAAATCTACACTTGCAAATTGCACAAATAGAGTGTTTCAAATCTGCTCTGTCTAAGGGAACGTTCAACTCTGTGAGTTGAATGCACACAACACAAGGAAGTTACTGGGAATTCTTCTGTCTAGCCGTACATGAAAAAAACCCGTTTCCAACGAAGGCCTCTAAGTGGTCAAGTTATCCACGTGCAGACTTTACAAACAGAGTGTTTCCAAACTTCTGAATGAAAAGAAAAGTTAAACTCTGAGAGTTGAACGCACACATCGCAGAGCAGTTTCTGAGAATGATTCTGTCTAGTTTTTATACGAAGATATTTCCTTTTCTGCCTTTGGCCTCAAAGCGCTTGAAATCTCCACCTGCAAATTCCACAAAAAGAGTGTTTCAAATCTGCTCTGTGTAAATCAAAGTTCAACTCTGTGAGTTGAACACACACAACACAAGGAAGTTACTGGGAATTCTTCTGTCTAGCCTTATATGAAAAAAACCCGTTTCCAACGAAGGCCTCAAAGAGGTCTGAATATCCACTTGCAGACTTTACAAACAGAGTGTTTCCTAACTGCTCTATGAAAAGAAAGGTTAAACTCTGTGAGTTGAACGCACACATCACAAAGGAGATTCTGAGAATCATTCTGTCTAGTTTCTATAGGAAGATATTTCCTATTCTAACATTGACCTCAAAGCGGCTGAAATCTCCACTTGCAAATTCCACAAAAAGAGTGTTTCAAGTCTGCTCTGTGTAAAGGATCGTTCAACTCTGTGAGTTGAATACACACAACACAAGGAAGTTTCTGAGAATTCTTCTGTCTAGCAGAATATGAAGAAATCCCGTTTCCAACGAAGGCCTCAAAGAGGTCTGAATATCCACTTGCAGACTTTACAAACAGAGTGTTTCCTAACTGCTCCATGAAAAGAAAGGCTAAACTCTGTGAGTTGAGCGCACACATCACAAAGGAGTTTCTGAGAATCATTCTGTCTAGTTTCTATAGGAAGATATTACCTATTCTACCATTGACCTCAAAGCGGCTGAAATCTCCAGTTGCAAATTCAACAAAAAGTGTGTTTCAAGTCTACTCTGTGTAAAGCATCGTTGAACTCTGTGAGTTGAATACACACAACACAAGGAAGTTACTGAGAATTCTTCTGTCTAGCCTTACATGAAAAAAACCCGTTTCCAACGAAGGCCTCTAAGTGGTCAAAATGTCCACGTGCAGACTTTACAAACAGAGTGTTTCCAAACCGCTGAATGAAAAGAAAAGTTAAACTCTGAGAGTTGAGCGCACACATCACGCAGCAGTTTCTGAGAATGATTCTGTCTAGTTTTTATACGAAGATATTTCGTTTTCTACCTTTGGCCGCAAAGCGCTTGAAATCTCCACTTGCAAATTCCACAAAAACAGTGTTTCAAATCTGCTCTCTCTAAATGAAAGTTCAACTCTGTGAGTTGAATACACACAACACAAGGAAGTTACTGAGAATTCTTCTGTCTAGCCTTATATGAAAAAAAACCGTTTCCAACGAAGGCCTCAAAGAGGGCTGAATATCCACTTGCAGACTTTACAAACAGAGTGTTTCCTAACTGCTCTATGAAAAGAAAGGTTAAACTCTGTGAGTTGAACGCACACATCACAAAGGAGTTTCTGAGAATCATTCTGTCTAGTTTTTATACGAAGATATTTCCTTTTCTACCATTGACCTCAAAGCGGCTGAAATCTCCACTTGCAAATTCCACAAAAAGAGTGTGTCAAGTCTGCTCTGTGTAAAGGATCGTTCAACTCTGTGAGTTGAATACACACAACACGCGGAAGTTACTGAGAATTCTTCTGTCTAGCAGAATATGAAGAAATCCCGTTTCCAACGAAGGCCACAAGATGTCAGAATATCCACTTACAGAATTTACAAACAGACTGTTTCCTAACTGCTCTATGAAAAGAAAGGTTAAACTCTGTGAGTTGAACGAGCACATCACAACGCAGTTTTTGGGAATGATTCTGTCTAGTTTTTATACGAAGATATTTCCTTTTCTACCTTTGACCTCAAAGCGGCTGAAATCACCACTTACCAATTGCACAAAAAGAGTGTTTCAAATCTGCTCTGTCTAAGGGAACGTTCAACTCTGTGAGTTGAATGTAGACAACACAAGGAAGTTACTGGGAATTCTTCTGTCTAGCCTTACAGGAAAAAAACCCGTTTCCAACGAAGGCCTCTAAGTGGTCAAAATATCCACGTGCAGACTTTACAAACAGAGTGTTTCCAAACTGCTGAATGAAAAGAAAAGTTAAACTCTGAGAGTTGAACGCACACATCGCAGAGCAGTTTCTGAGAATGGTTCTGTCTAGTTTTTATACGAAGAGATTTCCTTTTCTACCATTGACCTCAACGCGGCTGAAATCTCCAATTGCAAATTCCACAAAAAGAGTGTTTCAAGTCCGCTCTGTGTAAACGATCGTTCAACTCTGTGAGTTGAATACACACAACACAAGGAAGTTACTGAGAATTCTTCTGTCTAGCACAGTATGAAGAAATCCCGTTTCCAACGAAGGCCTCAAAGTAGGTCTGAATATCCACTTGCAGAGTTTACAAACAGAGTGTTTCCTAACTGCTCTATGAAAAGAAAGGTTAAACTCTGTGAGTTGAACGCACACATCACAAAGAAGTTTCTGAGAATCATTCTGTCTAGTTTTTATAGGAAGATATTTCCTTTTCTACATTTGACTTCAAAGCGGCTGAAATCCCCACTTGCAAATTCCACAAAAAGAGTGTTACAAGTCTGCTTTGTGTAAAGGATCGTTCAACTGTGTGAGTTGAATACACACAACACAAGGAAGTTACTGAGAATTCTTCTTTCTGGCAGAATATGAAGAAATCCCGTTTCCAACGAAAGCCTCAAGGATGTCTGAATATCCACTTGCAGACTTTACAAACAGAGTGTTTCCTAACTGCTCTATGAAAAGAAAGGGTAAACTCTGTGAGTTTAACGCACACATCACAAAGGAGTTTCTCAGAATCATTCTGTCTAGTTTTTATACGAAGATATTTCCTTTTCTACCATTGACCTCAAAGCGGCTGAAATCACCACTTGCCAATTGCACAAAAAGAGTGTTTCAAATCTGCTCTGTCTAAGGGAACGTTCAACTCTGTGAGTTGAATGTACACAACACAAGGAAGTTACTGGGAATTCTTCTGTCTAGCCTTACAGGAAAAAAACCCGTTTCCAACGAAGGCCTCTAAGTGGTCAAAATATCCACGTGCAGACTTTACAAACAGAGTGTTTCCAAACTGCTGAATGAAAAGAAAAGTTAAACTCTTGAGAGTTGAACGCACACATCGCAGAGCAGTTTCTGAGAATGATTCTGTCTAGTTTTTATACGAAGATATTTCCTTTTCTGCCTTTGGCCTCAAAGCGCTTGAAATCTCCACCTGCAAATTCCACAAAAAGAGTGTTTCAAATCTGCTCTGTGTAAATGAAAGTTCAACTCTGTGAGTTGAACACACACAACACAAGGGAAGTTACTGGGAATTCTTCTGTCTAGCCTTATATGAAAAAAACCCGTTTCCAACGAAGGCCTCAAAGAGGACTGAATATCCACTTGCAGACTTTACAAGCAGAGTGTTTCCTAACTGCTCTATGAAAAGAAAGGTTAAACTCTGTGAGTTGAACGCACACATCACAAAGGAGTTTCTGAGAATCATTCTGTCTAGTCTTTATATGAAGGTAGTTTCCTTTTCTACCATTGACCTCAAAGCGGCTGAAATCTCCACTTGCAAATTCCACAAAAAGAGTGTTTCAAGTCTGCTCTGTTTAAAGGATCGTTCAACTCTGTGAGTTGAATACACACAACACAAGGAAGTTACTGAGAATTCTTCTGTCTAGCAGAATATGGAGAAATCCCGTTTCCAACGAAGGCCTCAAAGAGGTCTGAATATCCACTTGCAGACTTTACAAACAGAGTGTTTCCTAACTGCTCTATGAAAAGAAAGGTTAAACTCTGTGAGTTCAACGCACACATCACAAAGGAGTTTCTGAGAATCGTTCTGTCTAGTTTTGAAACGAAGATATTTCCTTTTCTGCCTTTGACCTTAAAGCGCTTGAAATCTACACTTGCAAATTGCACAAATAGAGTGTTTCAAATCTACTCTGTCTAAGGGAACGTTCAACTCTGTGATTTGATTGCACACAACACAAGGAAGTTACTGGGAATTCTTCTGTCTAGCCTTACATGAAAATAACCCGTTTCCAACAAAGGCCTCTAAGTGGTCAAATTATCCACGTGCAGACTTTACAAACAGAGTGTTTCCAAACTGCTGAATGAAAAGAAAAGTTAAACTGTGAGAGTTGAACGCACACATCGCAGAGCAGTTTCTGAGAATGATTCTGTCTAGTTTTTATACGAAGATATTTCCTTTTCTGCCTTTGGCCTCAAAGCGCTTGAAATCTCCATTTGCAAATTCCACAAAAAGAGTGTTTCAAATCTGCTCTGTGTAAATGAAAGTTCAACTCTGTGAGTTGAACACACACAACACAAGGAAGTTACTGGGAAATCTTCTGTCTAGCACAGTATGAAGAAATCCCGTTTCCAACGAAGGCCTGAAAGAGGTCTGAATATCCACTTGCAGAGTTTACAAACAGAGTGTTTCCTAACTGCTCTATGAAAAGAAAGGTTAAACTCTGTGAGTTGAACGCACACATCACAATGAAGTTTCTGAGAATCATTCTGTCTAGTTTTTATACGAAGATATTTCCTTTTCTACCATTGACCTCAACGCGGCTGAAATCTCCACTTGCAAATTCCACAAAAAGAGTGTTTCAAGTCTGCTCTGTGTAAACGATCGTTCAACTCCGTGAGTTGAATACACACAACACAAGGAAGTTACTGAGAATTCTTCTGTCTAGCAGAATATGAAGAAATCCCGTTTCCAACGAAGGCCACAAGATGTCAGAATATCCACTTACAGAATTTACAAACAGACTGTTTCCTAACTGCTCTATGAAAAGAAAGGTTAAACTTCTGTGAGTTGAACGAACACATCACAACGCAGTTTGTGGGAATGATTTCTGTCTAGTTTTGAAACGAAGATATTTCCTTTTCTGCCGTTGACCTTAAAGCGCTTGAAATCTACACTTGCAAATTGCACAGAGTGTTTCAAATCTGCTCTGTCTAAGGGAACGTTCAACTCTGTGAGTTGAATGCACACAACACAAGGAAGTTACTGGGAATTCTTCTGTCTAGCCTTACAGGAAAAAAACCCGTTTCCAACGAAGGCCTCTAAGTGGTCAAGTTATCCACGTGCAGACTTTACGAACAGAGTGTTTCCAAACTGCTGAATGAAAAGAAAAGTTAAACTCTGAGAGTTGAACGCACACATCGCAGAGCAGTTTCTGAGAATGATTCTGTCTAGTTTTTATACGAAGATATTTCCTTTTCTGCCTTTGGCCTCAAAGCGCTTGAAATCTCCATTTGCAAATTCCACAAAAAGAGTGTTTCAAATCTGCTCTGTGTAAATGAAAGTTCAACTCTGTGATTTGAACACACACAACACAAGGAAGTTACTGGGAATTCTTCTGTCTAGCCTTACATGAAAAAAACCCGTTTCCAATGAAGGCCTCAAAGAAGTCCAAATATCCACGTGCAGCCTTTACAAACAGAGTGTTTCCTAACTGCTCTATGAAAAGAAAGGTTAAACTCTGTGAGTTGAACGCACACATCACAAAAGAGTTTCTGAGAATCATTCTGTCTAGTTTCTATAAGAAGATACTTCCTATTCTACCATTGACCTGAAAGCGGCTGAAATCTCCACTTGCAAATTCGACAAAAAGAGTGTTTCAAGCCTGCTCTCTGTAAAGGATCCTTCAACTCTGTGAGTTGAATACACACAACACAAGGAAGTTACTGAGAATTATTCTGTCTAGCACAGTATGAAGAAATCCCGTTTCCAACGAAGGCCTCAAAAAGGTCTGAATATCCACTTGCAGAGTTTACAAACAGAGTGTTTCCTAACTGCTCTATGAAAAGAAAGGTTAAACTCTGTGAGTTGAACGCACACATCACAAAGAAGTTTCTGAGAATCATTCTGTCTAGTTTTTATACGAAGATATTTCCTTTTCTACCATTGACCTCAAAGCAGCTGAAATCTCCACTTGCAAATTCCACAAAAAGAGTGTTTCAAATCTGCTCTGTGTAAACCGTCGTTCAACTGTGTGAGTTGAATACACACAACACAAGGAAGATTCTGAGAATTCTTCTGTCTAGCCTTACATGAAAAAAACCCGTTTCCAACGAAGGCCTCTAAGTGGTCAAATTATCCACGTGGAGACTTTACAAACAGAGTGTTTCCAAACTGCTGAATGAAAAGAAAAGTTAAACTCTGAGAGTTGAACACACACATCGCAGAGCAGTTTCTGAGAATGATTCTGTCTAGTTTTTATACAAAGATATTTCCTTTTCTGCCTTTGGCCTCAAAGCGCTTGAAATCTCCACTTGCAAATTCCACAAAAAGAGTGTTTCAAATCTGCTCTGTGTAAATGAAAGTTCAACTCTGTGAGTTGAACACACACAACACAAAGAAGTTACTGGGAATTCTTCTGTCTAGCATAATATGAAGAAATCCCGTTTCCAACGAAGGCCTCAAAGGGGTCTGAATATCCACTTGGAGACTTTATAAACAGAGTGTTTACTAACTGCTCTATGAAAAGAAAGGTTAAACTCTGTGAGTTGAACACACACATCACAAAGGAGTTTCTGAGAATCATTCTTTCTAGTTTTTATAGGAAGTTATTTCCTTTTCTACCTTTGACTTCAAAGCGGCTGAAATCTCCACTTGCAAATTCCACAAAAAGAGTGTTACAAGTCTGCTCTGTGTAAAGGATCGTTCAACTCTGTGAGTTGAATACACACAACACAAGGAAGTTACTGAGAATTCTTCTGTCTAGCATAGTATGAAGAAATCCCGTTTCCAACGAAGGCCTCAAAGAGGTGTGAATATCGACTTGCAGAGTTTACAAACAGAGTGTTTCCTAACTGCTGTATGAAAAGAAAGGTTAAACTCTGTGAGTTGAACGCACACATCACAATGAAGTTTCTGAGAATCATTCTGTCTAGTTTTTATACGAAGATATTTCCTTTTCTACCATTGACCTCAAAGCGGCTGAAATCACCACTTGCCAATTGCACAAAAAGAGTGTTTCAAATCTGCTCTGTCTAAGGGAACGTTCAACTCTGTGAGTTGAATGTACACAACACAAGGAAGTTACTGGGAATTCTTCTGTCTAGCCTTACAGGAAAAAAACCCGTTTCCAACGAAGGCCTCTAAGTGGTCAAAATATCCACATGCAGAGTTTACAGAGTGTTTCCAAACTGCTGAATGAAAAGAAAAGTTAAACTCTGAGAGTTGAACGCACACATCGCAGAGCAGTTTCTGAGAATGATTCTGTCTAGTTTTTATACGAAGATATTTCCTTTTCTGCCTTTGGCCCCAAAGCGCTTGAAATCTCCACTTGCAAATTCCACAAAAACAGTGTTTCAAATCTGCTCTCTCTAAAAGAAAGTTCAACTCTGTCAGTTGAATACACACAACACAAGGAAGTTACTGAGAATTCTTCTGTCTAGCATAATATGAAGAAATCCCGTTTCCAACGAAGGCCTCAAAGGGGTCTGAATATCCACTTGCAGACGTTATAAACAGAGTGTTTACTAACTGCTCTATGAAAAGAAAGGTTAAACTCTGTGAGTTGAACACACACATCACAAAGGAGTTTCTGAGAATCATTCTGTCTAGTTTTTCTACGAAGATATTTCCTTTTCTACTATTGACCTCAAAGCGCCTGAAATCTCCACTTGCAAATTCCACAAAAAGAGTGTTTCAAGTCTGCTCTGTGTAAAGGATCGTTCAACTCTGTGAGTTGAATACACACAACACAAGGAAGTTACTGAGAATTCTTCTGTCTAGCAGAATATGAAGAATATCCCGTTTCCAACGAAGGCCACAAGATGTCAGAATATCCACTTACAGAATTGACAAACAGACTGTTTCCTAACTGCTCTATGAAAAGAAAGGTTAAACTCTGTGAGTTGAACGAACACATCACAACGCAGTTTGTGGGAATGATTCTGTCTAGTTTTGAAACGAAGATATTTCCTTTTCTGCCATTGACCTTAAAGCGCTTGAAATCTCCATTTGCCAATTGCACAAAAAGAGTGTTTCAAATCTGCTCTGTCTAAGGGAACGTTCAACTCTGTGAGTTGAATGTACACAACACAAGGAAGTTACTGGGAATTCTTCTGTCTAGCCTTACAGGAAAAAAACCCGTTTCCAACGAAGGCCTCTAAGTGCTCAAAATATCCACGTGCAGACTTTACAAACAGAGTGTTTCCAAACTGCTGAATGAAAAGAAAAGTTAAACTCTGAGAGTTGAACGCACACATCGCAGAGCAGTTTCTGAGAATGATTCTGTCTAGTTTTTATACGAAGATATTTCTTTTTCTGCCTTTGGCCCCAAAGCGCTTGAAATCTCCACTTGCAAATTCCACAAAAACAGTGTTTCAAATCTGCTCTCTCTAAATGAAAGTTCAACTCTGTCAGTTGAATACACACAACACAAGGAAGTTACTGAGAATACTTCTGTCTAGCATAATATGAAGAATCCCGTTTCCAACGAAGGCCTCAAAGAGGTCTGAATATCCACTTGCAGACTTTACAAACAGAGTGTTTCCTAACTGCTCTATGAAAAGAAAAGTTAAACTCTGTGAGTTGAACGCACACATCACAAAGGAGTTTCTGAGAATCATTTTGTCTAGTTTCTATACGAAGATATTTCAATTTCTACCATTAACCTCAAAGAGGCTGAAATCTCCGCTTGCAAATTCCACAAAAAGAGTGTTTCAAGTCTGCCCTGTGTAAAGGATCGTTCAACTCTGTGAGTTCAATGCACACAACACAAGGAAGTTACTGAGAATTCTTCTGTCTAGCAGAATATGAAGAAATCCCGTTTCCAACGAAGGCCTCAAAGAGGTCTGAATATCCACTTGCACACTTTACAAACAGAGTGTTTCCTAACTGCTCTATGAAAAGAAAGGATAAACTCTGTGAGTTGAACTCACACATCACAAAGGAGTTTCTGAGAATCATTCTGTCTAGTTTTGAAACGAAGATATTTCCTTTTCTGCCATTGACCTCAAAGCGCTTGAAATCTCCACTTGCCAATTGCACAAAAAGAGTGTTTCAAATCTGCTCTGTCTAAGGGAACGTTCAACTCTGTGAGTTGAATGTACACAACACAAGGAAGTTACTGGGAATTCTTCTGTCTAGCCTTACAGGAAAAAAACCCGTTTCCAACGAAGGCCTCTAAGTGGTCAAGTTATCCACGTGCAGACTTTACAACCAGAGTGTTTCCAAACTGCTGAATGAAAAGAAAAGTTAAACTCTGAGAGTTGAACGCACACATCGCAGAGCAGTTTCTGAGAATGATTCTGTCTAGTCTTTATATGAAGATATTTCCTTTTCTACCATTGACCTCAAAGCGGCTGAAATCTCCACTTACAAATTCCACAAAAAGAGTGTCTCAAGTCTGCTCTGTGTAAACGATCGTTCAACTCTGTGAGTTGAATACACACAACACAAGGAAGTTTCTGAGAATTCTTCTGTATAGCAGAATATGAAGAAATCCCGTTTCCAACGAAGGCCTCAAGGAGGTCTGAATATCCACTTGCAGACTTTACAAACAGAGTGTTTCCTAACTGCTCTATGAAAAGAAAGGTTAAACTCTGTGAGTTGAACGCAGACATCCCAAAGGAGTTTCTGAGAATCACTCTGTCTAGTTTCTATAGGAAGATATTTCCTATTCTACCATTGACCTCAAAGCGGCTGAAATCTCCACTTGCAAATTCCACAAAAAGAGTGTTTCAAGTCTGCTCTGTGTATAGGATCGTTCAACTCTGTGAGTTGAATAAACACAACACAAGGAAGTTACTGAGAATTCTTCTGTCTAGCAGAAAATGAAGAAATCCCGTTTCCAACGAAGGCCACAAGATGTCAGAATATCCACTTACAGACTTTACAAACACAGTGTTTCCTAACTGCTCTATGAACAGAAAGGTTAAACTCTGTGAGTTGAACGAACACATCACAACGCAGTTTGTGGGAATGATTCTGTCTAGTTTTGAAACGAAGATATTTCCTTTTCTGCCATTGACCTTAAAGCGCTTGAAATCTCCATTTGCCAATTGCACAAAAAGAGTGTTTCAAATCTGCTCTGTCTAAGGGAACGTTCAACTCTGTGAGTTGAATGTACACAACACAAGGAAGTTACTGGGAATTCTTCTGTCTAGCCTTACAGGAAAAAAACCCGTTTCCAACGAAGGCCTCTAAGTGGTCAAGTTATCCACGTGCAGAATTTACAAACAGAGTGTTTCCAAACTGCTGAATGAAAAGAAAAGTTAAACTCTGAGAGTTGAACGCACACATCGCAGAGCAGTTTCTGAGAATGATTCTGTCTAGTTTCTATAGGAAGATATTTCCTATTCTACCATTGACCTCAAAGCGGCTGAAATCTCCACTTGCAAATTCCACAAAAAGAGTGTTTCAAGTCTGCTCTGTGTAAAGGATCGTTCAACTCTGTGAGTTGAATACACACAACAGAAGGAAGTTACTGAGAATTCTTCTGTCTAGCAGAATATGAAGAAATCCCGTTTCCAACGAAAGCCTCAAAGATGTCTGAATATCCACTTGCAGACTTTACAAACAGAGTGTTTCCTAACTGCTCTATGAAAAGAAAGGTTAAACTCTGTGAGTTGAACGCACACATCACAAAGGAGTTTCTGAGAATCATTCTGTCTAGTCTTTATACGAAGATAGTATCCTTTTCTACCATTGACCTCAAAGCGGCTGAAATCTCCACTTGCAAATTCCACAAAAAGAGTGTTTCAAGTCTGCTCTGTGTAAAGGATCGTTCAACTCTGTGAGTTGAATGCACACAACACAAGGAAGTTACTGAGAATTCTTCTTTCTAGCAGAATATGAAGAAATCCCGTTTCCAACGAAAGCCTCAAGGATGTCTGAATATCCACTTGCAGACTTTACAAACAGAGCGTTTCCTAACTGCTCTATGAAAAGAAAGGTTAAACTCTGTGAGTTGAACGCACACATCACAAAGGAGTTTCTGAGAATCATTCTGCCTAGTTTTGAAACGAAGATATTTCCTTTTCTGCCATTGACCTTAAAGCGCTTGAAATCTCCACTTGCCAATTGCACAAAAAGAGTGTTTCAAATCTGCTCTGTCTAAGGGAACGGTTCAACTCTGTGAGTTGAATGTACACAACACAAGGAAGTTACTGGGAATTCTTCTGTCTAGCCTTACATGAAAAAAACCCGTTTCCAACGAAGGCCTCTAAGTGGTCAAATTATCCACGTGCAGACTTTACAAACAGAGTGTTTCCAAACTGCTGAATGAAAAGAAAAGTTAAACTCTGAGAGTCGAACGCACACATCGCACGAGCAGTTTCTGAGAATGATTCTGTCTGGTTTTTATACGAAGATATTTCCTTTTCTGCCTTTGGCCTCAAAGCGCTTGAAATCTCCATTTGCAAATTCCACAAAAAGAGTGTTTCAAATCTGCTCTGTGTAAATGAAAGTTCAACTCTGTGAGTTGGACACACACAACACAAGGAAGTTACTTGGAATTCTTCTGTCTAGCATAATATGAAGAAATCCCGTTTCCAACGAAGGCCTCAAAGGGGTCTGAATATCCACTTGCAGACTTTATAAACAGAGTGTTTACTAACTTCTCTATGAAAAGAAAAGTTAAACTCTGTGTGTTGAACGCACACATCACAAAGGAGTTTCTGAGAATCATTCTGTCTAGTCTTTATACGAAGATATTTCCTTTTCTACCATTGACCTCAAAGCGGCTGAAATCTCCACTTGCAAATTCCACAAAAAGAGTGTTTCAAGTCTGCTCTCTGTAAAGGATCGTTCAACTCTGCGAGTTCAATACACACAACACAAGGAAGTTACTGAGAATTCTTCTGTCTAGCAGAATATGAAGAAATCCCGTTTCCAACGAAGGCCTCAAAGAGGTCTGAATATCCACTTGCAGACTTTACAAACAGACAGTTTCCTAACTGCTCTATGAAAAGAAAGGTTAAACTCTGTGAGTTGAACGCACACATCACAAAGGAGTTTCTGAGAATCGTTCTGTCTAGTTTTGAAAATAAGATATTTCCTTTTCTGCCATTGACCTTAAAGCGCTTGAAATCTCCACTTGCCAATTGCACAAAAAGAGTGTTTCAAATCTGCTCTGTCTAAGGGAACGTTCAACTCTGTGAGTTAAATGTACACAACACAAGGGAAGTTACTGGGAATTCTTCTGTCTAGCCTTACATGAAAAAAACCCGTTGCCAACGAAGGCCTCTAAGTGGTCAAATTATGCACGTGCAGACTTTACAAACAGAGGGTTTCCAAACTGCTGAATGAAAAGAAAAGTTAAACTCTGAGAGGTGAACGCACACATCGCAGAGCAGTTTCTGAGAATCATTCTGTCTAGTTTTTATACGAAGATATTTCCTTTTCTGCCTTTGGCCCCAAAGCGCTTGAAATCTCCACTTGCAAATTCCACAAAACAGGGTTTCAAATCTGCTCTCTCTAAATGAAAGTTCAACTCTGTCAGTTGAATACACACAACACAAGGAAGTTACTGAGAATTCTTCTGTCTAGCCTTACATGAAAAAAACCCGTTTCCAACGAAGGCCTCAAAGAGGTCTCAATATCCACTTGCAGACTTTACAAACAGAGTGTTTCCTAACTGCTCTATGAAAAGAAAGGTTAAACTCTGTGAGTTGAACGTACACATCACAAAGGAGTTTCTGAGAATCATTCTGTCTAGTTTTTATAGGAAGTTATTTCCTTTTCTACCTTTGACTTCAAAGCGGCTGAAATCTCCACTTGCAAATTCCACAAAAAGAGTGTTACAAATCTGCTCTGTGTAAAGGATCGTTCAACTCTGTGAGTTGAATACACACAACACAAGGAAGTTACTGAGAATTCTTCTGTCTAGCAGAATTCGAAGAAATCCTGTTTCCAACGAAGGCCACAAGATGTCAGAATATCCACTTACAGACTTTACAAACAGAGTGTTTCCTAACTGCTCTATGAACAGAAAGGTTAAACTCTGTGAGTTGAACGAACACGTCACAACGCAGTTTGTGGGAATGATTCTGTCTAGTTTTGAAACGAAGATATTTCCTTTTCTGCCATTGACCTTAAAGCGCTTGAAATCTACACTTGCAAATTGCACAAATAGAGTGTTTCAAATCTGCTCTGTCTAAGGGAACGTTCAACTCTGTGAGTTGAATGCACACAACACAAGGAAGTTACTGGGAATTCTTCTCTCTAGCCTTACAGGAAAAAAAACCCGTTTCCAACGAAGGCCTCTAAGTGGTCAAAATATCCACGTGCAGACTTTACAAACACAGTGTTTCCAAACTGCTGAATGAAAAGAAAAGTTAAACTCTGAGAGTTGAACGCACACATCGCAGAGCAGTTTCTGAGAATGATTCTGTCTAGTTTTGAAACGAACATATTTCCTTTTCTGCCTTTGGCCTCAAAGCGCTTGAAATCTCCACTTGCAAATTCCACAAAAAGAGTGTTTCAAATCTGCTCTGTGTAAATGAAAGTTCAACTCTGTGAGTTGAACACACACAACACAAGGAAGTTACTGGGAATTCTTCTGTCTAGCAGAATATGAAGAAATCCCATTTCCAACGAAGGCCTCAAGGAGGTCTGAATATCCACTTGCAGACTTTACAAACAGAGTGTTTCCTAACTGCTCTATGAAAAGAAAGGTTAAACTCTGTGAGTTGAACGCACACATCACAAAGGAGTTTCTGAGAATCATTCTGTCTAGTTTTTATAGGAAGATATTTCCTTTTCTACCTTTGACCTCAAAGCGGCTGAAATCTCCACTTGCAAATTCCACAAAAAGAGTGTTACAAGTCTGCTCTGTGTAAAGGATCGTTCAACTCTGTGAGTTGAATACACACAACACAAGGAAGTTACTGAGAATTCTTCTGTCTAGCAGAATATGAAGAAATCCCGTTTCCAACGAAGGCCAAAAGATGTCAGAATATCCACTTACAGACTTTACAAACAGAGTGTTTCCTAACAGCTCTATGAACAGAAAGGTTAAACTCTGTGTGTTGAACGCACACATCACAAAGGAGTTTATGAGAATCATTCTGTCTAGTTTTGAAACGAAGAATATTTCCTTTTCTGCCATTGACCTTAAAGCGCTTGAAATCTCCATTTGCCAATTGCACAAAAAGAGTGTTTCAAATCTGCTCTGTCTAAGGGAACGTTCAACTCTGTGAGTTGAATGTACACAACACAAGGAAGTTACTGGGAATTCTTCTGTCTAGCCTTACATGAAAAAAACCCGTTTCCAACGAAGGCCTCTAAGTGGTCAAAATATCCACGTGCAGACTTTACAAAGAGAGTGTTTCCAAACCGCTGAATGAAAAGAAAAGTTAAACTCTGAGAGTTGAACGCACACATCACGCAGCAGTTTCTGAGAATGATTCTGTCTAGTTTTTATACGAAGATATTTCCTTTTCTGCCTTTGGCCTCAAAGCGCTTGAAATCTCCACCTGCAAATTCCACAAAAAGAGTGTTTCAAATCTGCTCTGTGTAAATGAAAGTTCAACTCTGTCAGTTGAACACACACAACACAAGGAAGTTACTGGGAATTCTTCTGTCTAGCCTTATATGAAAAAAACCCGTTTCCGAAGAAGGCCTCAAAGAGGTCAGAATATCCACTTGCAGACTTTACAAACAGAGTGTTTCCTAACTGCTCTATGAAAAGAAAGGTTAAACTCTGTGAGTTGAACACACACATCACAAAGGAGTTTCTGAGAATCATTCTGTCTAGTTTTTATAGGAAGATATTTCCTTTTCTACCTTTGACTTCAAAGCGGCTGAAATCTCCACTTGCAAATTCCACAAAAAGAGTTTTACAAGTCTGCTCTGTGTAAAGGATCGTTCAACTCTGTGAGATGAATACACACAACACAAGGAAGTTACTGAGAATTCTTCTGTCTAGCCTTACATGAAAAAAACTCGTTTCCAACGAAGGCCTCTAAGTGGTCAAGTTATCCACGTGCAGACTTTACAAACAGAGTGTTTCCAAACTACTGAATGAAAAGAGAAGTTAAACTCTGAGAGTTGAACGCACACATCGCAGAGCAGTTTCTGAGAATGATTCTGTCTAGTTTTGAAACGAAGATATTTCCTTTTCTGCCATTGACCTTAAAGCGCTTGAAATCTACACTTGCAAATTGCACAAATAGAGTGTTTCATATCTGCTCTGTCTAAGGGAACGTTCAACTCTGTGAGTTGAATGCACACAACACAAGGAAGTTACTGGCAATTCTTCTTGTCTAGCCTTACAGGAAAAAAACCCGTTTCCAACGAAGGCCTCTAAGAGGTCAAAATATCCACGTGCAGACTTTACAAACAGAGTGTTTCCAAACTGCTGAATGAAAAGAAAAGTTAAACTCTGAGAGTTGAACGCACACATCGCAGAGCAGTTTCTGAGAATGATTCTGTCTAGTTTTTATACGAAGATATTTCCTTTTCTGCCTTTGGCCCCAAAGCGCTTGAAATCTCCACTTGCAAATTCCACAAAAACAGTGTTTCAAATCTGCTCTCTCTAAATGAAGGTTCAACTCTGTCAGTTGAATACACACAACACAAGGAAGTTACTGAGAATTCTTCTGTCTAGCATAATATGAAGAAATCCCGTTTCCAACGAAGGCCTCAAAGAGGTCTGAATATCCACTTGCAGACTTTACAGAGTGTTTCCTAACTGCTCTATGAAAAGACAAGTTAAACTCTGTGAGTTGAACGCACACATCACAAAGGAGTTTCTGAGAATCATTCTGTCTAGTCTTTATACGAAGATATTTCCTTTTCTACCATTGACCTCAAAGCGGCTGAAATCTCCACTTGCAAATTCCCCAAAAAGAGTGTTTCAAGTCTGCTCTGTGTAAAGGATCGTTCAACTCTGTGAGTTGAATACACACAACACAAGGAAGTTACTGAGAATTCTTCTGTCTAGCAGAATATGAAGAAATCCCGTTTCCAACGAAGGCCTCAAGGAGGTCTGAATATCCACTTGCAGACTTTTCAAACAGAGTGTTTCCTAACTGCTCTATGACAAGAAAGGTTAAACTCTGTGAGTTGAACGCACACATCACAAAGGAGTTTATGAGAATCATTCTGTCTAGTTTTGAAACGAAGATATTTCCTTTTCTGCCATTGACCTTAAAGCGCTTGAAATCTCCACTTGCCAATTGCACAAAAAGAGTGTTTCAAATCTGCTCTGTCTAAGGGAACGTTCAACTCTGTGAGTTGAATGTACACAACGCAAGGAAGTTACTGGGAATTCTTCTGTCTAGCCTTACATGAAAAAAACCCGTTTCCAACGAAGGCCTCTAAGTGGTCAAATTATCCACGTGCAGACTTTACAAACAGAGTGTTTCCAAACTGCTGAATGAAAAGCAAAGTTAAACTTTGAGAGTTGAACGCACACATCGCAGAGCAGTTTCTGAGAATGATTCTGTCTAGTTTTTATACAAAGATATTTCCTTTTCTGCCTTTGGCCTCAAAGCGCTTGAAATCTCCATTTGCAAATTCCACAAAAAGAGTGTTTCAAATCTGCTCTGTGTAAATGAAAGTTCAACTCTGTGAGTTGAACACACACAACACAAGGAAGTTACTGGGAATTCTTCTGTCTAGCATAATATGAAGAAATCCCGTTTCCAACGAAGGCTTCAAAGAGGTCTGAATATCCACTTGCAGACTTTACAAACAGAGTGTTTCCTAACTGCTCTATGAAAAGAAAAGTTAAACTCTTTGAGTTGAACGCACACATCACAAAGGAGTTTCTGAGAATCATTCTGTCTAGTCTTTATACGAAGATATTTCCTTTTCTACCATTGACCTCAAAACCCCTGAAATCTCCACTTGCAAATTCCACAAAAAGAGTGTTTCAAGTCTGCTCTCTGTAAAGGATCGTTCAACTCTGTGAGTTGAATACACACAACACAAGGAAGTTACTGAGAATTCTTCTGTCTAGCAGAATATGAAGAAATCCCGTTTCCAACGAAGGCCACAAGATGTCAGAATATCCACTTACAGAATTTACAAACATAGTGTTTCCTAACTGCTCTATGAAAAGAAAGGTTAAACTCTGTGAGATGAACGAACACATCACAACACAGTTTGTGGGAATGATTCTGTCTAGTTTTGAAACGAAGATATTTCCTTTTCTGCCATTGACCTTAAAGCGCTTGAAATCTACACTTGCAAATTGCACAAATAGAGTGTTTCAAATCTGCTCTGTCTAAGGGAACGTTCAACTCTGTGAGTTGAATGCACAAAACACAAGGAAGTTACTGGGAATTCTTCTGTCTACCCTTACATGAAAAAAACCCGTTTCCAACGAAGACCTCTAAGTGGTCAAATTATCCACGTGCAGACTTTACAAACAGAGTGTTTCCAAACTGCTGAATGAAAAGAAAAGTTAAACTCAGAGAGTTGAACGCACACATCGCATAGCAGTTTCTGAGAATGATTCTGTCTAGTTTTTATACGAAGATATTTCCTTTTCTGCCTTTGGCCTCAAAGCGCTTGA
Organism: Homo sapiens; assembly: GCF_000001405.40. Taxonomy (NCBI): domain Eukaryota; kingdom Metazoa; phylum Chordata; class Mammalia; order Primates; family Hominidae; genus Homo; species Homo sapiens. The sequence goes on along the minus strand of NC_000005.10, from coordinate 49,079,413 downwards.
AATCTCCATTTGCAAATTCCACAAAAAGAGTGTTTCAAATCTGCTCTGTGTAAATGAAAGTTCAACTCTGTGAGTTGAACACACACAACACATGGAAGTTACTGGGAATTCTTCTGTCTAGCCTTATATGAAAAAAACCCGTTTCCAACGAAGGCCTCAAAGAGGTCTGAATATCCACTTAGAGACTTTACAAACAGAGTGTTTCCTAACTGCTCTATGAAAAGAAAGGTTAAACTCTGTGAGTTGAACGCACACATCACAAAGGAGTTTCTGAGAATCATTCTGTCTAGTTTTTCTACGAAGATATTTCCTTTTCTACTATTGACCTCAAAGCGGCTGAAATCTCCACTTGCAAATTCCACAAAAAGAGTGTTTCAAGACTGCTCTGTGTAAAGGATCGTTCAACTCTGTGAGTTGAATACACACAACACAAGGAAGTTACTGAGAATTCTTCTGTGTAGCAGAATATGAAGAAATCCCGTTTCCAACGAAGGCCTCAAAGAGGTCTGAATATCCACTTGCAGACTTTACAAACAGAGTGTTTCCTAACTGCTCTATGAAAAGAAAGGTTAATCTCTGTGAGGTGAACGCACACATCACAAAGGAGTTTCTGAGAATCATTCTGTCTATTTTCTATAGGAAGATATTTCCTATTCTACCATTGACCTCAAAGCGGCTGAAATCTCCACTTGCAAATTCCACAAAAAGAGTGTTTCAAGTCTGCTCTCTGTAAAGGATTCGTTCAACTCTGTGAGTTGAATACACACAACACAAGGAAGTTACTGAGAATTCTTCTGTCTAGCCTTACATGAAAAAATCCCGTTTCCAACGAAGGCCTCTAAGTGGTCAAAATATCCACGTGCAGACTTTACAAACAGAGTGTTTCCAAACCGCTGAATGACTAGAAAAGTTAAACTCTGAGAGTTGAACGCACACATCACGCAGCAGTTTCTGAGAATGATTCTGTCTAGTTTTGAAACGAAGATATTTCCTTTTCTGCCTGTGGCCTCAAAGCGCTTGAAATCTCCACTTGCAAATTCCACAAAAAGAGTGTTTCAAATCTGCTCTGTGTAAATGAAAGTTCAACTCTGTGAGTTGAACACACACAACACAAGGAAGTTACTGGGAATTCTTCTGTCTAGCAGAATATGAAGAAATCCCGTTTCCAACGAAGGCCTCAAGATGTCAGAATATGCACTTACAGACTTTACAAACAGAGTGTTTCCTAACTGCTCTATGAACAGAAAGGTTAAACTCTGTGTGTTGAACGCACACATCACAAAGGAGTTTATGAGAATCATTCTGTCTATTTTCTGTAGGAAGCATATTTCCTATTCTACCTTTGACCTCAAAGCGGCTGAAATCTCCACTTGCAAATTCCACAAAAAGAGTGTTTCAAGTCTGCTCTCTGTAAAGGATCGTTCAACTCTGTGAGTTGAATACACACAACACAAGGAAGTTACTGAGAATTATTCTGTATAGCAGAATATGAAGAAATCCCGTTTCCAACGAAGGCCACAAGATGTCAGAATATCCACTTACAGAATTTACAAACAGACTGTTTCCTAACTGCTCTATGAAAAGAAAGGTTAAACTCTGTGAGTTTACCGAACACCTCACAACGCAGTTTGTGGGAATGATTCTGTCTAGTTTTAATACGAAGATATTTCCTTTTATACCATTGACCTCAAAGCGGCTAAAATCACCACTTGCCAATTGCACAAAAAGAGTGTTTCAAATCTGCTCTGTCTAAGGGAACGTTCAACTCTGTGAGTTGAATGTACACAACACAAGGAAGTTACTGGGAATTCTTCTGTCTAGCCTTACAGGAAAGAAACCCGTTTCCAACGAAGGCCTCTAAGTGGTCAAAATATCCACGTGCAGACTTTACAAACAGAGTGTTTCCAAACTGCTGAATGAAAAGCAAAGTTAAACTCTGAGAGTTGAACGCACACATCGCAGAGCAGTTTCTGAGAATGATTCTGTCTAGTCTTTATACGAAGATATTTCCTTTTCTACCACTGACCTCAAAGCGGCATGAAATCTCCACTTGCAAATTCCACAAAAAGAGTGTTTCAAGCTCTGCTCTCGTGTAAAGGATCGTTCAACTCTGTGAGTTGAATACACACAACACAAGGAAGTTACTGAGAATTCTTCTGTCTAGCATAATATGAAGAAATCCCGTTTCCAACGAAGGCCTCAAAGAGGTCTGAATATCCACTTGCAGACGTTACAAACAGAGTGTTTCCTAACTGCTCTATGAAAAGAAAAGTTAAACTCTGTGAGTTGAACGCACACATCACAAAGGAGTTTCTGAGAATCATTCTGTCTAGTCTTTATATGAAGATAGTTTCCTTTTCTACTATTGACCTCAAAGCGGCTGAAATCTCCACTTGCAAATTCCACAAAAAGAGTGTTTCAAGTCTGCTCTGTGTAAAGGATCGTTCAACTCTGTGAGTTGAATACACACAACACAAGGAAGTTACTGAGAATTCTTCTGTCTAGCAGAATATGAAGAAATCCCGTTTCCAACGAAGGCCACAAGATGTCAGAATATCCACTTACAGACTTTACAAACAGAGTGTTTCCTAACTGCTCTATGAACAGAAAGGTTAAACTCTGTGAGTTGAACGAACACATCACAACACAGTTTGTGGGAATGATTCTGTCTAGTTTTGAAACGAAGATATTTCCTTTTCTGCCATTGACCTTAAAGCGCTTGAAATCTCCACTTGCCAATTGCACAAAAAGAGTGTTTCAAATCTGCTCTGTCTAAGGGAACGTTCAACTCTGTGAGTTGAACCGTACACAACACAAGGAAGTTACTGGGAATTCTTCTGTCTAGCCTTACAGGAAAAAAACCCGTTTCCAACGAAGGCCTCTAAGTGGTCAAAATATCCACGTGCAGACTTTACAAACAGAGTGTTTCCAAACTGCTGAATGAAAAGAAAAGTTAAACTCTGAGAGTTGAACGCACACATCGCAGAGCAGATTCTGAGAATGATTCTGTCTAGTTTTGAAACGAAGATATTTCCTTTTCTGCCTTTGGCCTCAAAGCGCTTGAAATCTCCACTTGCAAATTCCACAAAAAGAGTGTTTCAAATCTGCTCTGGGTAAATGAATGTTCAACTCTGTGAGTTGAACACACACAACTCAAGGAAGTTACTGGGAATTCTTCTGTCTAGCATAATATGAAGAAATCCCGTTTCCAACGAAGGCCTCAAAGAGGTCTGAATATCCACTTGCAGACTTTACAAACAGAGTGTTTCCTAACTGCTCTATGAAAAGAAAAGTTAAACTCTGTGAGTTGAACGCACACATCACAAAGGAGTTTATGAGAATCATTCTGTCTAGTCTTTATACGAAGATATTTCCTTTTCTACCATTGACCTCAAAGCGGCTGAAATCTCCACTTTCAAATTCCACAAAAAGAGTGTTTCAAGTCTGCTCTGTGTAAAGGATCGTTCAACTCTGTGAGTAGAATACACACAACACAAGGAAGTCACTGAGAATTCTTCTGTCTAGCAGAATATGAAGAAATCCCGTTTCCAACGAAGGCCACAAGATGTCAGAATATCCACTTACAGAATTGACAAACAGACTGTTTCCTAACTGCTCTATGAAAAGAAAGGTTAAACTCTGTGAGTTGAACGAACCCATCACAACGCAGTTTGTGGGAATGATTCTGTCTAGTTTTGAAACGAAGATATTTCCTTTTCTGCCGTTGACCTGAAAGCGCTTGAAATCTACACTTGCAAATTACACAAATAGACTGTTTCAAATCTGCTCTGTCTAAGGGAACGTTCAACTCTGTGAGTTGAATGCACACAACACAAGGAAGTTACTGGGAATTCTTCTGTCTACACTTACATGAAAAAAACCCGTTTCCAACGAAGGCCTCTAAGTGGTCAAAATATCCACGTGCAGACTTTACAAACAGAGTGTTTTCAAACTGCTGAATGAAAAGAAATGTTAAACTCTGAGAGTTGAACGCACACATCACAGAGGATTTTCTGAGAATGATTCTGTCTAGTTTTTATGCGAAGATATTTCCTTTTCTGCCTTTGGCCTCAAAGCGCTTGAAATCTCCACTTGCAAATTCCACAAAAAGAGTGTTTCAAATCTGCTCTGTGTAAATGAAAGTTCAACTCTGTCAGTTGAACACACACAACACAAGGAAGTTACTGGGAATTCTTCTGTCAAGCCTTATATGTAAAAAACCCGTTTCCAACGAAGGCCTCAAAGAGGTCTGAATATCCACTTGCAGACTTTACAAACAGAGTGTTTCCTAACTGCTCTATGAAAAGAAAGGTTAAACTCTGTGAGTTGAACGCACACATCACAAAGGAGTTTCTGAGAATCATTCTGTCTAGTTTTTATACGAAGATATTTCCTTTTCTACCATGGACCTCAAAGCGGCTGAAATCTCCACTTGCAAATTCCACAAAAAGAGTGTTTCAAGTCTGCTCTGTGTAAAGGATCGTTCAACTCTGTGAGTTGAATACACACAACACAAGGGAAGATTCTGAGAATTCTTCTGTCTAGCAGAATATGAAGAAATCCCGTTTCCAACGAAGGCCTCAAGGAGGTCTGAATATCCACTTGCAGACTTTACAAACAGAGTGTTTCCTAACTGCTCTATGAACAGAAAGGTTAAACTCTGTGAGTTGAACAAACACATCACAACGCAGTTTGTGGGAATGATTCTGTCTAGTTTTGAAACGAAGATATTTCCTTTTCTGCCATTGACCTTAAAGCGCTTGAAATCTCCACTTGCCAATTGCACAAAAAGAGTGTTTCAAATCTGCTCTGTCTAAGGGAACGTTCAACTCTGTGAGTTGAATGTACACAACACAAGGAATTTACTGGGAAATCTTCTGTCTAGCCTTACATGAAAAAAAACCCGTTTCCAACGAAGGCCACTAAGTGGTCAAAATATCCACGTGCAGACTTTACAAACAGAGTGTTTCCAAACCGCTGAATGACAAGAAAAGTTAAACTCTGAGAGTTGAACGCACACATCACGCAGCAGTTTCTGAGAATGATTCTGTCTAGTTTTTATACGAAGATATTTCCTTTTCTACCATTGACCTCAACGCGGCTGAAATCTCCACTTGCAAATTCCTCAAAAAGTGTGTTTCAAGTCCGCTCTGTGTAAAGGATCGTTCAACTCTGTGAGTTGAATACACACAACACAAGGAAGTTACTGAGAATTCTTCTGTCTAGCAGAATATGAAGAAATCCCGCTTCCAACGAAGGCCTCAAAGAAGTCTGAATATCCACTTGCAGACTTTACAAACAGAGTGTTTCCCAACTGCTCTATGAAAAGAAAGGTTTAACTCTGTGAGTTGAACGCACATATCACAAAGGAGTTTCTGAGAATCATTCTGTCTAGTTTCTATAGGAAGATATTTCCTATTCTACCATTGAACTCAAAGCGGCTGAAATCTCCACTTGCAAATTCCACAAATAGAGTGTTTCAAGTCTGCTCTGTGTAAAGGATCGTTCAACTCTGTGAGTTGAATACACACAACACAAGGAAGTTACTGAGAGTTCTTCTGTCTAGCAGAATATGAAGAAATCCCGTTTCCAACGAAGGCCTCAAGGAGGTCTGAATACCCACTTGCAGACTTTACAAACAGAGTGTTTCCTAACTGCTCTATGAACAGAAAGGTTAAACTCTGTGAGTTGAACGAACACATCACAACGCAGTTTGTGGGAATGATTCTGTCTAGTTTTGAAACGAAGATATTTCCTTTTCTGCCATTGACCTTAAAGCGCTTGAAATCTACACTTGCAAATTGCACAAATAGAGTGTTTCAAATCTGCTCTGTCTAAGGGAACGTTCAACTCTGTGAGTTGAATTCACACAACACAATGAAGTTACTGGGAATTCTTCTGTCTAGCCTTACATGCAAAAAACCCGTTTCCAACTAAGGCCTCTAAGTGGTCAAAATATCCACGTGCAGACTTTACAAACAGAGTGTTTCCAAACCGCTGAATGAAAAGAAAAGTTAAACTCTGAGAGTTGAACGCACACATCACGCAGCAGTTTCTGAGAATGATTCTGTCTAGTTTTTATACGAAGATATTTCCTTTTCTGCCTTTGGCCTCAAAGCGCTTGAAATCTCCACTTGCAAATTCCACAAAAAGAGTGTTTCAAATCTGCTCTGTGTAAATGAAAGTTCAACTCACAGAGTTGAACACACACAACACAAGGAAGTTACTGGGAATTCTTCTGTCTTGGAGAATATGAAGAAATCCCATTTCCAACCAAGGCCACAAAATGTCAGAATATCCACTTACAGACTATATAAACAGAGTGTTTACTAACTGCTCTATGAAAAGAAAGGTTAAACTCTGTGAGTTGAACACACACATCACAAAGGAGTTTCTGAGAATCATTCTGTCTAGTTTCTATAGGAAGATATTTCCTATTCTACTTTTGACCTCAAAGCGGCTGAAATCTCCACTTGCAAATTCCACAAAAAGTGTTTCAACTCTGCTCTCTGTAAAGGATCGTTCAACTCTGTGAGTTGAATGCACACAACACAAGGAAGTTACTGAGAATTATTCTGTCTAGCAGAATATGAAGAAATCCCGTTTCCAACGAAGGCCACAAGATGTCAGAATATCCACTTACAGAATTGACAAACAGACTGTTTCCTAACTGATCTATGAAAAGAAAGGTTAAACTCTGTGAGTTGAACGAACACATCACAACGCAGTTTGTGGGAATGATTCTGTCTAGTTTGAAACGAAGATATTTCCTTTTCTGCCATTGACCTCAAAGCGCTTGAAATCTCCACTTGCCAATTGCACAAAAAGAGTGTTTCAAATCTGCTCTGTCTAAGGGAACGTTCAACTCTGTGAGTTGAATGTACACAACACAAGGAAGTTACTGGGAATTCTTCTGTCTAGCCTTACAGGAAAGAAACCCGTTTCCAACGAAGGCCTCTAAGTGGTCGAAATATCCACGTGCAGACTTTACAAACAGAGTGTTTCCAAACTGCTGAATGAAAAGAAAAGTTAAACTCTGAGAGTTGAACGCACACATCGCAGAGCAGTTTCTGAGAATGATTCTGTCTAGTTTTTATACGAAGATATTTCCTTTTCTGCCTTTGGCCTCACAGCGCTTGAAATCTCCACTTGCAAATTCCACAAAAAGAGTGTTTCAAATCTGCTCTGTGTAAATGAAAGTTCAACTCTGTGAGTTGAACACACACAACACAAGGAAGTTACTGGGATTTCTTCTGTCTAGCATAATATGAAGAAATCCCGTTTCCAACGAAGGCCTCAAGGAGGTCTGAATATCCACTTGCAGACTTTACAAACAGAGTGTTTCCTAACTGCTCTATGAAAAGAAAGGTTAAACTGTGTGAGTTCAACGCACACATCACAAAGGAGTTTCTGAGAATCATTCTGTCTAGTCTTTATACGAAGATATTTTCTTTTCTACCATTGACCTCAAAGCGGCTGAAATCTCCACTTGCAAATTCCACAAAAAGAGTGTTTCAAGTCTGCTCTGTGTAAAGGATCGTTCAACTCTGTGAGTTGAATACACACAACACAAGGAAGTTACTGAGAATTCTTCTGTCTAGCAGAATATGAAGAAATCCCGTTTCCAACGAAGACCTCAAGGAGGTCTGAATATCCACTTACAGACTTTAGAGAGTGTTTCCTAACTGCTCTATGAACGGAAAGGTTAAACTCTGTGAGTTGAACGAACACATCACAACGCAGTTTGTGGGAATGATTCTGTCTAGTTTTGAAACGAAGATATTTCCTTTTCTGCCATTGACCTTAAAGCGCTTGAAATCTACACTTGCAAATTGCACAAATAGAGTGTTTCAAATCTGCTCTGTCTAAGGGAACGTTCAACTCTGTGAGTTGAATGCACACAACACAAGGAAGTTACTGGGAATTCTTCTGTCTAGCCTTACATGAAAAAAAACCCGTTTCCAACGAAGGCCTCTAAGTGGTCAAAATATCCACCTGCAGTCTTTACAAACAGAGTGTTTCCAAACCGCTGAATGAAAAGAAAAGTTAAACTCTGAGAGTTGAACGCACACATCACGCAGCAGTTTCTGAGAATGATTCTGTCTAGTTTTTATACGAAGATATTTCCTTTTCTGCCTTTGGCCCCAAAGCGCTTGAAATCTCCACTTGCAAATTCCATAAAAACAGTGTTTCAAATCTGCTCTCTCTAAATGAAAGTTCAACTCTTTCAGTTGAATACACACAACACAAGGAAGTTACTGAGAATTCTTTTGTCTAGCATAATATGAAGAAATCCCGTTTCCAACGAAGGCCTCAAGGAGGTCTGAATATCCACTTGCAGACTTTACAAACAGAGTGTTTCCTAACTGCTCTATGAAAAGAAAGGTTAAACTCTGTGAGTTGAACGCACACATCACAAACGAGTTTCTCAGAATCATTCTGTCTAGTTTTTATAGGAAGATATTTCCTTTTCTACCTTTGACTTCAAAGCGGCTGAAATCTCCACTTGCAAATTCCACAAAAAGAGTGTTACAAGTCTGCTCTGTGTAAAGGATCGTTCAACTCTGTGAGTTGAATACACACAACACAAGGAAGGTACTGAGAATTCTTCTGTCTAGCAGAATATGAAGAAATCCCGTTTCCAACGAAGGCCACAAGATGTCAGAATATCCACTTACAGACTTTACAAACAGCGTGTTTCCTAACTGCTCTATGAACAGAAAGGTTAAACTCTGTGAGTTGAACGTACACATCACAACGCAGTTTGTGGGAATGATTCTGTCTAGTTTTGAAACGAAGATATTTCCTTTTCTGCCATTGACCTTAAAGCGCTTGAAATCTCCATTTGCCAATTGCACAAAAAGAGTGTTTCAAATCTGCTCTGTCTAAGGGAACGTTCAACTCTGTGAGTTGAATGTACACAACACAAGGAAGTTACTGGGAATTCTTCTGTCTAGCCTTACAGGAAAAAAACCCGTTTCCAACGAAGGCCTCTAAGTGGTCAAGTTATCCACGTGCAGACTTTACAAACAGAGTGTTTCCAAACTGCTGAATGAAAAGAAAAGTTAAACTCTGAGAGTTGAACGCACACATCGCAGAGCAGTTTCTGAGAGTGATTCTGTCTAGTTTTTATACGAAGATATTTCCTTTTCTGCCTTTGGCCTCAAAGCGCTTGAAATCTCCACTTGCAAATTCCACAAAAAGAGTGTTTCAAATCTGCTCTGTGTAAATGAAAGTTCAACTCTGTGAGTTGAACACACACAACACAAGGAAGTTACTCGGAATTCTTCTGTCTAGCATAATATGAAGAAATCCCGTTTCCAACGAAGGCCTCAAGGAGGTCTGAATATCCACTTGCAGACTTTACAAACAGAGTGTTTCCTAACTGCTCTATGTAAAGAAAGGTTAAACTCTGTGAGTTGAACGCTTACATCACAAAGGAGTTTCTGAGAATCATTCTGTCTAGTTTTTATACGAAGATATTTCCTTTTCTACCATTGACCTCAAAGCAGCTGAAATCTCCACTTGCAAATTCCACAAAACGAGTGTTTCAAGTCTGCTCTGTGTAAAGGATCGTTCAACTCTGTGAGTTGAATACACACAACACAAGGAAGTTACTGAGAATTCTTCTGTCTAGCAGAATATGAAGAAATCCCGTTTCCAACGATGGCCACAAGATGTCAGAATATCCACTTACAGACTTTAAAAACAGAGTGTTTCCTAACTGCTCTATGAACAGAAAGGTTAAACTCTGTGAGTTGAACGAACACATCACAACGCAGTTTGTGGGAATGATTCTGTCTAGTTTTGAAACGAAGATATTTCCTTTTCTTCCATTGACCTTAAAGCGCTTGAAATCTACACTTGCAAATTGCACAAATAGAGTGTTTCAAATCTGCTCTGTCTAAGGGAACGTTCAACTCTGTGAGTTGAATGCACCCAACACAAGGAAGTTACTGGGAATTCTTCTGTCTAGCCTTACATGAAAAAAACCCGTTTCCAACGAAGGCCTCTAAGTCGTCAAAATATCCACGTGCAGACTTTACAAACAGAGTGTTTCCAAACCGCTGAATGAAAAGAAAAGTTAAACTCTGAGAGTTGAACGCACACATCACGCAGCAGTTTCTGAGAATGATTCTGTCTAGTTTTGAAACGAAGATATTTCCTTTTCTGCCTTTGGCCTCAAAGCGCTTGAAATCTCCACTTGCAAATTGCACAAAAAGAGTGTTTCAAATCTGCTCTGTGTAAATGAAAGTTCAACTCTGTGAGTTGAACACACACAACACAAGGGAAGTTACTGGGAATTCTTCTGTCTAGCATAATATGAAGAAATCCCGTTTCCAACGAAGGCCTCAAATGGGTCTGAATATCCACTTGCAGACTTTATAAACAGAGTGTTTACTAACTGCTCTATGAAAAGAAAGGTTAAACTCTGTGAGTTGAACACACACATCACAAAGGAGTTTCTGAGAATCATTCTGTCTAGTTTCTATAGGAAGATATTTCCTATTCTACCATTGAACTCAAAGCGGCTGAAATATCCACTTGCAAATTCCACAAAAAGAGTGTTTCAAGTCTGCTCTGTGTAAAGGATCGTTCAACTCTGTGAGTTGAATACACACAACACAAGGAAGTTACTGAGAATTCTTCTTTCTAGCAGAATATGAAGAAATCCCGTTTCCAACGAAAGCCTCAAGGATGTCTGAATATCCACTTGCAGACTTTACAAACAGAGTGTTTCCTAACTGCTCTATGAAAAGAAAGGTTAAACTCTGTGAGTTGAACCCACACATCACAAAGGAGTTTCTGAGAATCATTCTGTCTAGTTTTGAAACGAAGATATTTCCTTTTCTGCCATTGACCTTAAAGCGCTTGAAATCTCCATTTGCCAATTGCACAAAAAGAGTGTTTCAAATCTGCTCTGTCTAAGGGAACGTTCAACTCTGTGAGTTGAATGTACACAACACAAGGAAGTTACTGGGAATTCTTCTGTCTAGCCTTACATGAAAAAAACCCGTTTCCAACGAAGGCCTCTAAGTGGTCAAAATATCCACGTGCAGACTTTACAAACAGAGTGTTTCCAAACCGCTGAATGAAAAGAAAAGTTAAACTCTTGAGAGTTGAACGCACACATCACGCAGCAGTTTCTGAGAATGATTCTGTCTAGTTTTTATACGAAGATATTTCCTTTTCTGCCTTTGGCCCCAAAGCGCTTGAAATCTCCACTTGCAAATTCCACAAAAACAGTGTTTCAAATCTGCTCTTTCTAAATGAAAGTTCAACTCTGTCAGTTGAATACACACAACACAAGGAAGTTACTGAGAATTCTTCTGTCTAGCATAATATGAAGAAATCCCGTTTCCAACGAAGGCCTCAAAGGGGTCTGAATATCCACTTGCAGACTTTATAAACAGAGTGTTTACTAACTGCTCTATGAAAAGAAAGGTTAAACTCTGTGAGTTGAACGCACACATCACAAAGGAGTTTATGAGAATCATTCTGTCCAGTTTTTATACGAAGATATTTCCTTTTCTACAATTGACCTCAAAGCGGCTGAAATCTCCACTTGCAAATTCCACAAAAAGACTGTTTCAAGTCTGCTCTGTGTAAAGAATCGTTGAACTCTGTGAGTTGAATACAGACAACACAAGGAAGTTACTGAGAATTCTTCTGTCTAGCATAATATGAAGAAATCCCGTTTCCAACGAAGGCCTCAAGGAGGTCTGAATATCCATTTGCAGACTTTACAAACAGAGTGTTTCCTAACTGCTCTATGAAAAGAAAGGTTAAACTCTGTGAGTTGAACGCACACATCACAAAGGAGTTTCTGAGAATCATTCTGTCTAGTTTTTATACGAAGATATTTCCTTTTCTACCATTGACCTCAAAGCGGCTGAAATCACCACTTGCCAATTGCACAAAAAGAGTGTTTCAAATCTGCTCTGTCTAAGGGAACGTTCAACTCTGTGAGTTGAATGTACACAACACAAGGAAGTTACTGGGAATTCTTCTGTCTAGCCTTACAGGAAAGAAACCCGTTTCCAACGAAGGCCTCTAAGTGGTCAAAATATCCACGTGCAGACTTTACAAACAGAGTGTTTCCAAACTGCTGAATGAATAGAAAAGTTAAACTCTGAGAGTTGAACGCACACATCGCAGAGCAGTTTCTGAGAATGATTCTGTCTAGTTTTGAAACGAAGATATTTCCTTTTCTGCCTTTGGCCTCAAAGCGCTTGAAATCTCCACTTGCAAATTCCACAAAAAGAGTGTTTCAAATCTGCTCTGTGTAAATGAAAGTTCAACTCTGTGAGTTGAACACACAAAACACAAGGAAGTTACCGGGAATTCTTCTGTCTAGCCTTATATGAAAAAAACCCGTTTCCAACGAAGGCCTCAAAGAGGTCTGAATATCCACTTGCAGACTTTACAAACAGAGTGTTTCCTATCTGCTCTATGAAAAGAAAGGTGAAACTCTGTGAGTTGAACACACACATCACAAAGGAGTTTCTGAGAATCATTTCTGTCTAGTTTTTGTACGAAGATATTTCCTTTTCTACCATGGACCTCAAAGCGGCTGAAATCTCCACTTGCAAATTCCACAAAAAGAGTGTTTCAAGTCTGCTCTGTGTAAAGGATCGTTCAACTCTGTGAGTTGAATACACACAACACAAGGAAGATTCTGAGAATTCTTCTGTCTAGCAGAATAGGAAGAAATCCCTTTTCCAACGAAGGCCACAAGATGTCAGAATATCCACTTACAGACTTTACAAACAGAGTGTTTCCTAACTGCTCTATGAACAGAAAGGTTAAACTCTGTGAGTTGAACGCACACATCACAAAGGGGTTTCTGAGAATCATTCTGTCTAGTTTTTATAGGAAGATATTTCCTTTTCTACATTTGACTTCAAAGCGGCTGAAATCTCCACTTGCAAATTCCACAAAAGGAGTGTTACAAGTCTGCTCTGTGTAAAGGATCGTTCAACTGTGTGAGTTGAATACACACAACACAAGGAAGTTACTGAGAATTCTTCTGTCTAGCCTTACATGAAAAAAACCCGTTTCCAACGAAGGCCTCTAAGTGGTCAAAATATCCACGTGCAGACTTTACAGACAGAGTGTTTCCAAACCGCTGAATGAAAAGAAAAGTTAAACTCTGAGAGGTGAACGCACACATCACGCAGCAGTTTCTGAGAATGATTCTGTCTAGTTTTTATACGAAGATATTTCCTTTTCTGCCTTTGGCCCCAAAGCGCTTGAAATCTCCACTTGCAAATTCCACAAAAACAGTGTTTCAAATCTACTCTCTCTAAATGAAAGTTCAAATCTGTCAGTTGAATACACACAACACAAGGAAGTTACTGAGAATTCTTCTGTCTAGCATAATATGAAGAAATCCCGTTTCCAACGAAGGCCTCAAAGGGGTCTGAATATCCACTTGCAGACTTTATAAACAGAGTGTTTACTAACTGCTCTATGAAAAGAAAGGTTAAACTCTGTGAGTTGAACACACACACCACAAAGGAGTTTCTGAGAATCATTCTGTCTAGTTTCTATAGGAAGATATTTCCTATTCTACCATTGACGTCAAAGCGGCTGAAATCTCCACTTGCAAATTCCACAAAAAGAGTGTTTCAAGTCTGCTCTGTGTAAAGGATCGTTCAACTCTGTGAGTTGAATACACACAACACAAGGCAGTTACTGAGAATTCTTCTGTCTAGCAGAATATGAAGAAATCCCGTTTCCAACGAAGGCCACAAGATGTCAGAATATCCACTTACAGAATTTACAAACAGAGTGTTTCCTAACTGCTCTATGAAAAGAAAGGTTAAACTCTGTGAGTTGAACGAACACATCACAACGCAGTTTGTGGGAATGATTCTGTCTAGTTTTGAAACGAAGATATTTCCTTTTCTGCCATTGACCTTAAAGCCCTTGAAATCTCCACTTGCCAATTTCACAAAACGAGTGTTTCAAATCTGCTCTCTCTAAGGGAACGTTCAACTCTGTGAGTTGAATGTACACAACACAAGGAAGTTACTGGGAATTATTCTGTCTAGCCTTACAGGAAAAAAACCTGTTTCCAACGAAGGCCTCTAAGTGGTCAAGTTATCCACGTGCAGACTTTACAAACAGAGTGTTTCCAAACTGCTGAATGAAAAGAAAAGTTAAACTTTGAGAGTTGAACGCACACATCGCAGAGCAGTTTCTGAGAATGATTCTGTCTAGTTTTGAAACGAAGACTATTTCCTTTTCTGCCTTTGGCCTCAAAGCGCTTGAAATCTCCACTTGCAAATTCCACAAAAAGAGTGTTTCAAATCTGCTCTGTGTAAATGAAAGTTCAACTCTGTGAGTTGAACACACACAACACAAGGAAAGTTACTGGGAATTCTTCTGTCTAGCATAATATGAAGAAATCCCGTTTCCAACGAAGGCCTCAAAGGGGTCTGAATATCCACTTGCAGACTTTATAAACAGTGTTTACTAACTGCTCTATGAAAAGAAAGGTTAAACTCTGTGAGTTGAACACACACATCACAAAGGAGTTTCTGAGAATCATTCTGTCTAGTTTTTATACGAAGATATTTCCTTTTCTACCATTGACCTCAAAGCGGCTGAAATCTCCACTTGCAAATTCCACAAAAAGAGTGTTTCAAATCTGCTCTGTGTAAACCATCGTTCAACTGTGTGAGTTGAATACACACAACACAAGGAAGATTCTGAGAATTCTTCTGTCTAGCAGAATATGAAGAAATCCCGTTTCCAACGAAGGCCACAAGATGTCAGAATATCCACTTACAGAATTTACAAACAGACTGTTTCCTAACTGCTCTACGAAAAGAAAGGTTAAACTCTGTGAGATGAACGAACACATCACAACGCAGTTTGTGGGAATGATTATCTGTCTAGTTTTGAAACGAAGATATTTCCTTTTCTGCCATTGACCTTAAAGCGCTAGAAATCTCCACTTGCCAATTGCACAAAAAGAGTGTTTCAAATCAGCTCTGTCTAAGGGAACGTTCAACTCTGTGAGTTGAATGTACACAACACAAGGAAGTTACTGGGAATTCTTCTGTCTAGCCTTACTGGAAAAAAACCCGTTTCCAACGAAGGCCTCAAAGAGGTCAAAATATCTACTTGCAGACTTTACAAACAGAGTGATTCCTAACTACTCTATGAAAAGAAAGTTTAAACTCTGTGAGTTGAACGCACACATCACAAAGAAGTTTCTGAGAATCATTCTGTCTAGTTTTTATACGAAGATATATCCTTTTCTGCATTTGGCCCCAAAGCGCTTGAAATCTCCAATTGCAAATTCCACAAAAACAGTGTTTCAAATCTTCTCTCTCTAAATGAAAGTTCAACTCTGTCAGTTGAATACACACAACACAAGGAAGTTACTGAGAATTCTTCTGTCTAGCATAATATGAAGAAATCCCGTTTCCAACGAAGGCCTCAAAGAGGTCTGAATATCCACTTGCAGACTTTACAAACAGTGTGTTTCCTAACGGCTCTATGAACAGAAAGGTTAAACTCTGTGAGTTGAACGCACACATCACAAAGGAGTTTCTGAGAATCATTCTGTCTAGTTTCTATAGGAAGATATTTCCTATTCTACCATTGACCTCAAAGCGGCTGAAATCTCCACTTGCAAATTCCACAAAAAGAGTGTTTCAAGTCTGTTCTGTGTAAAGGATCATTCAACTCTGTGAGTTGAATACACACAACACAAGGAAGTTACTGAGAATTCTTCTGTCTACCAGAATATGAAGAAATCCCGTTTCCAACGAAGGCCACAAGATGTCAGAATATCCACTTAGAGAATTTACAAACAGACTGTTTCCTAACTGCTCTATGAAAAGAAAGGTTAAACTCTGTGAGTTGAACGAACACATCACAACGCAGTTTGTGGGAATGATTCTGTCTAGTTTTGAAACGAAGATATTTCCTTTTCTGCCATTGACCTTAAAGCGCTTGAAATCTACACTTGCAAATTGCACAAATAGAGTGTTTCAAATCTGCTCTGTCTAAGGGAACGTTCAACTCTGTGAGTGGAATGCACACAACACAAGGAAGTTACTGGGAATTCTTCTGTCTAGCCTTACATGAAAAAAACCCGTTTCCAACGAAGGCCTCTAAGTGGTCAAAATATCCACGTGCAGACTTTACAAACAGAGTGTTTCCAAACCGCTGAATGAAAAGAAAAGTTAAACTCTGAGAGTTTAACGCACACATCACGCAGCAGTTTCTGAGAATGATTCTGTCTAGTTTTTATACGAAGATATTTCCTTTTCTGCCTTTGGCCTCAAAGCGCTTGAAATCTCCACTTGCAAATTCCACAAAAAGAGTGTTTCAAATCTACTCTGTGTAAATGAAAGTTCAACTCTGTGAGTTGAACACACACAACACAAGGAAGTTACTGGGAATTCTTCTGTCTAGTTTTTATAGGAAGTTATTTCCTTTTCTACCTTTGACTTCAAAGCGGCTGAATTCTCCACTTGCAAATTCCACAAAAAGAGTGTTACAAGTCTGCTCTGTGTAAAGGATCGTTCAACTCTGTGAGTTGAATACACACAACACAAGGAAGTTACTGAGAATTCTTCTGTCTAGCGGAATATGAAGAAATCCCGTTTCCAACGAAGGCCACAAGATGTCAGAATATCCACTTACAGAATTGACAAACAGACTGTTTCCTAACTGCTCTATGAAAAGAAAGGTTAAACTCTGTGAGTTGAACGAACACATCACAATGCAGTTTGTGGGAATGATTCTGTCTAGTTTTGAAACGAAGATATTTCCTTTTCTGCCATTGACCTTAAAGCGCTTGAAATCTACAATTGCAAATTGCACAAATAGAGTGTTTCAAATCTCCTCTGTCTAAGGGAACGTTCAACTCTGTGAGTTGAATGCACACAACACAAGGAAGTTACTGGGAATTCTTCTGTCTACCCTTTCATGAAAAAAACCCGTTTCCAACGAAGGCCTCTAAGTGGTCAAAATATCCACGTGCAGACTTTACAAACAGAGTGTTTCCAAACTGCTGAATGAAAACAAAAGTTAAACTCTGAGAGTTGAACGCACACATCACAGAGCATTTTCTGAGAATGATTCTGTCTAGTTTTTATACGAAGATATTTCCTTTTCTGCCTTTGGCCCCAAAGCGCTTGAAATCTCCACTTGCAAATTCCACAAAAACAGTGTTTCAAATCTGCTCTCTCCAAATGAAAGTTCAACTCTGTCAGTTGAATACACACAACACAAGGAATTTACTGAGAATTCTTCTGTCTAGCATAATATTTAGAAATCCCGTTTACAACGAAGGCCTCAAGGAGGTCTGAATATCCACTTGCAGACTTTACAAACAGAGTGTTTCCTAACTGCTCTATGAAAAGAAAGGTTAAACTCTGTGAGTTGAACGCAGACATCACAAAGGAGTTTCTGAGAATCACTCTGTCTAGTTTCTATAGGAAGATATTTCCTATTCTACCTTTGACCTCAAAGCGACAGAAATCTCCACTTGCAAATTCCACAAAAAGTGTTTCAAGTCTGCTCTCTGGAAAGGATCGTTCAACTCTGTGAGTTGAATACACACAACACAAGGAAGTTACTGAGAATTCTTCTGTCTAGCAGAATATGAAGAAATCCCGTTTCCAACGAAGGCCACAATATTTCAGAATATACTCTTACAGAATTTACAAACAGACTGTTTCCTAACTGCTCTATGAAAAGAAAGGTTAAACTCTGTGAGTTGAACGAACACCTCACAACGCAGTTTGTGGGAATGATTCTGTCTAGTTTTGAAACGAAGATATTTCCTTTTCTGCCATTGACCTTAAAGCGCTTGAAATCTCCACTTGCCAATTGCACAAAAAGAGTGTTTCAAATCTGCTCTAAGGGAACGTTCAACTCTGTGAGTTGAATGTACACAACACAAGGAAGTTACTGGGAATTCTTCTGTCTAGCCCTACATGAAAAAAACCCGTTTCCAACGAAGGCCTCTAAGTGGTCAAAATATCCACGTGCAGACTTTACAAACAGAGTGTTTCCAAACCGCTGAATGAAAAGAAAAGTTAAACTCTGAGAGTTGAACGCACACATCACGCAGCAGTTTCTGAGAATGATTCTGTCAAGTTTTTATACGAAGTTATTTCCTTTTCTGCCTTTGGCCCCAAAGCGCTTGAAATCTCCACTTGCAAATTCCACAAAAACAGTGTTTCAAATCTGCTCTCTCTAAATGAAAGTTCAACTCTGTCAGTTGAATACACACAACAGAAGGAAGTTACTGAGAATTCTTCTGTCTAGCAGAATATGAAGAAATCCCGTTTCCAACGAAGGACTCAAGGAGGTCTGAATATCCACTTGCAGACTTTACAAACAGAGTGTTTCCTAACTGCTCTATGAAAAGAAAGGTTAAACTCTGTGAGTTGAACGCACACATCACAAAGGAGTTTATGAGAATCATTCTGTCTAGTTTTTATACGAAGATATTTCCTTTTCTACCATTGACCTCAACGCGGCTGAAATCTGCACTTGCAAATTCCACAAAACGAGTGTTTCAAGTCCGCTCTGTGTAAAGGATCGTTCAACTCTGTGAGTTGAATACACACAACACAAGGAAGTTACTGAGAATTCTTCTGTCTAGCAGAATATGAAGAAATCCCGTTTCCAACGAAGGCCACAAGATGTCAGAATATCCACTTACAGACTTTACAAACAGAGTGTTTCCTAACTGCTCTATGAACAGAAAGGTTAAACTCTGTGAGTTGAACGAACACATCACAACGCAGTTTGTGGAAATGATTCTGTCTAGTTTTGAAACCAAGATATTTCCTTTTCTGCCGTTGACCTTAAAGAGCTTGAAAACTACACTTGCAAATTGCACAAATAGAGTGTTTCAAATCTGCTCTGTCTAAGGGAACGTTCAACTCTGTGAGTTGAATGCACACAACACAAGGAAGTTACTGGGAATTCTTCTGGCTAGCCTTATAGGAAAAAAACCCCTTTCCAACGAAGGCCTCTAAGTGGTCAAAATATCCACGTGCAGACTTTACAAACAGAGTGTTTCCAAACTGCTGAATGAAAAGAAAAGTTAAACTCTGAGAGTTGAACGCACACATCGCAGAGCAGTTTCTGAGAATGATTCTGTCTAGTTTTTATACGAAGATATTTCCTTTTCTGCCTTTGGCCTCAAAGCGCTTGAAATCTCCACTTGCAAATTCCACAAAAAGAGTGTTTCAAATGTGCTCTGTGTAAATGAAAGTTCAACTCTGTGAGTTGAACACACACAACACAAGGAAGTTACTGGGAATTCTTCTTTCTGGCAGAATATGAAGAAATCCCGTTTCCAACGAAAGCCTCAAGGATGTCTGAATATCCACTTGCAGACTTTACAAACAGAGTGTTTCCTAACTGCTCTATGAAAAGAAAGGTTAAACTCTGTGAGTTGAACGCACACATCACAAAGGAGTTTCTGAGAATCATTCTGTCTAGTTTTGAAACGAAGATATTTCCTTTTCTGCCTTTGGCCTCAAAGCGCTTGAAATCTCCACTTGCAAATTCCACAAAAAGAGTGTTTCAAGTCTGCTCTGTGTAAAGGATCGTTCAACTCTGTGAGTTGAATACACACAACACAAGGAAGATTCTGAGAATTCTTCTGTCTAGCAGAATATGAAGAAATCCCGTTTCCAACGAAGGCCTCAAGGAGGTCTGAATATCCACTTACAGACTTCACAAACAGAGTGTTTCCTAACTGCTCTATGAACAGAAAGGTTAAACTCTGTGAGTTTAACGAACACATCACAACGCAGTTTTTGGGAATGAGTCTGTCTAGTTTTGAAACGCAGATATTTCCTTTTTTGCCATTGACCTTAAAGCGATTGAAATCTACACTTGCAAATTACACAAATAGAGTGTTTCAAATCTGCTCTGTCTAAGGGAATGTTCATCTCTGTGAGTTGAATGCACACAACACAAGGAAGTTACTGGGAATTCTTCTGTCTAGCCTTACATGAAAAAAAACCCGTTTCCAACGAAGGCCTCTAAGTGGTCAAAATATCCACGTGCAGACTTTACAAACAGAGTGTTTCCAAACCGCTGAATGAAAAGAAAAGTTAAACTCTGAGAGTGGAACGCACACATCACGCAGCAGTTTCTGAGAATGATTCTGTCTAGTTTTTATACGAAGATATTTCCTTTTCTGCCTTTGGCCCCAAAGCGCTTGAAATCTCCACTTGCAAATTCCACAAAAACAGTGTTTCAAATCTGCTCACTCTAAATGAAAGTTCAACTCTGTCAGTTGAATACACACAACACAAGGAAGTTACTGAGAATTCTTCTTTCTAGCAGAATATGAAGAAATCCCGTTTCCAACGAAAGCCTCAAGGATGTCTGAATATCCACTTGCAGACTTCACAAACAGAGTGTTTCCTAACTGCTCTATGAAAAGAAAGGTTAAACTCTGTGAGTTGAACGCACACATCACAAAGGAGTTTCTGAGAATCATTCTGTCTAGTCTTTATACGAAGATATTTCCTTTTCTACCATTGACCTCAAAGCGGCTGTAATCTCCACTTGCAAATTCGAGAAAAAGAGTGTTTCAAGCCTGCTCTCTGTAAAGGATCCTTCAACTCGGTGAGTTGAAAACACAAAACACAAGGAAGTTACTGAGAATTATTCTGTCTAGCAGAATATGAAGAAATCCCGTTTCCAACGAAGGCCTCAAGGAGGTCTGAATATCCACTTGCAGACTTTACAAACAGAGTGTTTCCTAACTGCTCTATGAACAGAAAGGTTAAACTCTGTGAGTTGAACGAACACGTCACAACGCAGTTTGTGGGAATGATTCTGTCTAGTTTTAAAACGAAGATATTTCCTTTTCTGCCATTGACCTTAAAGCGCTTGAAATCTACACTTGCAAATTGCACAAATAGAGTGTTTCAAATCTGCTCTGTCTAAGGGAACGTTCAACTCTGTGAGTTGAATGCACACAACACAAGGAAGTTACTGGGAATTCTTCTGTCTAGCCTTACAGGAAAAAAACCCGTTTCCAACGAAGGCCTCTAAGTGGTCAAAATATCCACCTGCAGACTTTACAAACAGAGTGTTTCCAAACTGCTGAATGAAAAGAAAAGTTAAACTCTGAGAGTTGAACGCACACATCGCAGAGCAGTTTCTGAGAATGATTCTGTCTAGTTTTTAAACGAAGATATTTCGTTTTCTGCCTTTGGCCCCAAAGCGCTTGAAATCTCCACTTGCAAATTCCACAAAAACAGTGTTTCAAACCTGCTCTCTCTAAATGAAAGTTCAACTCTGTCAGTTGAATACACACAACACAAGGAAGTTACTGAGAATTCTTCTGTCTAGCATAATATGAAGAAATCCCGTTTCCAACGAAGGCCTCAAGGAGGTCTGAATATCCACTTGCAGACTTTACAAACAGAGTGTTTCCTAACTGCTCTATGAAAAGAAAGGTTAAACTCTGTGAGTTGAACGCACACATCACAAAGGATTTCTCAGAATCATTCTGTCTAGTCTTTATACGAAGATATTTTCTTTTCTACCATTGACTTCAAAGCGGCTGAAATCTCCACTTGCAAATTCCACAAAAAGAGTGTTTCAAGTCTGCTCTGTGTAAAGGATCATTCAACTCTGTGAGTTGAATACACACAACACAAGGAAGTTACTGAGAATTCTTCTGTCTAGCAGAATATGAAGAAATCCCGTTTCCAACGAAGGCCACAAGATGTCAGAATATCCACTTACAGAATTGACAAACAGACTGTTTCCTAACTGCTGTATGAAAAGAAAGGTTAAACTCTGTGAGTTGAACGAACACATCACAACGCAGTTTGTGGGAATGATTCTGTCTAGTTTTGAAACGAAGATATTTCCTTTTCTGCCATTGACCTTAAAGCGCTTGAAATCTCCATTTGCCAATTGCACAAAAAGAGTGTTTCAAATCTGCTCTGTCTAAGGGAACGTTCAACTCTGTGAGTTGAATGTACACAACACAAGGAAGTTACTGGGAATTCTTCTGTCTAGCCTTACATGAAAAAAACCCGTTTCCAACGAAGGCCTCTAAGTGGTCAAAATATCCACGTGCAGACTTTACAAACAGAGTGTTTCCAAACTGCTGAATGAAAAGAAAAGTTAAACTCTGATGAGTTGAACGCACACATCACAAAGGAGTTTCTGAGAATCATTCTGTCTAGTTTTTATACCAAGATATTTCCTTTTCTGCCTTTGGCCTCAAAGCGCTTGAAATCTCCACTTGCAAATTCCACAAAAAGAGTGTTTCAAATCTGCTCTGTGTAAATGAAAGTTCAACTCTGTGAGTTGAACGCACACAACACAAGGAAGTTACTGGGAATTCTTCTGTCTAGCAAAATATGAAGAAATCCCGTTTCCAACGAAGGCCTCAAGGAGGTCTGAATATCCACTTGCAGACTTTACAGAGTGTTTCCTAACTGCTCTATGAAAAGAAAGGTTAAACTCTGTGAGTTGAACGCACACATCACAAAGGAGTTTCTGAGAATCATTCTGTCTAGTTTTTATACGAAGATATTTCCTTTTCTAGCATTGACCTCAAAGCGGCTGAAATCTCCACTTGCAAATTACACAAAAAGAGTGTTTCAAGTCTACTCTGTGTAAAGCATCGTTCAACTCTGTGAGTTGAAAACACACAACACAAGGAAGTTTCTGAGAATTCTTCTGTCTAGCAGAATATGAAGAAATCCCGTTTCCAACGAAGGCCTCAAAGATGTCTGAATATCCACTTGCAGACTTTACAAACAGAGTGTTTCCTAACTGCTCTATGAAAAGAAAGGTTAAACTCTGTGAGCTGAACGCACACAGCACAAAGGAGTTTCTGAGAATCATTCTGTCTAGTTTTGAAACGAAGATATTTCCTTTTCTGCCGTTGACCTTAAAGAGCTTGAAAACTACACTTGCAAATTGCACAAATAGAGTGTTTCAAATCTGCTCTGTCTAAGGGAACGTTCAACTCTGTGAGTTGAATGCACACAACACAAGGAAGTTACTGGGAATTCTTCTGTCTAGCCTTACATGAAAAAAACCCGTTTCCAACGAAGGCCTCTAAGTGGTCAAAATTTCCACGTGCAGACTTTACAAACAGAGTGTTTCCAAACCGCTGAATGAAAAGAAAAGTTAAACTCTGAGAGTTGAACGCACACATCACAAAGGAGTTTCTGAGAATGATTCTGTCTCGTTTTTATACGAAGATATTTCCTTTTCTGCCTTTGGCCTCAAAGCGCTTGAAATCTCCATTTGCAAATTCCACAAAAAGAGTGTTTCAAATCTGCTCTGTGTAAATGAAAGTTCAACTCTGTGAGTTGAACACACACAAGGAAGTTACTGGGAATTCTTCTGTCTAGCCTTATATGAAAAAAACCCGTTTCCAACGAAGGCCTCAAAGAGGCCTGAATATCCACCTGCAGTCTTTACAAACAGAGTGTTTCCTAACTGCTCTATGAAAAGAAAGGTTAAACTCTGTGAGTTGAACACACACATCACAAAGGAGTTTACTGAGAATCATTCTGTCTAGTTTCTATAGGAAGATATTTCCTATTCTACCATTGACCTCAAAGCGGCTGAAATCTCCACTTGCAAATTCCACAAAAAGAGTGTTTCAAGTCTGCTCTGTGTAAAGGATCGTTCAACTCTGTGAGTTGAATACACACAACAGACGGCAGTTACTGAGAATTCTTCTGTCTAGCAGAATATGAAGAAATCCCGTTTCCAACGAAGGCCTCAAGGAGGTCTGAATATCCACTTGCAGACTTTACAAACAGAGTGTTTCCTAACTGCTCTATGAACAGGAAGGTTAAACTCTGTGAGTTGAACGAACACATCACAACGCAGTTTGTGGGAATGATTCTGTCTAGTTTTGAAACGAAGATATTTCCTTTTCTGCCGTTGACCTGAAAGCGCTTGAAATCTACACTTGCAAATTACACAAATAGAGTGTTTCAAATCTGCTCTGTCTAAGGGAACGTTCAACTCTGTGAGTTGAATGCACACAACACAAGGAAGTTACTGGGAATTCTTCTGTCTAGCCTTACATAAAAAAAACCCGTTTCCAACGAAGGCCTCTAAGTGGTCAAAATATCCACGTGCAGACTTTACAAACAGAGTGTTTCCAAACCGCTGAATGAAAAGAAAAGTTAAACTCTGAGAGTTGAACGCACACATCACGCAGCAGTTTCTGAGAATGATTCTGTCTAGTTTTGAAACGAAGATATTTCCTTTTCTGCCTTTGGCCTCAAAGTGCTTGAAATCTCCACTTGCAAATTCCACAAAAAGAGTGTTTCAAATCTGCTCTGTGTAAATGGAAGTTCAACTCTGTGAGTTGAACACACACAACACAACGAAGTTACTGGGAATTCTTCTTTCTAGCAGAATATGAAGAAATCCCGTTTCCAACGAAAGCCTCAAGGATGTCTGAATATCCACTTGCAGACTTTACAAACAGAGTGTTTCCTAACTGCTCTATGAAAAGAAAGGTTAAACTCTTTGAGTTGAACGCACACATCACAAAGGAGTTTCTGAGAATCATTCTGTCTAGTTTCTATAGGAAGATATTTCCTATTCTACCATTGACCTCAAAGCGGCTGAAATCTCCACTTGCAAATTCCACAAAAAGAGTGTTTCAAGTCTGCTCTGTGTAAAGGATCGTTCAACTCTGTGAGTTGAATACACACAACACAAGGGAAGTTACTGAGAATTCTTCTGTCTACCAGAATATGAAGAAATCCCTTTTCCAACAAGGCAACAAGATGTCAGAATATCCACTTACAGACTTTACAAACAGAGTGTTTCCTAACTGCTCTATGAACAGAAAGGTTAAACTCTGTGAGTTGAACGAACACATCACAACGCAGTTTGTGGGAATGATTCTGTCTAGTTTTTATACGAAGATATTTCCTTTTCTACCATGGACCTCAAAGCGGCTGAAATCTCCACTTGCCAATTGCACAAAAAGAGTGTTTCAAATCTGCTCTGTCTAAGGGAACGTTCAACTCTGTGAGTTGAATGTACACAACACAAGGAAGTTACTAGGAATTCTTCTGTCTAGCCTTACAAGAAAAAAACCCGTTTCCAACGAAGGCCTCTAAGTGGTCAAAATATCCACGTGCAGACTTTACAAACAGAGTGTTTCCAAACTGCTGAATGAAAAGAAAAGTTAAACTCTGAGAGTTGAACGCACACATCGCAGAGCAGTTTCTGAGAATGATTCTGTCTAGTTTTTATACGAAGATATTTCCTTTTCTTCCTTTGGCCCCAAAGCGCTTGAAATCTCCACTTGCAAATTCCACAAAAACAGTGTTTCAAATCTGCTCTCTGTAAATGATAGTTCAACTCTGTCAGTTGAATACACACAACACAAGGAAGTTACTGAGAATTCTTCTGTCTAGCATAATATGAAGAAATCCCGTTTCCAACGAAGGCCTCAAGGAGGTCTGAATATCCACTTGCAGACTTTAGAAACAGAGTGTTTCCTAACTGCTGTATGAAAAGAAAGGTTAAACTCTGTGAGTTGAACGCACACATCACAAAGGAGTTTCTGAGAATCATTCTGTCTAGTTTTTATAGGAAGATATTTCCTTTTCTACCTTTGACTTCAAAGCGGCTGAAATCTCCACTTGCAAATTCCACAAAAAGAGTGTGACAAGTCTGCTCTGTGTAAAGGATCGTTCAACTCTGTGAGTTGAATACACACAACACAAGGAAGTTACTGAGAATTCTTCTGTCTAGCACAGTATGAAGAAATCTCTTTTCCAACGAAGGCCCCAAAGAGGTCTGAATATCCACTTGCAGACTTTACAAACAGAGTGTTTCCTAACTGCTCTATGAAAAGAAAGGTTAAACTCTATGTGTTGAACGCACACATCACAAAGAAGTTTCTGAGAATCATTCTGTCTAGTTTTTATACGAAGAGATTTCCTTTTCTACCTTTGACTTCAAAGCGGATGAAATCTCCACTTGCAAATTCCACAAAAAGAGTGTTACAAGTCTGCTCTGTGTAAAGGATCGTTCAACTCTGTGAGTTGAATACACACAACACAAGGAAGTTACTGAGAATTCTTCTGTCTAGCCTTACATGAAAAAAACCCGTTTCCAACGAAGACCTCTAAGTGGTCAAATTATCCACGTGCAGACTTTACAAACACAGTGTTTCCAAACTGCTGAATGAAAAGAAAAGTTAAACTCTGAGAGTTGAACGCACACATCGCAGAGCAGTTTCTGAGAATGATTCTGTCTAGTTTTGAAACGAAGATATTTCCTTTTCTGCCTTTGGCCTCAAAGCGCTTGACATCTCCACTTGCAAATTCCACAAAAAGAGTGTTTCAAATCTGCTCTGTGTAAATGAAAGTTCAACTCTGTGAGTTGAACACACACAACACAAGGAAGTTACTGGGAATTCTTCTGTCTAGCATAGTATGGAGAAATCCCGTTTCCAACGAAGACCTCAAAGAGGTCTGAATATCCACTTGCAGACTTTATAAACAGAGTGTTTCCTAACTGCTCTATGAAAAGAAAAGTTAAACTCTGTGAGTTGAAAGCACACATCACAAAGGCGTTTCTGAGAATCATTCTGTCTAGTCTTTATACGAAGATATTTCCTTTTCTACCATTGACCTCAAAGCGGCTGAAATCTCCACTTGCAAATTCCACAAAAAGTGTGTTTCAAGTCTGCTCTGTGTAAAGGATCGTTCAACTCTGTGAGTTGAATACACACAACACAAGGAAGTTACTGAGAATTCTTCTGTCTAGCAGAATATGAAGAAATCCCGTTTCCAACAAAGGCCACAAGATGTCAGAATAGCCACTTACAGACTTTACAAACAGAGTGTTTCCTAACTGCTCTATGAACAGAAAGGTTAAACTCTGTGAGTTGAACGAACACATCACAACGCAGTTTGTGGGAATGATTCTGTCTAGTTTTGAAACGAAGATATTTCCTTTTCTGCCATTGACCTTAAAGCGCTTGAAATCTCCATTTGCCAATTGCACAAAAAGAGTGTTTCAAATCTGCTCTGTCTAAGGGAACGTTCAACTCTGTGAGTTGAATGTACACAACACAAGGAAGTTACTTGGGAATTCTTCTGTCTAGCCTCACATGAAAAAATTCCGTTTCCAACGAAGGCCTCTAAGTGGTCAAAATATCCACGTGCAGACTTTACAAACAGAGTGTTTCCAAACCGCTGAATGAAAAGAAAAGTTAAACTCTGAGAGTTGAACGCACACATCACGCAGCAGTTTCTGAGAATGATTCTGTCTAGTTTTGAAACGAAGATATTTCCTTTTCTGCCTTTGGCCTCAAAGCGCTTGAAATCTCCACTTGCAAATTCCACAAAAAGAGTGTTTCACATCTGCTCTGGGTAAATGAAAGTTCAACTCTGTGAGTTGAACACACACAACACAAGGAAGTCACTGGGAATTCTTCTGTCTAGCATAATATGAAGAAATCCCGTTTCCAACGAAGGCCTCAAAGGGGTCTGAATATCCACTTGCAGACTTTATAAACAGAGTGTTTACTAACTGCTCTATGAAAAGAAAGGTTAAACTGCTGTGAGTTGAACACACACATCACAAAGGAGTTTCTGAGAATCATTCTGTCTATTTTCTATAGGAAGATATTTCCTATTCTACCATTGACCTCAAAGCGGCTGATATCTCCACTTGCAAATTCCACAAAAAGAGTGTTTCAAGTCTGCTCTGTGTAAAGGATCGTTCAACTCTGTGAGTTGAATACACACAACACAAGGAAGTTACTGAGAATTCTTCTGTCTAGCAGAATATGAAGAAATCCCGTTTCCAACGAAGGCCACAAGATGTCAGAATATCCACTTACAGAATTGACAAACAGACTGTTTCCTAACTGCTCTATGAAAAGAAAGGTTAAACTCTGTGAGTTGAACGAACACATCACAACGCAGTTTGTGGGAATGCTTCTGTCTAGTTTTGAAACGAAGATATTTCCTTTTCTGCCATTGACCTTAAAGCGCTTGAAATCTCCATTTGCCAATTGCACAAAAAGAGTGTTTCAAATCTGCTCTGTCTAAGGGAACGTTCAACTCTGTGAGCTGAATGTACACAACACAAGGAAGTTACTGGGAATTCTTCTGTCTAGCATAATATGAAGAAATCCCGTTTCCAACGAAGGCCTCAAGGAGGTCTGAATATCCACTTGCAGACTTTACAAACAGAGTGTTTCCTAACTGCTCTATGAAAAGAAAGGTTAACCTCTGTGAGTTGAACGCACACATCACAAAGGAGTTTCTGAGAATCATTCTGTCTAGTTTCTATAGGTACATATTTCCTATTCTACCATTGACCTCAAAGCGGCTGAAATCTCCTTGCAAATTCCACAAAAAGAGTGTTTCAAGTCTGCTCTGTGTAAAGGATCGTTCAACTCTGTGAGTTGAATACACACAACACAAGGAAATTACTGAGAATTCTTCTGTCCAGCATAATATGAAGAAATCCCGTTTCCAAAGAAGGCCTCAAGGAGCTCTGAATATCCACTTGCAGACCTTACAAACAGAGTGTTTCCTAACTGCTCTATGAAAAGAAAGGTTAAACTCTGTGAGTTGAACGCACACATCACAAAGGAGTTTCTGAGAATAATTCTGTCTAGTTTCTATAGGAAGATATTTCCTATTCTACCGTTGACCTCAAAGCGGCTGAAATCTCCACTTGCAAATTCCACAAAAAGAGTGTTTCAAGTCTGCTCTGTGTAAAGGATCGTTCAACTCTGTGAGTTGAATACACACAACACAAAGAAGTTACTGAGAATTTTTCTGTCTAGCAGAATATGAAGAAATCCCGTTTCCAACGAAGGCCACAATATGTCAGAATATCCACTTACAGACTTTAGAAACAGAGTGTTTCCTAACTGCTCTATGAACAGAAAGGTTAAACTCTGTGAGTTGAACGAACACATCACAACGCAGTTTGTGGGAATGATTCTGTCTAGTTTTGAAACGAAGATATTTCCTTTTCTGCCATTGACCTTAAAGCGCTTGAAATCTACACTTGCAAATTGCACAAATAGAGTGTTTCAAATCTGTTCTGTCTAAGGGAACGTTCATCTCTGTGAGTTGAATGCACACAACACAAGGAAGTTACTGGGAATTCTTCTGTCTAGCCTTACATGAAAAAAACCCGTTTCCAACGAAGGCCTCTAAGTGGTCAAAATATCCACGTGCAGACTTTACAAACAGAGTGTTTCCAAACCGCTGAATGAAAAGAAAAGTTAAACTCTGAGAGTTGAACGCACACATCACACAGCAGTTTCTGAGAATGATTCTGTCTAGTTTTTATACGAAGATATTTCCTTTTCTGCCTTTGGCCTCAAAGCGCTTGAAATTTCCACTTGCAAATTCCACAAAAAGAGTGTTTCAAATCTGCTCTGTGTAAATCAAAGTTCAACTCTGTGAGTTGAACACACACAACACAAGGAAGTTACTGGGAATTCTTCTGTCTAGCAGAATATGAAGAAATCCCGTTTCCAACGAAGGCCTCAACGAGGTCTGAATATCCACTTGCAGACTTTACAAACAGAGTGTTTCCAAACTGCTCTATGAAAAGAAAGGTTAAACTCTGTGAGTTGAACACACACATCACAAAGGAGTTTCTGAGAATCATTCTTTCTAGTTTTTCTACGAAGATATTTCCTTTTCTACTATTGACCTCAAAGCGGCTGAAATCTCCACTTGCAAATTCCACAAAAAGAGTGTTTCAAGTCTGCTCTCTGTAAAGGATCGTTCAACTCTGTGACTTGAATACACACAACACAAGGAAGTTACTGAGAATTATTCTGTCTAGCATAATATGAAGAAATCCCGTTTCCAAAGAAGGCCTCAAAGAGGTCTGAATATCCACTTGCAGACTTTACAAACAGAGTGTTTCCTAACTGCTCTATGAAAAGAAAAGTTAAACTCTGTGTGTTGAACGCACACATCACAAAGGAGTTTCTGAGAATCATTCTGTCTAGTTTTGAAACGAAGATATTTCCTTTTCTGCCATTGACCTTAAAGCGCTTGAAATCTCCACTTGCCAATTGCACAAAAAGAGTGTATCAAATCTGCTCTGTCTAAGGGAACGTTCAACTCTGTGAGTTGAATGTACACAACACAAGGAATTTACTGGGAATTCTTCTGTCTAGCCTTACATGAAAAAAACCCGTTTCCAACGAAGGCCTCTAAGTGGTCAAATTATCCACGTGCAGACTTTACAAACAGAGTGTTTCCAAACTGCTGAATGAAAAGAAAAGTTAAACTCTGAGAGTTGAACACACACATCGCAGAGCAGTTTCTGAGAATGATTTTGTCTAGTTTTTATACGAAGATATTTCCTTTTCTGCCTTTGGCCTCAAAGCGCTTGAAATCTCCACTTGCAAATTCCACAAAAAGAGTGTTTCAAATCTGCTCTGTGTAAATGAGAGTTCATCTCTGTGAGTTGAACACACACAACACAAGGAAGTTACTGGGAATTCTTCTGTATAGCAGAATATGAAGAAATCCCGTTTCCAACGAAGGCCTCAAGGAGGTCTGAATATCCACTTGCAGACTTTACAAACAGAGTGTTTCCTAACTGCTCTATGAAAAGAAAGGTTAAACTCTGTCAGTTGAACGCAGACATCACAAAGGAGTTTCTGAGAATCACTCTGTCTAGTTTTTATACGAAGATATTTCCTTTTCTACCATTGACCTCAACGCGGCTGAAATCTCCACTTGCAAATTCCACAAAAAGAGTGTTTCAAGTCCGCTCTGTGTAAAGGATCGTTCAAATCCTGTGAGTTGAATACACACAACACAAGGAAGTTACTGAGAATTCTTCTGTCTAGCAGAATACGAAGAAATCCCGTTTCCAACGAAGGCCACAAGATGTCAGAATATCCACTTACAGACTTTACAAACAGAGTGTTTCCTAACTGCTCTATGAACAGAAAGGTTAAACTCTGTGAGTTGAACGAACACATCACAACGCAGTTTGTGGGAATGATTCTGTCTAGTTTTTATAGGAAGATATTTCATTTTCTACCTTTGACTTCAAAGCGGCTGAAATCTCCACTTGCAAATTCCACAAAAAGAGTGTTACAAGTCTGCTCTGTGTAAAGGATCGTTCAACTCTTTGAGTTGAATACACACAACACAAGGAAGTTACTGAGAATTCTTCTGTCTAGCCTTACATAAAAAAAACCCGTTTCCAACGAAGGCCTCTAAGTGGTCAAGTTTTCCATGTGCAGACTTTACAAACAGAGTGTTTCCAAACTGCTGAATGAAAAGAAAAGTTAAACTCTGAGAGTTGAACGCACACATCGCAGAGCAGTTTCTGAGAATGATTCTGTCGAGTTTTTATACGAAGATATTTCCTTTTCTGCCTTTGGCCTCAAAGCGCTTGAAATCTCCATTTGCAAATTCCACAAAAAGAGTGTTTCAAATCTGCTCTGTGTAAATGAAAGTTCAACTCTGTGAGTTGAACACACACAACACAAGGAAGTTACTGGGAATTCTTCTGTATAGCAGAATATGAAGAAATCCCGTTTCCAACGAAAGCCTCAAAGAAGTCTGAATATCCACTTGCAGACTTTACAAACAGAGTGTTTCCTAACTGCTCTATGAAAAGAAAGGTTAAACTCTGTGAGTTGAACGCACACATCACAAAGGAGTTTCTGAGAATCATTCTGTCTAGTCTTTATACGAAGAGATTTCCTTTTCTACCATTGACCTCAAAGCGGCTGAAATCTCCACTTGCAAATTCCACAAAAAGAGTGTTTCAAGTCTGCTCTGTGTAAAGGATCGTTCAACTCTGTGAGTTGAATACACACAACACAAGGAAGTTACTGAGAATTCTTCTGTCTAGCAGAATATGAAGAAATCCCGTTTCCAACGAAGGCCACAAGATGTCAGAATATCCACTTAGAGACTTTACAAACAGAGTGTTTCCTAACTGCTCTATGAACAGAAAGGTTAAACTCTGTGAGTTGAACGAACACATCACAACGCAGTTTGTGGGAATGATTCTGTCTAGTTTTGAAACGAAGATATTTCCTTTTCTGCCATTGACCTTAAATCGCTTGAAATCTCCACTTGCCAATTGCACAAAAAGAGTGTTTCAAATCTACTCTGTCTAAGGGAACGTTCAACTCTGTGAGTTGAATGAACACAACACAAGGAAGTTACTGGGAATTCTTCTGTCTAGCCTTACATGGAAAAAACCCGTTTCCAACGAAGGCCTCTAAGTGGTCAAATTATGCACGTGCAGATTTTACAAACAGAGTGTTTCCAAACTGCTGAATGAAAGGAAAAGTTAAACTCTGAGAGTTGAACGCACACATCGCAGAGCAGTTTCTGAGAATGATTCTGTCTAGTTTTTATACGAAGATATTTTCTTTTCTGCATTTGGCCTCAAAGCGCTTGAAATCTCCATTTGCAAATTCCACAAAAAGAGTGTTTCAAATCTGCTCTGTGTAAATGAAAGTTCAACTCTGTGAGTTGAACACACACAACACAAGGAAGTTACTGGGAATTCTTCTTTCTAGCAGAATATGAAGAAATCCCGTTTCCAACGAAAGCCTCAAGGATGTCTGAATATCCACTTGCAGACTTTACAAACAGAGTGTTTCCTAACTGCTCTATGAAAAGAAAGGTTAAACTCTGTGAGTTGAACGCACACATAACAAAGGAGTTTCTGAGAATCATTCTGTCTAGTTTTTCTACGAAGATATTTCCTTTTCTACTATTGACCTCAAAGCGGCTGAAATCTCCACTTGCAAATTCCACAAAAAGAGTGTTTCAAGTCTGCTCTGTGTAAAGGATCGTTCAACACTGTGAGTTGAATACACACAACACAAGGAAGTTACTGAGAATTCTTCTGTCTAGCCTTATATGAAAAAAACCCGTTTCCAACGAAGGCCTCAAAGAGGTCTGAATATCCACTTGCAGACTTTACAAACAGAGTGTTTCCTAACTGCTCTATGAAAAGAAAGGTTAAACTCTGTGAGTTGAAAGCACACATCACAAAGGAGTTTCTGAGAATCATTCTGTCTAGTTTTTATAGGAAGATATTTCCTTTTCTACCTTTGACTTCAAAGCGGCTGAAATCCCCACTTGCAAATTCCACAAAAAGAGTGTTACAAGTCTGCTCTGTGTAAAGGATCGTTCAACTGTGTGAGTTGAATACACACAACACAAGGAAGTTACTGAGAATTCTTCTTTTTAGCCTTACAGGAAAAAAAACCGTTTCCAACGAAGGCCTCTAAGTGGTCAAAATATCCACGTGCAGACTTTACAAACAGAGTGTTTCCAAACTGCTGAATGAAAAGAAAAGTTAAACTCTGAGAGTTGAACGCACACATCGCAGAGCAGTTTCTGAGAATGATTCTGTCTAGTTTTGAAACGAAGATATTTCCTTTTCTGCCTTTGGCCTCAAAGCGCTTGAAATCTCCACTTGCAAATTCCACAAAAAGAGTGTTTCAAATCTGCTCTGTGTAAATGAATGTTCAACTCTGTGAGTTGAACACACACAACACAAGGAAGTTACTGGGAATTCTTCTTTCTGGCAGAATATGAAGAAATCCCGTTTCCAACGAAAGCCTCAAGGATGTCTGAATATCCACTTGCAAACTTTACAAACAGAGTGTTTCCTAACTGCTCTATGAAAAGAAAGGGTAAACTCTGTGAGTTGAACGCACACATCACAAAGGAGTTTCTGAGAATCATTCTGTCTAGTTTTTATAGGAAGATATTTCCTTTTCTACCTTTGACTTCAAAGCGGCAGAAATCTCCACTTGCAAATTCCACAAAAAGAGTGTTACAAGTCTGCTCTGTGTAAAGGATCGTTCAACTCTGTGAGTTGAATACACACAACACAAGGAAGTTACTGGGAATTCTTCTCTCTAGCCTTATATGAAAAAAACCCGTTTCCAACGAAGGCCTCAAAGAGGTCTGAATATCCACTTTCAGACTTTACAAACAGAGTGTTTCCTAACTGCTCTATGAAAACAAAGGTTAAACTCTGTGAGTTGAACGCACACATCACAAAGGAGTTTCTGAGAATCATTCTGTCTAGTTTTGAAACGAAGATATTTCCTTTTCTGCCATTGACCTTAAAGCGCTTGAAATCTCCACTTGCCAATTGCACAAAAAGAGTGTTTCAAATCTGCTCTGTCTAAGGGAACGTTCAACTCTGTGAGTTGAATGTACACAACACAAAGAAGTTACTGGGAATTCTTCTGTCTAGTCTTACAGGAAAAAAACCCGTTTCCAACGAAGGCCTCTAAGTGGTCAAAATATCCACGTGCAGACTTTACAAACAGAGTGTTTCCAAACTGCTGAATGAAAAGAAAAGTTAAACTCTGAGAGTTGAACGCACACATCGCAGAGCAGTTTCTGAGAATGATTCTGTCTAGTTTTGAAACGAAGATATTTCCTTTTCTGCCTTTGGCCTCAAAGCGCTTGAAATCTCCACTTGCAAATTCCACAAAAAGAGTGTTTCAAATCTGCTCTGTGTAAATGGAAGTTCAACTCTGTGAGTTGAACACACACAACACAAGGAAGTTACTGGGAATTCTTCTCTCTAGCCTTATATGAAAAAAACCCTTTTCCAACGAAGGCCTCAAAGAGGTCTGAATATCCACTTGCAGACTTTACAAACAGAGTGATTCCTAACTGCTCTATGAAAAGAAAGGTTAAACTCTGTGAGTTGAACACACACATCTCAAAGGAGTTTCTGAGAATCATTCTGTCTAGTTTTTATATGAAGATATTTCCTTTTCTACCATTGACCACAAAGCGGCTGAAATCTCCACTTGCAAATTCCAGAAAAAGAGTGTTTCAAATCTGCTCTGTGTAAAGGATCGTTCAACTCTGTGAGTTGAATACACACAACACAAGGAAGTTACTGAGAATTCTTCTGTCTAGCAGAATATGAAGAAATCCCGTTTCCAACGAAGGCCACAAGATGTCAGAATATCCACTTACAGAATTTACAAACAGACTGTTTCCTAACTGCTCTATGAAAAGAAAGGTTAAACTCTGTGTGTTGAACGAACACATCACAACGCAGTTTGTGGGAATGATTCTGTCTAGTTTTGAAACGAAGATATTTCCTTTTCTGCCATTAACCTTAAAGCGCTTGAAATCTCCACTTGCCAATTGCACAAAAAGAGTGTTTCAAATCTGCTCTGTCTAAGGGAACGTTCAACTCTGTGAGTTGAATGTACACAACACAAGGAAGTTACTGGGAATTCTTCTGTCTAGCCTTATAGGAAAAAAACCCGTTTCCAACGAAGGCCTCTAAGTGGTCAAAATATCCACGTGCAGACTTTACAAACAGAGTGTTTCCAAACTGCTGAATGAAAAGAAAAGTTAAACTCTGAGAGTTGAACGCACACATCGCAGAGCAGTTTCTGAGAATGATTCTGTCTAGTTTTCAAACGAAGATAGTTCCTTTTCTGCCTTTGGTCTCAAAGCGCTTGAAATCTCCACTTGCATATTCCACAAAAAGAGTGTTTCAAATCTGCTCTGTGTAAATGAAAGTTCAACTCTGTGAGTTGAACACACACAACACAAGGAAGTTACTGGGAATTCTTCTGTCTAGCAGAATATGAAGAAATCCCGTTTCCAACGAAGGCCTCAAATGGGTCTGAATATCCACTTGCAGACTTTATAAACAGAGTGTTTACTAACTGCTCTATGAAAAGAAAGGTTAAACTCTGTGAGTTGAACACACACATCACAAAGGAGTTTCTGAGAATCATTCTGTCTAGTTTTTCTACGAAGATATTTCCTTTTCTACTATTGACCTCAAAGCGGCTGAAATCTCCACTTGCAAATTCCACAAAAAGAGTGTTTCAAGTCTGCTCTGTGTAAAGGATCGTTCAACTCCGTGAGTTGAATACACACAACACAAGGAAGTTACTGAGAATTCCTCTGTCTAGCAGAATATGTAGAAATCCCGTTTCCAACGAAGGCCACAAGATGTCAGAATATCCACTTACAGAATTTACCAACAGAGTGTTTCCTAACTGCTCTATGAAAAGAAAGGTTAAACTCTGTTAGTTGAACGAACACATCACAACGCAGTTTGTGGGAATGATTCTGATCTAGTTTTGAAACGAAGATATTTCCTTTTCTGCCGTTGACCTTAAAGAGCTTGAAAACTACACTTACAAATTGCACAAATAGAGTGTTTCAAATCTGCTCTGTCTAAGGGAACGTTCAACTCTGTGAGTTGAATGCACACAACACAAGGAAGTTACTGGGAATTCTTCTGTCTAGCCTTACATGAAAAAAACCCGTTTCCAACGAAGGCCTCTAAGTGGTCAAAATATCCACGTGCAGGCTTTACAAACGAGAGTGTTTCCAAACCGCTGAATGAAAAGAAAAGTTAAACTCTGAGAGTTGAACGCACACATCACGCAGCAGTTTCTGAGAATGATTCTGTCTAGTTTTTATACGAAGATATTTCGTTTTCTGCCTTTGGCCCCAAAGCGCTTGAAATCTCCACTTGCAAATTCCACAAAAACAGTGTTTCAAATCTGCTCTCTCTAAATGAAAGTTCAACTCTGTCAGTTGAATACACACAACACAAGGAAGTTACTGAGAATTCTTCTGTCTAGCCTTACATGAAAAAAACCCGTTTCCAACGAAGGCCTCAAAGAGGTCAAAATATCCACTTGCAGACATTACAAACAGAGTGTTTCCTAACTACTCTATGAATAGAAAGGTTAAACTCTGTGAGTTGAACACACACATCACAAAGGAGTTTCTGAGAATCATTCTGTCTAGTTTTTATACGAAGATATTTCCTTTTCTACCATTGACCTCAAAGCGGCTGAAATCTCCACTTGCAAATTCCACAAAAAGAGTGTTTCAAATCTGCTCTGTGTAAACCATCGTTCAACTCTGTGAGTTGAATACACACAACACAAGGAAGATTCTGAGAGTTCTTCTGTCTAGCAGAATATGAAGAAATCCCGTTTCCAACGAAGGCCACAAGATGTCAGAATATCCACTTACAGAATTTACAAACAGACTGTTTCCTAACTGCTCTATGAAAAGAATGGTTAAACTCTGTGAGTTTACCTAACAGATCACAACGCAGTTTGTGGGAATGATTCTGTCTAGTTTTGAAACGAAGTTATTTCCTTTTCTGCCATTGACCTTAAAGCGCTTGAAATCTCCACTTGCCAATTGCACAAAAAGAGTGTTTCAAATCTGCTCTGTCTAAGGGAACGTTCAACTCTGTGAGTTGAATGTACACAACACAAGGAAGTTACTGGGAATTCTTCTGTCTAGCCTTACATGAAAAAAACCCGTTTCCAACGAAGGCCTCTAAGTGGTCAAAATATGCACGTTCCGACTTTACAAACAGAGTGTTTCCAAACCGCTGAATGAAAAGAAAAGTTAAACTCTGAGTGTTGAACGCACACATCACGCAGCAGTTTCTGAGAATGATTCTGTGTAGTTTTTATACGAAGATATTTCCTTTTCTGCCTTTGGCCTCAAAGCGCTTGAAATCTCCACTTGCAAATTCCACAAAAAGAGTGTTTCAAATCTGCTCTGTGTAAATGAAAGTTCAACTCTGTGAGTTGAACACACACAACACAAGGAAGTTACTGGGAATTCTTCTGTCTGGCAGAATATGAAGAAATCCCGTTTCCAACGAAGGCCTCAAAGAGGTCTGAATATCCACTTGCAGACTTTACAAACAGAGTGTTTCCTAACTGCTCTATGAAAAGAAAGGTTAAACTCTGTGAGTTGAACGCACACATCACAAAGGAGTTTCTGAGAATCATTCTGTCTAGTTTCTATAGGAAGATATTTCCTATTCTACCATTGAGCTCAAAGCGGCTGAAATCTCCACTTGCAAATTCCACAAAAACAGTGTTTCAAGTCTGCTCTGTGTAAAGGATCGTTCAACTCTGTGAGTTGAATACACACAACACAAGGAAGTTACTGAGAATTATTCTGTCTAGCAGAATATGAAGAAATCCCGTTTCCAACGAAGGCCACAAGATGTCAGAATATCCACTTACAGAATTTACAAACAGACTGTTTCCTAACTGCTCTATGAAAAGAAAGGTTAAACTGCTGTGAGTTGAACGAACACATCACAACGCAGTTTTTGGGAATGATTCTGTCTAGTTTTGAAACGAAGACATTTCCTTTTCTGCCATTGACCTTAAAGCGCTTGAAATCTACACTTGCAAATTGCACAAATAGAGTGTTTCAAATCTGCTCTGTCTAAGGGAACGTTCAACTCTGTGAGTTGAATGCACACAACACAAGGAAAGTTACTGGGAATTCTTCTGTCTAGCCTTACATGAAAAAATCCCGTTTCCAACGAAGGTCTCTAAGTGGTCAAAATTTCCACGTGCAGACTTTACAAACAGAGTGTTTCCAAACCGCTGAATGAAAAGAAAAGTTAATCTCTGAGAGTTGATCGCACACATCACGCAGCAGTTTCTGAGAATGATTCTGTCTAGTTTTTATACGAAGATATCTCCTTTTCTGCCTTTGGCCTCAAAGCGCTTGAAATCTCCACTTGCAAATTCCACAAAAAGAGTGTTTCAAATCTGCTCTGTGTAAATGAAAGTTCAACTCTGTGAGTTGAACACACACAACACAAGGAAGTTACTG
The DNA here is from genome assembly GCF_000001405.40 of Homo sapiens. Lineage (NCBI taxonomy): Eukaryota > Metazoa > Chordata > Mammalia > Primates > Hominidae > Homo > Homo sapiens. The sequence goes on along the minus strand of NC_000005.10, from coordinate 49,040,744 downwards.
GGAATTCTTCTGTCTAGCCTTATATGAAAAAAACCCGTTTCCAACGAAGGCCTCAAAGAGGTCTGAATATCCATTTGCAGACTTTACAAACAGAGTGTTTCCTAACTGCTCTATGAAAAGAAAGGTTAAAGTCTGTGAGTTGAACGCACACATCACAAAGGAGTTTCTGAGAATCATTCTGTCTAGTTTCTATACGAAGATATTTCCTATTCTACCATTGACCTCAAAGCGGCTGAAATCTCCACTTGCAAATTCCACAAGAAGAGTGTTTCAAGTCTGCTCTGTGTAAAGGATCGTTCAACTCTGTGAGTTGAATACACACAACACAAGGAAGTTACTGAGAATTCTTCTGTCTTGCATAATATGAAGAAATCCCGTTTCCAACGAAGGCCTCAAGGAGGTCTGAATATCCACTTGCAGACTTTACAAACAGAGTGTTTCCTAACTGCTCTATGAAAAGAAAGGTTAAACTCTGTGAGTTGAACGCACACATCACAAAGTAGTTTCTGAGAATCATTCTGTCTAGTTTTGAAACGAAGATATTTCCTTTTCTGCCATTGACCTTAAAGCGCTTGAAATCTCCACTTGCCAATTGCACAAAAAGAGTGTTTCAAATCTGCTCTGTCTAAGGGGAACGTTCAACTCTGTGAGTTGAATGTACACAACACAAGGAAGTTACTGGGAATTCTTCTGTCTAGCCTTACATGAAAAAAACCCGTTTCCAACGAAGGCCTCTAAGGGGTCAAAATATCCACGGGCAGACTTCACAAACAGAGTGTTTCCAAACCGCTGAATGAAAAGAAAAGTTAAACTCTGAGAGTTGAACGCACACATCACGCAGCAGTTTCTGAGAATGATTCTGTCTAGTTTTTATACGAAGATATATCCTTTTCTGCCTTTGGCCCCAAAGCGCTTGAAATCTCCACTTGCAAATTCCACAAAAACAGTGTTTCAAATCTGCTCCCTCTAAATGAAAGTTCAACTTTGTCAGTTGAATACACACAACACAAGGAAGTTACTGAGAATTCTTCTGTCTAGTATAATATGAAGAAATCCCGTTTCCAACGAAGGCCACAAAGAGGTCTGAATATCCACTTGCAGACTTTATAAACAGAGTGTTTCCTAACTGCTCTATGAAAAGAAAAGTTAAACTCTGTGAGTTGAACGCACACATCACAAAGGAGTTTCTGAGAATCATTCTGTCTAGTTTTTATACGAAGATATTTCCTTTTCTACCATTGACTTCAACGCGGCTGAAATCTCCACTTGCAAATTCCACAAAAAGAGTGTTCCAAGTCTGCTCTGTGTAAAGGATCGTTCAACTCTGTGAGTTGAATACACACAACACAAGGAAGTTACTGAGAATTCTTCTGTCTAGCAGAATATGAAGAAATCCCGTTTCCAACGAAGGCCACAAGATGTCAGAATATCCACTTACAGACTTTACAAACAGAGTGTTTCCTAACTGCTCTATGAAAAGAAAGGTTAAACTCTGTGAGTTGAACGAACACATCACAACGCAGTTTGTGGGAATGATTCTGTCTAGTTTTGAAACTAAGATATTTCCTTTTCTGCCATTGACCTTAAAGCGCTTGAAATCTCCACTTGCCAATTGCACAAAAAGAGTATTTCAAATCTGCTCTGTCTAAGGGAACGTTCAACTCTGTGAGTTGAATGTACACAACACAAGGAAGTTACTGGGAATTCTTCTGTCTAGCCTTACATGAAAAAAAAACCGTTTCCAACGAAGGCCTCTAAGTGGTCAAATTATCCACGTGCAGACTTTACAAACAGAGTGTTTTCAAACTGCTGAATGAAAAGAAAAGTTAAACTCGGAGAGTTGAACGCACACATCGCAGAGCAGTTTCTGAGAATGATTCTGTCTAGTTTTCAAACGAAGATATTTCCTTCTCTGCCTTTGGCCTCAAAGCGCTTGAAATCTCCACTTGCAAATTCCACAAAAAGAGTGTTTCAAATCTGCTCTGTGTAAATGAAAGTTCAACTCTGTGAGTTCAACACACACAACACAAGGAAGTTACTGGGAATTCTTCTGTCTAGCAGAATATGAAGAAATCCCGTTTCCAACGAAAGCCTCAAAGATGTCTGAATATCCACTTGCAGACTTTACAAACAGAGTGTTTCCTAACTGCTCTCTGAAAAGAAAGGTTAAACTCTGTGAGTTGAACGCACACATCACAAAGGAGTTTCTGAGAATCATTCTGTCTAGTCTTTATATGAAGATAGTTTCCTTTTCTACCATTGACCTCAAAGCGGCTGAAATCTCCACTTCCAAATTCCACAAAAAGAGTGTTTCACGTCTGCTCTGTGTAAAGGATCGTTTAACTCTGTGAGTTGAATACACACAACACAAGGAAGTTACTGAGAATTACTTCTGTCTAGCATAATATGAAGAAATCCCGTTTCCAACGAAGGCCTCAAGGAGGTCTGAATATCCACTTGCAGACTTTACAAACAGAGTGTTTCCTAACTGCTCTATGAAAAGAAAGGTTAAACTGTGTGAGTTTAACGCACACATCACAAAGGAGTTTCTCAGAATCATTCTGTCTAGTTTTTATAGGAAGATATTTCCTTTTCTACCTTTGACTTCAAAGCGGCTGAAATCTCCACTTGCAAATTCCACAAAAAGAGTGTTACAAGTCTGCTCTGTGTAAAGGATCGTTCAACTCTGTGAGTTGAATAAACACAACACAAGGAAGTTACTGAGAATTCTTTTGTCTAGCCTTACATGAAAAAAACCCGTTTCCAACGAAGACCTCTAAGTGGTCAAATTATCCACGTGCAGACTTTACAAACAGAGTGTTTCCAAACTGCTGAATGAAAAGAAAAGTTAAACTCTGAGAGTTGAACGCACACATCACGCAGCAGTTTCTGAGAATTATTCTGTCTAGTTTTTATACGAAGATATTTCCTTTTCTGCCTTTGGCCTCAAAGCGCTTGAAATCTCCACTTGCAAATTCCACAAAAAGTGTGTTCTAAATCTGCTCTGTGTAAATGAAAGTTCAACTCTGTGAGTTGAACACACACAACACAAGGAAGTTACTGGGAATTCTTCTGTCTAGCATAATATGAAGAAATCCCGTTTCCAACGAAGTCCTCAGAGGGGTCTGAATATCCACTTGCAGACTTTATAAACAGAGTGTTTACTAACTGCTCTATGAAAAGAAAAGTTAAACTCTGTGAGTTGAACGCACACATCACAAAGGAGTTTCTGAGAATCATTCTGTCTAGTTTTTATACGAAGATATTTACTTTTCTACCATTGACCTCAAAGCGGCTGAAATCTCCACTTGCAAATTCCACAAAAAGAGTGTTTCAAGTCTGCTCTGTGTAAAGGATCGTTGAACTCTGTGAGTTGAATACACACAACACAAGGAAATTACTGAGAATTCTTCTGTCTAGCACAGTATGAAGAAATCCCGTTTCCAACGAAGGCCTCAAAGAGGTCTGAATATCCACTTGCAGAGTTTACAAACAGAGTGTTTCCTAACTGCTCTATGAAAAGAAATGTTAAACTCTGTGAGTTGAACGCACACATCACAAAGAAGTTTCTGAGAATCATTCTGTCTAGTTTTTATAGGAAGTTATTTCCTTTTCTACCTTTGACTTCAAAGCGGCTGAAATCTCCACTTGCAAATTCCACAAAAAGAGTGTTACAAGTCTGCTCTGTGTAAAGGATCGTTTAACTCTGTGAGTTGAATACACACAACACAAGGAAGTTACTGAGAATACTTCTGTCTAGCCCTACATGAAAAAATCCCGTTTCCAACGAAGGCCTCTAAGTGGTCAAAATTTCCACGTGCAGACTTTACAAACAGAGTGTTTCCAAACCGCTGAATGAAAAGAAAAGTTAAACTCTGAGAGTTGAACGCACACATCACGCAGCAGTTTCTGAGAATGATTCTGTCTAGTTTTTATACGAAGATATTTCCTTTTCTGCCTTTGGCCCCAAAGCGCTTGAAATCACCACTTGCAAATTCCACAAAAACAGTGTTTCAAATCTGCTCTCTCTAAATGAAAGTTCAACTCTGTCAGTTGAATACACACAACACAAGGAAAGTTACTGAGAATTCTTCTGTCTAGCAGAATATGAAGAAATCCCGTTTCCACCGAAGGCCTCAAAGAGGTCTGAATATCCATTTGCAGACTTTACAAACAGAGTGTTTCCTAACTGCTCTATGAAAAGAAAGGTTAAACTCTGTGAGTTGAACGCACACATCACAAAGGAGTTTCTGAGAATCGTTCTGTTTAGTTTTTATACGAAGATATTTCCTTTTCTACCATTGACCTCAAAGCGGCTGAAATCTCCACTTGCAAATTCCACAAAAAGAGTGTTTCAAGTCTGCTCTGTGTAAAGGATCGTTGAACTCTGTGAGTTGAATACACACAACACAAGGTAAGTTACTGAGAATTCTTCTGTCTAGCAGAATATGAAGAAATCCCGTTTCCAACGAAGGCCTCAAAGAGGTCTGCATATCCACTTGCAGACTTTACAAACAGAGTGTTTCCTAACTGCTCTATGAAAAGAAAGGTTAAACTCTGTGAGTTGAACGCACACATCACAAAGGAGTTTCTGAGAATCGTTCTGTCTAGTCTTTATAGGAAGATATTTCCTTTTCTACCTTTGACTTCAAAGCGGCTGAAATCTCCACTTGCAAATTCCACAAAAAGAGTGTTACAAGTCTGCTCAGTGTAAAGGATCGTTCAACTCTGTGAGTTGAATACACACAACACAAGGAAGTTACTGAGAATTCTTCTGTCTAGCCTTACATGAAAAAAAACCCGTTTCCAACGAAGGACCCTAAGAGGTCAATATATCCACTTGCAGACTTTACAAACAGAGTGTTTCCAAACTGCTGAATGAAAAGAAAAGTTAAACTCTCTGAGTTGAAAGCACACATCACACAGCAGTTTCTGAGAATGATTCTGTCTAGTTTTTCTACGAAGATATTTCCTTTTCTACTGTTGACCTCAAAGCGGCTGAAATCTCCACTTGCGAATTCCACAAAAAGAGTGTTTCAAGTCTGCTCTTTGTAAAGGATCGTTCAACTCTGTGAGTTGAATACACACAACATAAGGAAGTTACTGAGAATTATTCTGTCTAGCATAATATGAAGAAATCCCGTTTCCAACGAAGGCCTCAAAGAGGTCTGAATATGCACTTGCAGACTTTACAGAGTGTTTCCTAACTGCTCTATGAAAAGAAAAGTTAAACTCTGTGAGTTGAACGCACACATCACAAAGGAGTTTCTGAGAATCATTCTGTCTAGTTTTTATACGAAGATATTTCCTTTTCTACCATTGACCTCAAAGTGGCTGAAATCTCCACTTGAAAATACCAAAAAAAGTGTGTTTCAAGTCTGCTCTGTGTAAAGGATCGTTCAACTCTCTGAGTTGAATACACACAACACAAGGAAGTTTCTGAGAATTCTTCTGTCTAGCAGAATATGAAGAAATCCCGTTTCCAACGAATGCCTCAAAGAGGTCTGAATATCCACTTGCAGACTTTACAAACAAAGTGTTTCCTAACTGCTATATGAAAAGTTAAACTCTGTGAGTTGAACGCACACATCACAAAGGATTTTCTGAGAATCATTCTGTCTAGTTTTGAAACGAAGATATTTCCTTTTCTGCCATTGACCTTAAAGCGCTTGAAATCTACACTTGCAAATTGCACAAATAGAGTGTTTCAAATCTGCTCTGTCTAAGGGAACGTTCAACTCTGTGAGTTGAATGCACACAACACAAGGAAGTTACTGGGAATTCTTCTGTCTAGCCTTACATGAAAAAAACCCGTTTCCAACGAAGGCCTCTAAGTGGTCAAAATACCCACGTGCAGACTTTACAAACAGAGTGTTTCCAAACCGCTGAATGAAAAGAAAAGTTAAACTCTGAGAGTTGAACGCACACATCACGCAGCAGTTTCTGAGAATGATTCTGTCTAGTTTCTATAAGAAGATATTTCCTATTCTACCATTGACCTCAAAGCGGCTGAAATCTCCACTTGCAAATTCGACAAAAAGAGTATTTCAAGCCTGCTCTCTGTAAAGGATCCTTCAACTCTGTGAGTTGAATACACACAACACAAGGAAGTTACTGAGAATTATTCTGTCTAGCATAATATGAAGAAATCCCGTTTCCAACGAAGGCCTCAAGGAGGTCTGAATATCCACTTGTAGACTTTACAAACAGAGTGTTTCCTAACTGCTCTATGAAAAGAAAGGTTAAACTCTGTGAGTTGAACGCACACATCACAAAGGAGTTTCTGAGAATCATTCTGTCTAGTCTTTATATGAAGATAGTTTCCTTTTCTACCATTGACCTCAAAGCGGCTGAAATCTCCACTTGCAAATTCCACAAAAAGAGTGTTTCAAGTCTGCTCTGTGTAAAGGATCGTTCAACTCTGTGAGTTGAATACACACAACACAAGGAAAGTTACTGAGAATTCTTCTGTCTAGCAGAATATGAAGAAATCCCGTTTCCAACGATGGCCACAAGATGTCAGAATATCCACTTACAGACTTTACAAACAGAGTGTTTCCTAACTGCTCTATGAGAAGAAAAGTTAAACTCTGTGAGTTGAACACACACATCACAAAGGAGTTTCTGAGAATCATTCTGTCTAGTTTTGAAACGAAGATATTTCCTTTTCTGCCATTGACCTTAAAGCGCTTGAAATCTACACTTGCAAATTGCACAAATAGAGTGTTTCAAATCTGCTGTGTCTAAGGAACGTTCAACTCTGTGAGTTGAATGCACACAACACAAGGAAGTTACTGGGAATTCTTCTGTCTAGCCTTACATGAAAAAATCCCGTTTCCAACGAAGGCCTCTAAGTGGTCAAAATTTCCACGTGCAGACTTTACAAACAGAGTGTTTCCAAACCGCTGAATGAAAAGAAAATTTAAACTCTGAGAGTTGAACGCACACATCACGCAGCAGTTTCTGAGAATGATTCTGTCTAGTTTTGAAACGAAGATATTTCCTTTTCTGCCTTTGCCCTCAAAGCGCTTGAAATCTCCACTTGCAAATTCCACAAAAAGAGTGTTTCAAATCTGCTCTGTGTAAATGAAAGTTCAACTCTGTGAGTTGAACACACACAACACAAGGAAGTTACTGGGAATTCTTCTGTCTAGCAGAATATGAAGAAATCCCGTTTCCAACGAAGGCCTCAAAGAGGTCTGAATATCCACTTGAAGACTATACAAAGAGAGTGTTTCCTAACTGCTCTATGAAAACAAAAGTTAAACTCTGTGAGTTGAACGCACACATCACAAAGGAGTTTCTGAGAATCATTCTGTCTAGTTTTTATATGAAGATATTTTCTTTTCTACCATTGACCTCAAAGCGGCTGCAATCTCCACTTACAAATTCCACAAAAAGAGTGTCTCAAGTCTGCTCTGTGTAAACGATCGTTCAACTCTGTGAGTTGAATACACACAACACAAGGAAGTTTCTGAGAATTCTTCTGTCTAGCAGAATATGAAGAAATCCCGTTTCCAACGAAAGCCTCAAGGAGGTCTGAATATCCACTTGCAGACTTTACAAACAGAGTGTTTCCTAACTGCTCTATGAACAGAAAGGTTAAACTCTGTGAGTTGAACGCACACATCACAAAGGAGTTTCTGAGAATCATTCTGTCTAGTTTTGAAACGAAGATATTTCCTTTTCTGCCATTGAACTTAAAGCGCTTGAAATCTCCATTTGCCAATTGCACAAAAAGAGTGTTTCAAATCTGCTCTGTCTAAGGGAACGTTCAACTCTGTGAGTTGAATGTACACAACACAAGGAAGTTACTGGGAATTCTTCTGTCTAGCCTTACAGGAAAAAAACCCGGTTCCAACGAAGGCCTCTAAGTGGTCAAAATATCCACGTGCAGACTTTACAAACAGAGTGTTTCCAAACTGCTGAATGAAAAGAAAAGTTAAACTCTGAGAGTTGAACGCACACATCGCAGAGCAGTTTCTGAGAATGATTCTGTCTAGTTTTGAAACGAAGATATTTCCTTTTCTGCCTTTGGCCTCAAAGCGCTTGAAATCTCCACTTGCAAATTCCACAAAAAGAGTGTTTCAAATCTGCTCTGGGTAAATGAAAGTTCAACTCTGTGAGTTGAACACACACAACACAAGGAAGTTACTGGGAATTCTTCTGTCTAGCATCATATGAAGAAATCCTGTTTCCAACGAAGGCCTCAAGGAGGTCTGAATATCCACTTGCAGACTTTACAAACAGAGTGTTTCCTAACTGCTCTATGAAAAGAAAGCTTAAACTCTGTGAGTTGAACGCACACATCACAAGGGAGTTTCTGAGAATCATTCTGTCTAGTTTCTATAAGAAGATATTTCCTATTCTACCATTGACCTCAAAGCGGCTGAAATCTCCACTTGCAAATTCGACAAAAAGAGTGTTTCAAGCCTGCTCTCTGTAAAGGATCCTTCAACTCTGTGAGTTGAATACACACAACACAAGGAAGTTTCTGAGAATTATTCTGTCTAGCATAATATGAAGAAATCCCGTTTCCAACGAAGGCCTCAAAGAGGTCTGAATATCCACTTGCAGACTTTACAAACAGAGTGTTTCCTACCTGCTCTATGAGAAGAAAAGTTAAACTCTGTGAGTTGAACGCACACATCACAAAAGATTTTCTGAGAATCATTCTGTCTAGTTTTGAAACGAAGAATATTTCCTTTTCTGCCATTGACCTTAAAGCGCTTGAAATCTCCATTTGCCAATTGCACAAAAAGAGTGTTTCAAATCTGCTCTGTCTAAGGGAACGTTCAACTCTGTGAGTTGAATGTACACAACACAAGGAAGTTACTGGGAATTCTTCTGTCTAGCCTTACATGCAAAAAACCCGTTTCCAACGAAGGCCTCTAAGTGGTCAAAATATCCACGTGCAGACTTTACAAACAGAGTGTTTCCAAACCGCTGAATGAAAAGAAAAGTTAAACTCTGAGAGTTGAACGCACACATCACGCAGCAGTTTCTGAGAATGATTCTGTCTAGTTTTTATACGAAGATATTTCCTTTTCTGCCTTTGGCCTCAAAGCGCTTGAAACCTCCATTTGCAAATTCCACAAAAAGAGTGTTTCAAATCTGCTCTGTGTAAATGAAAGTTCAACTCTGTGAGTTGAACACACACAACACAAGGGAAGTTACTGGGAATTCTTCTTTCTAACAGAATATGAAGAAATCCCGTTTCCAACGAAAGCCTCAAGGATGTCTGAATATCCACTTGCAGACTTTACAAACAGAGTGTTTCCTAACTACTCTATGAAAAGAAAGGTTAAACTCTGTGAGTTGAACGCACACATCACAAAGGAGTTTCTGAGAATCATTCTGTCTAGTTTCTATAGGAAGATATTTCCTATTCTACCATTGACCTCAAAGCGGCTGAAATCTCCACTAGCAAATTCCACAAAAAGAATGTTTCAAGTCTGCTCTGTGTAAAGGATCGTTCAACTCTGTGAGTTGAATACACACAACACAAGGAAGTTACTGAGAATTATTCTGTCTAGCATAATATGAAGAAATCCCGTTTCCAACGAAGGCCTCAAGGAGGTCTGAATATCCACTTGCAGACTTTACAAACAGAGTGTTTCCCAACTGCTCTATTAAAAGAAAGGTTGAACTCTGTGAGTTGAACGCACACATCACAAAGGAGTTTCTGAGAATCATTCTGTCTAGTTTTGAAACGAAGAATTTCCTTTTCTGCCGTTGACCTTAAAGCGCTTGAAAACTACACTTGCAAATTGCACAAATAGAGTGTTTCAAATCTGCTCTGTCTAAGGGAACGTTCAACTCTGTGAGTTGAATGCACACAACACAAGGAAGTTACTGGGAATTCTTCTGTCTAGCCTTACAGGAAAAAAACCCGTTTCCAATGAAGGCCTCTAAGTGGTCAAAATATCCACGTGCAGACTTTACAAACAGAGTGTTTCCAAACTGCTGAATGAAAAGAAAAGTTAAACTCTGAGAGTTGAACGCACACATCGCAGAGCAGTTTCTGAGAATGATTCTGTCTAGTTTTGAAACGAAGATATTTCCTTTTCTGCCTTTGGCCTCAAAGCGCTTGAAATCTCCACTTGCAAATTCCACAAAAAGAGTGTTTCAAGTCTGCTCTGTGTAAATGAAAGTTCAACTCTGTGAGTTGAACACACACAACACAAGGAAGTTACTGGGAATTCTTCTTTCTAGCAGAATATGAAGAAATCCCGTTTCCAACGAAAGCCTCAAGGAGGTCTGAATATCCACTTGCAGACTTTACAAACAGAGTGTTTCCCAACTGCGCTATGAAAAGAAAGGTTAAACTCTGTGAGTTGAACGCACACATCACAAAGGAGTTTCTGAGAATCATTCTGTCTAGTTTTTCTACGAAGATATTTCCTTTTCTACTATTGACCTGAAAGCGGCTGAAATCTCCACTTGCAAATTCCACAAAAAGAGTGTTTCAAGTCTACTCTGTGTAAAGGATCGTTCAACTCTGTGAGTTGAATACACACAACACAAGGAAGTTACTGAGAATTCTTCTGTCTAGGAGAATATGAAGAAATCCCTTTTCCAACGAAGGCCAAAAAATGTCAGAATATCCACTTACAGACTTTACAAACAGAGTGTTTCCTAACTGCTCTATGAACAGAAAGGTTAAACTCTGTGAGTTGAACGAACACATCACAACGCAGTTTGTGGGAATGATTCTGTCTAGTTTTGAAACGAAGATATTTCCTTTTCTGCCATTGACCTTAAAGCGCTTGAAATCTACACTTGCAAATTGCACAAATAGAGTGTTTCAAATCTGCTCTGTCTAAGGGAACGTTCAACTCTGTGAGTGGAATGCACACAACAGAAGGAAGTTACTGGGAATTCTTCTGTCTAGCCTTACATGAAAAAAACCCGTTTCCAACGAAGGCCTCTAAGTGGTCAAAATATCCACGTGCAGACTTTACAAACAGAGTGTTTCCAAACCGCTGAATGAAAAGAAAAGTTAAACTCTGAGAGTTGAACGCACACATCACGCAGCAGATTCTGAGAATGATTCTGTCTAGTTTTTATACGAAGATATTTCCTTTTCTGCCTTTGGCCCCAAAGCGCTTGAAATCTCCACTTGCAAATTCCACAAAAACAGTGTTTCAAACCTGCTCTCTCTAAATGAAAGTTCAACTCTGTCAGTTGAATACACACAACACAAGGAAGTTACTGAGAATTCTTCTGTCTAGCCTTATATGAAAAAAACCCGTTTCCAACGAAGGCCTCAAAGAGGTCTGAATATCCACTTGCAGACTTTACAAACAGAGTGTTTCCTAACTGCTCTATGAAAAGAAAGGTTAAACTCTGTGAGTTGCACGCACACATCACAAAGGCGTTTCTGAGAATCATTCTGTCTAGTTTTTCTACGAAGATATTTCCTTTTCCACTATTGACCTCAAAGCGGCTGAAATCTCCACTTGGAAATTCTACAAAAAGAGTGTTTCAAGTCTGCTCTGTGTAAAGGATCGTTCAACTCTGTGAGTTGAATACACACAACACAAGGAAGTTACTGAGAATTCTTCTGTGTAGCAGAACATGAAGAAATCCCGTTTCCAACGAAGGCCTCAAAGAGGTCTGAATATCCACTTGCAGACTTTACAAACAGAGTGTTTCCTAACTGCTCTATGAAAAGAAAGGTTAAACTCTGTGAGTTGAACGCACACATCACAAAGGAGTTTCTGAGAATCATTCTGTCTAGTTTCTATAGGAAGATATTTCCTATTCTACCATTGACCACAAAGCGGCTGAAATCTCCACTTGCAAATTCCACAAAAAGAGTGTTTCAAGTCTGCTCTCTGTAAAGGATCGTTCAACTCTGTGAGTTGAATACACACAACACAAGGAAGTTACTGAGAATTCTTCTGTCTAGCCTTACAGGAAAGAAACCCGTTTCCAACGAAGGCCTCTAAGTGGTCAAAATATCCACGTGCAGACTTTACAAACAGAGTGTTTCCAAACTGCTGAATGAAAAGCAAAGTTAAACTCTGAGAGTTGAACGCACAAATCGCAGAGCAGTTTCTGAGAATGATTCTGTCTAGTTTTTATACGAAGATATTTCCTTTTCTGTCTTTGGCCTCAAAGCGCTTGAAATCTCCACTTGCAAATTCCACAAAAAGAGTGTTTCCAATCTGCTCTGTGTAAATGAAAGTTCAACTCTGTGAGTTGAACACACACAACACAAGGAAGTTACTGGGAATTCTTCTGTCTAGCCTTATATGAAAAAAAACTGTTTCCAACGAAGGCCTCAAAGAGGTCTGAATATCCACTTGCAGACTTTACAAACAGAGTGTTTCCTAACTGCTCTATGAAAAGAAAGGTTAAACTCTGTGAGTTGAACACACACATCACAAAGGAGTTTCTGAGAATCATTCTGTCTAGTCTTTATACGAAGATATTTCCTTTTCTACCATTGACCTCAAAGCGGCTGAAATCTCCACTTGCAAATTCCACAAAAAGAGTGTTTCAAGTCTGGTCTGTGTAAAGGATCGTTCAACTCTGTGAGTTGAATACACACAACACAAGGAAGTTACTGAGAATTCTTCTGTCTAGCAGAATATGAAGAAATCCCGTTTCCACCGAAGGCCTCAAGGAGGTCTGAATATCCACTTGCAGACTTTACAAACAGAGTGTTTCCTAACTGCTCTATGAACAGAAAGGTTAAACTCTGTGAGTTGAACGAACACATCACAACGCAGTTTGTGGGAATGATTCTGTCTAGTTTTGAAACCAAGATATTTCCTTTTCTGCCGTTGACCTTAAAGAGCTTGAAAACTACACTTGCAAATTGCACAAATAGAGTGTTTCAAATCTGCTCTGTCTAAGGGAACGTTCAACTCTGTGAGTTGAATGCACACAACACAAGGAAGTTACTGGGAATTCTTCTGTCTAGCCTTACATGAAAAAAACCCGTTTCCAACGAAGACCTCTAAGTGGTCAAATTATCCACATGCAGACTTTACAAACAGAGTGTTTCCAAACTGCTGAATGAAAAGAAAAGTTAAACTCTGAGAGTTGAACGCACACATCGCAGAGCAGTTTCTGAGAATGATTCTGTCTAGTTTTTATACGAAGATATTTCCTTTTCTGCCTCTGGCCTCAAAGCGCTTGAAATCTCCATTTGCAAATTCCACAAAAAGAGTGTTTCAAATCTGCTCTGTGTAAATGAAAGTTCAACTCTGTGAGTTGAACACACACAACACATGGAAGTTACTGGGAATTCTTCTGTCTAGCAGAATAGGAAGAAATCCCGTTACAACGAAGGCCTCAAAGAGGTCTGAATATCCACTTGCAGACTTTACAAACAGAGTGTTTCCTAACTGCTCTATGAAAAGAAAGGTTAAACTCTGTGAGTTGAACGCACACATCACAAAGGAGTTTCTGAGAATCGTTCTGTCTAGTTTCTATAGGAAGATATTTCCTATTCTACCATTGACCTCAAAGCGGCTGAAATCTCCACTTGCAAATTCCACAAAAAGAGTGTTTCAAGTCTGCTCTGTGTAAAGGATCGTTCAACTCTGTGAGTTGAAAACACACAACACAAGGAAGTTTCTGAGAATTCTTCTGTCTAGCAGAATATGAAGAAATCCCGTTTCCAACGAAGGCCACAAGATGTCAGAATATCCACTTACAGAATTTACAAACAGACTCTTTCCTAACTGCTCTATGAAAAGAAAGGTTAAACTCTGTGAGTTGAACGAACACATCACAACGCAGTTTGTGGGAATGATTCTGTCCAGTTTTGAAACGAAGATATTTCCTTTTCTGCCATTGACCTTAAAGCGCTTGAAATCTCCACTTGCCAATTGCACAAAAAGAGTGTTTCAAATCTGCTCTGTCTAAGGGAACGTTCAACTCTGTGAGTTGAATGTACACAACACAAGGAATTTACTGGGAATTCTTCTGTCGAGCCTTACATGAAAAAAACCCGTTTCCAACGAAGGCCTCTAAGTGGTCAAAATATCCACGTGCAGACTTTACAAACAGAGTGTTTCCAAACCGCTGAATGAAAAGAAAAGTTAAACTCTGAGAGTTGAACGCACACATCACGCAGCAGTTTCTGAGAATGATTCTGTCTAGTTTCTATAGGAAGATATTTCCTATTCTACCATTGACCTCAAAGCGGCTGAAATCTCCACTTCCAAATTCCACAAAAAGAATGTTTCAAGTCTGCTCTGTGTAAAGGATCGTTCAACTCTGTGAGTTGAATACACACAACACAAGGAAGTTACTAAGAATTCTTCTTTGTAGCAGAATATGAAGAAATCCCGCTTCCAACGAAGGCCTCAAGGATGTCTGAATATCCACTTGCAGACTTTACAGAGTGTTTCCTAACTGGTCTATGAAAAGAAAGGTTAAACTCTGTGAGTTGAACGCACACATCACAAAGGAGTTTCTGAGAATCATTCTGTCTAGTCTTTATATGAAGATAGTTTCCTTTTCTACCATTGACCTCAAAGCGGCTGAAATCTCCAATTGCAAATTCCACAAAAAGAGTGTTTCAAGTCTGCTCTGTGTAAAGGATCGTTCAACTCTGTGAGTTGCATACACACAACACAAGGAAGTTACTGAGAATTCTTCTGTCTAGCAGAATATGAAGAAATCCCGTTTCCAACGAAGGCCACAAGATGTCTGAATATCCACTTACAGACTTTACAAACAGAGTGTTTCCTAACTGCTCTATGAACAGAAAGGTTAAACTCTGTGAGTTGAACGAACACATCACAACGCAGTTTGTGGGAATGATTCTGTCTAGTTTTGAAACGAAGATATTTCCTTTTCTGCCATTGACCTTAAAGCGCTTGAAATCTCCATTTGCCAATTGCACAAAAAGAGTGTTTCAAATCTGCTCTGTCTAAGGGAACGTTCAACTCTGTGAGTTGAATGTACACAACACAAGGAAGTTACTGGGAATTCTTCTGTCTAGCCTTACAGGAAAAAAACCCGTTTCCAACGAAGGCCTATAAGTGGTCAAAATATCCACGTGCAGACTTTACAAACAGAGTGTTTCCACACTGCTGAATGAAAAGAAAAGTTAAACTCTGAGAGTTGAACGCACACATCGCAGAGCAGTTTCTGAGAATGATTCTGTCTAGTTTTTATACGAAGATATTTCCTTTTCTGCCTTTGGCCTCACAGCGCTTGAAATCTCCACTTGCAAATTCCACAAAAAGAGTGTTTCAAATCTGCTCTGTGTAAATGAAAGTTCAACTGCTGTGAGTTGAACACACACAACACAAGGAAGTTACTGGGAATTCTTCTGTCTAGCATAATATGAAGAAATCCCGTTTCCAACGAAGGCCTCAAAGGGGTCTGAATATCCACTTGCAGACTTTACAAACAGAGTGTTTCCTAACTGCTCTATGAAAAGAAAAGTTAAACTCTTTGAGTTGAACGCACACATCACAATGGAGTTTCTGAGAATCATTCTGTCTAGTTTCTATAGGAACATATTTCCTATTCTACCATTGACCTCAAAGCGGCTGAAATCTCCACTTGCAAATTCCACAAAAAGAATGTTTCAAGTCTGCTCTTTGTAAAGGATCGTTCAACTCTGTGAGTTGAATACACACAACACAAGGAAGTTACTGAGAATTCTTCTGTCTAGCAGAATATGGAGAAATCCCGTTTCCAACGAAGGCCTCTAGGAGGTCTGAATATCCACTTGCAGACTTTACAAACAGAGTGTTTCCTAACTGCTCTATGAACAGAAAGGTTAAACTCTGTGAGTTGAACGAACACATCACAACGCAGTTTGTGGGAATGATTCTGTCTAGTTTTGAAACGAAGATATTTCCTTTTCTGCCATTGACCTTAAAGCGCTTGAAATCTCCACTTGCCAATTGCACAAAAAGAGTGTTTCAAATCTGCTCTGTCTAAGGGAACGTTCAACTCTGTGAGTTGAATGTACACAACACAAGGAAGTTACTGGGAATTCTTCTGTCTAGCCTTACAGGAAAAAAACCCGTTTCCAACGAAGGCCTCTAAGTGGTCAAATTATCCACGTGCAGACTTTAGAAACAGAGTGTTTCCAAACTGCTGAATGAAAAGAAAAGTTAAACTCTGAGAGTTGAACGCACACATCGCAGAGCAGTTTCTGAGAATGATTCTGTCTAGTTTTTATACGAAGATATTTCCTTTTCTGCCTTTGGCCTCAAAGCCCTTGAAATCTCCACTTGCAAATTCCACAAAAAGAGTGTTTCAAATCTGCTCTGTGTAAATGAAAGTTCAACTCTGTGAGTTGAACACACACAACACAAGGAAGTTACTGGGAATTCTTCTGTGTAGCCTTATATGAAAAAAACCCGTTTCCAACGAAGGCCTCAAAGAGGTCTGAATATCCACTTGCAGACTTTACAAGCAGAGTGTTTCCTAACTGCTCTATGAAAAGAAAGGTTAAACTCTGTGAGTTGAACGCACACATCACAAAGGAGTTTCTGAGAATCATTCTGTCTAGTCTTTATACGAAGATATTTACTTTTCTACCATTGACCTCAAAGCGGCTGAAATCTCCACTTGCAAATTCCACAAGAAGAGTGTTTCAAGTCTGCTCTGTGTAAAGGATCGTTCAACTCTGTGAGTTGAATACACACAACACAAGGAAGTTACTGAGAATTCTTCTGTCTAGCAGAATATGAAGAAATCCCGTTTCCAACGAAGGCCACAAGATGTCAGAATATCCACTTACAGACTTTACAAACAGAGTGTTTCCTAACTGCTCTATGAACAGAAAGGTTAAACTCTGTGAGTTGAACGAACACATCACAACGCAGTTTGTGGGAATGATTTCTGTCTAGTTTTGAAACGAAGATATTTCCTTTTCTGCCATTGACCTTAAATCGCTTGAAATCTACACTTGCAAATTGCACAAATAGAGTGATTCAAATCTGCTCTGTCTAAGGGAACGTTCAACTCTGTGAGTTGAATGCACACAACACAAGGAAGTTACTGGGAATTCTTCTGTCTACCCTTACATGAAAAAAACCCGTTTCCAACGAAGGCCTCTAAGTGGTCAAAATATCCACGTGCAGACTTTACAAACAGAGTGTTTCCAAACTGCTGAATGAAAAGAAAAGTTAAACTCTGAGAGTTGAACCCACACATCACAGAGGATTTTCTGAGAATGATTCTGTCTAGTTTTTATACGAAGATATTTCGTTTTCTGCCTTTGGCCCCAAAGCGCTTGAAATCTCCACTTGCAAATTCCACAAAAACAGTGTTACAAATCTGCTCTCTCTAAGTGAAAGTTGAACTCTGTCAGTTGAATACACACAACACAAGGAAGTTACTGAGAATTCTTCTTTCTAGCAGAATATGAAGAAATCCCGTTTCAAACGAAGGCCTCAAAGAGGTCTGAATATCAACTTGCAGACTTTACAAACAGAGTGTTTCCCAACTGCTCTATGAAAAGAAAGGTTAAACTGTGTGAGTTGAACGCACACATCACAAAGGAGTTTCTGAGAATCATTCTGTCTAGTTTTTCTACGAAGATATTTCCTTTTCTACTATTGACCTCAAAGCGGCTGAAATCTCCACTTGCAAATTCCACAAAAAGAGTGTTTCAAGTCTGCTCTGTGTAAAGGATCTTTCAACTCTGTGAGTTGAATACACACAACACAAGGAAGTTACTGAGAATTCTTCTGTCTAGCATACTATGAAGAAATCCCGTTTCCAACGAAGGCCTCCAAGAGGTCTGAATATCCACTTGCAGAGTTTACAAACAGAGTGTTTCCTAACTGCTCTATGAAAAGAAAGGTTAAACTCTGTGAGTTGAACGCACACATCACAAAGAAGTTTCTGAGAATCATTCTGTCTAGTTTTGAAACTAAGACATTTCCTTTTCTGCCATTGACCTTAAAGCGCTTGATATCTACACTTGCAAATTGCACAAATAGAGTGTTTCAAATCTGCTCTGTCTAAGGGAACGTTCAACTCTGTGAGTTGAATGCACACAACACAAGGAAGTTACTGGGAATTCTTCTGTCTAGCCTTACATGAAAAAAACCCGTTTCCAACGAAGGCCTCTAAGTGGTCAAATTATCCACGTGCAGACTTTACAAACAGAGTGTTTCCAAACTGCTGAATGAAAAGAAAAGGTAAACTCTGAGAGTTGAACGCACACATCACAGAGCAGTTTCTGAGAATGATTCTGTCTAGTTTTTATACGAAGATATTTCCTTTTCTACCATTGACCTCAAAGCGGCTGAAATCTCCACTTGCAAATTCCACAAAAAGAGTGTTTCAAGTCTGCTCTGTGTAAAGGATAGTTCAACTCTGTGAGTTGAATACACACAACACAAGGAAGTTACTGAGAATTCTTCTGTCTAGCAGAATATGAAGAAATCCCGTTTCCAACGAAGGCCTAAAGGAGGTCTGAATATCCACTTGCAGACTTTACAAACAGAGTGTTTCCTAACTGCTCTATGAACAGAAAGGTTAAACTCTGTGAGTTGAACGCACACATCACAAA
Organism: Homo sapiens; assembly: GCF_000001405.40. Lineage (NCBI taxonomy): Eukaryota > Metazoa > Chordata > Mammalia > Primates > Hominidae > Homo > Homo sapiens. The sequence continues at coordinate 49,022,233 of NC_000005.10, read as the reverse complement.
GGAGTTTCTAAGAATCATTCTGTCTAGTCTTTATACGAAGATATTTCCTTTTCTACCATTGACCTCAAAGCGGCTGAAATCTCCACTTGCAAATTCCACAAAAAGAGTGTTTCAAGTCTGCTCTGTGTAAAAGATCGTTCAACTCTGTGAGTTGAATACACACAACACAAGGAAGTTACTGAGAATTCTTCTGTCTAGCAGAATATGAAGAAATCCCGTTTCCAACGAAGGCCACAAGATGTCAGAATATCCACTTACAGAATTGACAAACAGACTGTTTCCTAACTGCTCTATGAAAAGAAAGGTTAAACTCTGTGAGTTCAACGAACACATCACAACGCAGTTTGTGGGAATGATTCTGTCTAGTTTTGAAACGAAGATATTTCCTTTTCTGCCATTGACCTTAAAGCGCTTGAAATCTACACTTGCAAATTGCACAAATAGAGTGTTTCAAATCTGCTCTGTCTAAGGGAACGTTCAACTCTGTGAGTTGAATGCACACAACACAAGGAAGTTACTGGGAATTACTTCTGTCTAGCAGAATATGAAGAAATCCCGTTTCCAACGAAAGCCTCCAAGAGGTCTGAATATCCACTTGCAGACTTTACAAACAGAGTGTTTCCAAACCGCTGAATGAAAAGAAACTTTAAACTCTGAGAGTTGAACGCACACATCACGCAGCAGTTTCTGAGAATGATTCTGTCTAGTTTTTATACGAAGATATATCCTTTTCTGCCTTTGGCCCCAAAGCGCTTGAAATCTCCACTTGCAAATTCCACAAAAACAGTGTTTCAAATCTGCTCTCTCTAAATGAAAGTTCAACTCTGTCAGTTGAATACACACAACACAAGGAAGTTACTGAGAATTCTTCTGTCTAGCAGAATATGAAGAAATCCCGTTTCCAACGAAGGCCTCAACGAGGTCTGAATATCCACTTGCAGACTTTACAGGCAGAGTGTTTCCTAACTGCTCTATGAAAAGAAAGGTTAAACTCTGTGAGTTGAACACACACATCACAAAGAAGTTTCTGAGAATCATTCTGTCTAGTTTTTATACGAAGAGATTTCCTTTTCTACCGTTGACCTCAAAGCGGCTGAAATCTCCACTTGCAAATTCCACAAAAAGAGTGTTACAAGTCTGCTCTGTGTAAAGGATCGTTCAACTCTGTGAGTTGAATACACACAACACAAGGAAGTTACTGAGAATTCTTCTGTCTAGCAGAATATGAAGAAATCCCGTTTCCAACGAAGGCCACAAAATGTCAGAATATCCACTTACAGAATTTACAAACAGACTGTTTCCTAACTGCTCTATGAAAAGAAAGGTTAAACTCTGTGAGTTGAACGAACACATCACAACGCAGTTTGTGGGAATGATTCTGTCTAGTTTTGAAACGAAGATATTTCCTTTTCTGCCATTGACATTAAAGCGCTTGAAATCTCCATTTGCCAATTGCACAAAAAGAGTGTTTCAAATCTGCTCTGTCTAAGGGAACTTTCAACTCTGTGAGTTGAATGTACACAACACAAGGAAGTTACTGGGAATTCTTCTGTCTAGCCTTCCATGAAAAAAACCCGTTTCCAACGAAGGTCTCTAAGTGGTCAAATTATCCACGTGCAGACTTTACAAACAGAGTGTTTCCAAACTGCTGAATGAAAAGAAAAGTTAAACTCTGAGAGTTGAACGCACACATCGCAGAGCAGTTTCTGAGAATGATTCTGTCTAGTTTTTATACGAAGATATTTCCTTTTCTGCCTTTGGCCCCAAGGCGCTTGAAATCTCCACTTGCAAATTCCACAAAAACAGTGTTTCAAATCTGCTCTCTCTAAATGAAAGTTCAACTCTGTCAGTTGAATACACACAACACAAGGAAGTTACTGAGAATTCTTCTGTCTAGCATAATATGAAGAAATCCCGTTTCCAACGAAGGCCTCAAAGGGGTCTGAATATCCACTTGCAGACTTTATAAACAGAGTGTTTCCTAACTGCTCTATGAAAAGAAAGGTTAAACTCTGTGAGTTGAACGCACACATCACAAAGGAGTTTTTGAGAATCGTTCTGTCTAGTTTCTATAGGAAGATATTTCCTATTCTACCATTGAACTCAAAGCGGCTGAAATCTCCACTTGCAAATTCCACAAAAAGAGTGTTTCAAGTCTGCTCTGTGTAAAGGATCGTTCAACTCTGTGAGTTGAATACACACAACACAAGGAAGTTACTGACAATTCTTCTGTCTAGCAGAATATGAAGAAATCCCGTTTCCAACGAAGGCCACAAGATGTCAGAATATCCACTTTCAGACTTTACAAACAGAGTGTTTCCTAACTGCTCTATGAACAGAAAGGTTAAACTCTGTGAGTTGAACGAACACATCACAACGCAGTTTGTGGGAATGATTCTGTCTAGTTTTGAAACGAAGATATTTCCTTTTCTGCCATTGAACTTAAAGCGCTTGAAATCTCCATTTGCCAATTGCACAAAAAGAGTGTTTCAAATCTGCTCTGTCTAAGGGAACGTTCAACTCTGTGAGTTGAATGTACACAACACAAGGAAGTTACTGGGAATTCTTCTGTCTAGCCTTACATGAAAAAAACCCGTTTCCAACGAAGGCCTCTAAGTGGTCAAAATATCCACGTGCAGACTTACAAAAAGAGTGTTTCCAAACCGCTGAATGAAAAGAAAAGTTAAACTCTGAGAGTTGAACGCACACATCACGCAGCAGTTTCTGAGAATGATTCTGTCTAGTTTCTATAGGAAGATATTTCCTATTCTACCATTGACCTCAAAGCGGCTGAAATCTCCACTTGCAAATTCCACAAAAAGAGTGTTTCAAGTCTGCTCTGTGTATAGGATCGTTCAACTCTGTGAGTTGAATACACACAACACAAGGAAGTTACTGAGAATTCTTCTGTCTAGCCTTACATGAAAAAAACCCGTTTCCAACGAAGGCCTCAAAGAAGTCCAAATATCCACATGCATACTTTACAAACAGAGTGTTTCCTAACTGCTCTATGAAAAGAATGGTTAAACTCTGTGAGTTGAACGCCCACATCACAAAGGAGTTTCTGAGAATCATTCTGTCTAGTTTCTATAGGATGATATTTCCTATTCTACCATTGACCTCAAAGCGGCTGAAATCTCCACTTGCAAATTCCACAAAAAGAGTGTTTCAAGTCTGCTCTGTGTAAAGGATCGTTCAACTCTGTGAGTTGAATACACACAACACAAGGAAGTTACTGAGAATTCTTCTGTCTAGCAGAATATGAAGAAATCCCGTTTCCAACGAAGGCCACAAGTATGTCAGAATATCCACTTACAGAATTTACAAACAGACTGTTTCCTAACTGCTCTATGAAAAGAAAGGTTAAAGTCTGTGAGTTGAACGAACACATCACAACGCAGTTTGTGGGAATGATTCTGTCTAGTTTTGAAACGAAGATATTTCCTTTTCTGCCATTGACCTTAAAGCGCTTGAAATCTCCACTTGCCAATTGCACAAAAAGAGTGTTTCAAATCTGCTCTGTCTAAGGGAACGTTCAACTCTGTGAGTTGAACCGTACACAACACAAGGAAGTTACTGGGAATTCTTCTGTCTAGCCTTACAGGAAAGAAACCCGTTTCCAACGAAGGCCTCTAAGTGGTCAAAATATCCACGTGAAGACTTTACAAACAGAGTGTTTCCAAACTGCTGAATGAAAAGCAAAGTTAAACTCTGAGAGTTGAACGCACACATCGCAGAGCAGTTTCTGAGAATGATTCTGTCTAGTTTTTATACCGAAGATATTTCCTTTTCTGCCTTTGGCCTCAAAGCGCTTGAAATCTCCAATTGCAAATTCCACAAAAAGAGTGTTTCAAATCTGCTCTGTGTAAATGAAAGTTCAACTCTGTGAGTTGAACACACACAACACAAGGAAGTTACTGGGAATTCTTCTGTCTAGCAGAATATGAAGAAATCCCGTTTCCAACGAAGGCCTCAAAGAGGTCTGAATATCCACTTGCAGACTTCACAAACAGAGTGTTTCCTAACTGCTCTATGAAAAGAAAGGATAAACTCTGTGAGTTGAACGCACACATCACAAAGGAGTTTCTCAGAATCATTCTGTCTAGTTTTTATAGGAAGATATTTCCTTTTCTACCTTTGACTTCAAAGCGGCTGAAATCTCCACTTGCAAATTCCACAAAAAGAGTGTTCCAAGTCTGCTCTGTGTAAAGGATCGTTCAACTCTGTGAGTTGAATACACACAACACAAGGAAGTTACTGAGAATTCTTCTGTCTAGCCTTACATGAAAAAAACCCGTTTCCAACGAAGGCCTCTAAGTGGTCAAATTATCCACGTGCAGACTTTACAAACAGAGTGTTTCCAAACTGCTGAATGAAAAGCAAAGTTAAACTCTGAGAGTTGAACGCACACATCGCAGAGCAGTTTCTGAGAATGATTTCTGTCTAGTTTTGAAACGAAGAAATTTCCTTTTCTGCCATTGACCTTAAAGCGCTTGAAATCTACACTTGCAAATTGCACAAATAGAGTGTTTCAAATCTGCTCTGTCTAAGTGAACGTTCAACTCTGTGAGTTGAATGCACACAACACAAGGAAGTTACTGGGAATTCTTCTGTCTAGCCTTACATGAAGAAAACCCGTTTCCAAAGAAGGCTTCTAAGTGGTCAAAATATCCACGTGCAGACTTTACAAACAGAGTGTTTCCAAACCGCTGAATGAAAAGAAAAGTTAAACTCTGAGAGTTGAACGCACACATCACGCAGCAGATTCTGAGAATGATTCTGTCTAGTTTCTATAATAAGATATTTCCTATTCTACCATTGACCTCAAAGCGGCTGAAATCTCCACTTGCAAATTCGACAAAAAGAGTGTTTCAAGGCTGCTCTCTGTAAAGGATCCTTCAACTCTGTGAGTTGAATACACACAACACAAGGAAGTTACTGAGAATTCTTCTGTCTAGCAGAATATGAAGAAATCCCGTTTCCAACGAAGGCCTCAAAGGGGTCTGAATATCCACTTGCAGACTTTATAAACAGAGTGTTTACTAACTGCTCTATGAAAAGAAAGGTTAAACTCTGTGAGTTGAACACACACATCACAAAGGAGTTTCTGAGAATCATTCTGTCTAGTTTCTATAGGAAGATATTTCCTATTCTTCCATTGACCTCAAAGCGGCTGAAATCTCCACTTGCAAATTCCACAAAAAGAGTGTTTCAAGTCTGCTCTGTGTAAAGGATCGTTCAACTCTGTGAGTTGAATACACACAACACAAGGAAGTTACTGAGAATTCTTCTTTCTAGCAGAATATGAAGAAATCCCGTTTCCAACGAAAGCCTCAAGGATGTCTGAATATCCACTTGCAGACTTTACAAACAGTGTGTTTCCTAACTGCTCTATGAAAAGAAAGGTTCAACTCTGTGAGTTGAACGCACACATCACAAAGGAGGTTCTGAGAATCATTCTGTCTAGTTTTGAAACGAAGATATTTCCTTTTCTGCCGTTAACCTTAAAGCGCTTGAAATCTACACTTGCAAATTGCACAAATAGAGTGTTCCAAATCTGCTGTGTCTAAGGGAACGTTCAACTCTGTGAGTTGAATGCACACAACACAAGGAAGTTACTGGGAATTCTTCTGTCTACCCTTACATGAAAAAAACCCGTTTCCAACGAAGGCCTCTAAGTGGTCAAAATATCCACGTGCAGACTTTACAAACAGAGTGTTTCCAAACTGCTGAATGAAAAGAAAAGTTAAACTCTGAGAGTTGAACGCACACATCACAGAGCATTTTCTGAGAATGATTCTGTCTAGTTTTGAAACGAAGATATTTCCTTTTCTGCCTTTGGCCTCAAAGCGCTTGACATCTCCAGTTGCAAATTCCACAAAAAGAGTGTTTCAAATCTGCTCTGTGTAAATGAAAGTTCAACTCTGTGAGTTGAACACACACAACACAAGGAAGTTACTGGGAATTCTTCTGTCTAGCAGAATATGAAGAAATCCCGTTTCCAACGAAGGCCTCAAAGAGGTCTGAATATCCACTTGCAGACTTTACAAACAGAGTGTTTCCTAACTGCTCTATGAAAAGAAAGGTTAATCTCTGTGAGTTGAACGCACACATCACAAAGGAGTTTCTGAGAATCATTCTGTCTAGTTTTTATACGAAGATATTTCCTTTTCTACCATTGACCTCAAAGCGGGTGAAATCTCCACTTGCAAATTCCACAAAAAGAGTGTTTCAAATCTTCTCTGTGTAAACCATCGTTCAACTCTGTGAGTTGAATACACACAACACAAGGAAGATTGTGAGAATTCTTCTGTCTAGTAGAATATGGAGAAATCCAGTTTCCAACGAAGGCCACAAGATGTCAGAATATCCACTTACAGACTGTACAAACAGAGTGTTTCCTAACTGCTCTATGAACAGAAAGGTTAAACTCTGTGAGTTGAACGAACACATCACAACGCAGTTTGTGGGAATGATTCTGTCTAGTTTTGAAACGAAGATATTTCCTTTTCTGCCGTTGACCTTAAAGCGCTTGAAATCTACACTTGCAAATTGGACAAATAGAGTGTTTCAAATCTGCTCTGTCTAAGGGAACGTTCAACTCTGTGAGTTGAATGCACACAACACAAGGAAGTTACTGGGAATTCTTCTGTCTAGCCTTACATGAAAAAAACCCGTTTCCAACGAAGGCCTCTAAGTGGTCAAAATTTCCACGTGCAGACTTTACAAACAGCGTGTTTCCAAACCGCTGAATGAAAAGAAAAGTTAAACTCTGAGAGTTGAACGCACACATCACGCAGCAGTTTCTGAGAATGATTCTGTCTAGTCTTTATACGAAGATAGTTTCCTTTTCTACCATTGACCTCAAAGCGGCTGAAATCTCCACTTGCAAATTCCACAAAAAGAGTGTTTCAAGTCTGCTCTGTGTAAAGGATCGTTCAACTCTGTGAGTTGAATACACACAACACAAGGAAGTTACTGAGAATTGTTCTGTCTAGCATAATATGAAGAAATCCCGTTTCCAACGAAGGCCTCAAAGAGGTCTGAATATCCACTTGCAGACTTTACAAACAGAGTTTTTCCTAACTGCTCTATGAAAAGAAACGTTAAACTCTGTGAGTTGAACGCACACATCACAAAGGAGTTTATGAGAATCATTCTGTCTAGTTTCTATAGGAAGATATTTCCTATTCTACCATTGACCTCAAAGCGGCTGAAATCTCCACTTGCAAATTCCACAAAAAGAGTGTTTCAAGTCTGCTCTGTGTAAAGGATCGTTCAACTCTGTGAGTTGAATACACACAACACAAGGAAGTTACTGAGATTTCTTCCGTCTAGCAGAATATGAAGAAATCCCGTTTCCAACGAAGGCCACAAGGAGGTCTGAATATCCACTTGCAGACTTTACAAACAGAGTGTTTCCTAACTGCTCTATGAAAAGAAAAGTTAAACTCTGTGAGTTGAACGCACACATCACAAAAGAGTTTCTGAGAATCATTCTGTCTAGTTTTGAAACGAAGATATTTCCTTTTCTGCCATTGACCTTAAAGCGCTTGAAATCTCCATTTGCCAATTGCACAAAAAGAGTGTTTCAAATCTGCTCTGTCTAAGGGAACGTTCAACTCTGTGAGTTGAATGTACACAACACAAGGAAGTTACTGGGAATTCTTCTGTCTAGCCTTACAGGAAAAAAACCCGTTTCCAACGAAGGCCTCTAAGTGGTCAAAATATCCACGTGCAGACTTTACAAACAGAGTGTTTCCTAACTGCTCTATGAAAAGAAAGGTTAAACTCTGTGAGTTGAACGCACACATCACAAAGGAGTTTCTGAGAATCATTCTGTCTAGTTTTTATACGAAGATATTTCCTTTTTTGCCTTTGGCCCCAAAGCGCTTGAAATCTCCACTTGCAAATTCCACAAAAACAGTGTTTCAAATCTGCTCTCTCTAAATGAAAGTTCAACTCTGTCAGTTGAATACACAGAACACAAGGAAGTTACTGAGAATTCTTCTGTCTAGCAGAATATGAAGAAATCCCGTTTCCAACGAAGGCCTCAAGGAGGTCTTAATATCCACTTGCAGACTTTACAAACAGAGTGTTTCCTAACTGCTCTATGAAAAGAAAGGTTAAACTCTGTGAGTTGAACGCACACATCACAAAGGAGTTTCTGAGAATCTTTCTGTCTAGTTTTTCTACGAAGATATTTCCTTTTCTACTATTGACCTCAAAGCAGCTGAAATCTCCACTTGCAAATTCTACAAATAGAGTGTTTCAAGTCTGCTCTGTGTAAAGGATCGTTCAACTCTGTGAGTTGAATACACACAACACAAGGAAGTTACTGAGAATTCTTCTGTCTAGCCTTACATGAAAAAAACCTGTTTCCAACGAAGGCCTCTAAGTGGTGAAATTATGTACGTGCAGACTTTACAAACAGAGTGTTTCCAAACTGCTGAATGAAAAGAAAAGTTAAACTCTGAGAGTTGAACGCACACATCGCAGAGCTGTTTCTGAGAATGATTCTGTCTAGTTTTTATACGAAGATATTTCCTCTTCTGCCTTTGGCCTCAAAGCGCTTGAAATCTCCATTTGCAAATTCCACAAAAAGAGTGTTTCAAATCTGCTCTGTGTAAATGAGAGTTCATCTCTGTGAGTTGAACACACACAACACAAGGAAGTTACTGGGAATTCTTCTGTCTAGCAGAACATGAAGAAATCCCGTTTCCAACGAAGGCCTCAAGGATGTCTGAATATCCACTTGCAGACTTTACAAACAGAGTGTTTCCTAACTGCTCTATGAAAAGAAAGGTTAAACTCTGTGAGTTGAACGCAGACATCACAAAGGAGTTTCTGAGAATCATTTCTGTCTATTTTTTATACGAAGATATTTCCTTTTCTACCATTGACCTCAAAGCGGCTGAAATCTCCACTTGCCAATTCCACAAAAAGAGTGTTTCAAGTCTACTCTATGTAAAGGATCGTTGAACTCTGTGAGTTGAAAACACACAACACAAGGAAGTTACTGAGAATTCTTCTGTCTAGCATAATATGAAGAAATCCCGTTTCCAACGAAGGCCTCAAAGAGGTCTGAATATCCACTTGCAGACTTTACAAACAGAGTGTTTCCTAACTGCTCTATGAAAAGAAAGGTTAAACTCTGTGAGTTGAACGCACACATCACAAGGGAGTTTCTGAGAATCATTCTGTCTAGTTTCTATAGGAAGATGTTTCCTATTCTACCATTGACCTCAAAGCGGCTGAAATCTCCACTTGCAAATTCCACAACAAGAGTGTTTCAAGTATGCTCTGTGTAAAGGATCGTTCAACTCTGTGAGTTGAATACACACAACACAAGGAAGTTACTGAGAATTCTTCTGTCTAGCAGAATATGAAGAAATCCCGTTTCCAACGAAGGCCACAAGGATGTCAGAATATCCACTTACAGAATTTTCAAACAGACTGTTTCCTAACTGCTCTATGAAAAGAAAGGTTAAACTCTGTGAGTTGAACGAACACATCACAACGCAGTTTGTGGGAATGATTCTGTCTAGTTTTGAAACGAAGATATTTCCTTTTCTGCCATTGACCTTAAAGCGCTTGAAATCTCCATTTGCCAATTGCACAAAAAGAGTGTTTCAAATCTGCTCTGTCTAAGGGAACGTTCAACTCTGTGAGTTGAATGTACACAACACAAGGAAGTTACTGGGAATTCTTCTGTCTAGCGTTACATGAAAAAAACCCGTTTCCAACGAAGGCCTCTAAGTGGTCAAGTTATCCACGTGCAGACTTTACAAACAGAGTGTTTCCAAACTGCTGAATGAAAAGAAAAGTTAAACTCTGAGAGTTGAACGCACACATCGCAGAGCAGTTTCTGAGAATGATTCTGTCTAGTTTTTATACGAAGATATTTCCTTTTCTACCATTGACCTCAAAGCGGCTGAAATCTCCACTTACAAATTCCACAAAAAGAGTGTCTCTAGTCTGCTCTGTGTAAACGATCGTTCAACTCTGTGAGTTGAATACACACAATAGAAGGAAGTTTCTGAGAATTCTTCTGTATAGCAGAATATGAAGAAATCCCGTTTCCAACGAAGGCCTCAAGGAGGTCTGAATATCCACTTGCAGACTTTACAAACAGAGTGTTTCCTAACTGCTCTATGAAAAGAAAGGTTAAACTCTGTGAGTTGAACGCAGACATCACAAAGGAGTTTCTGAGAAACACTCTGTCTAGTCTTTATACGAAGATATTTCCTTTTCTACCATTGACCTCAAAGCGGCTGAAATCTCCACTTGCAAATTCCACAAAAAGAGTGTTTCAACTCTGCTCTGTGTAAAGGATCGTTCAACTCTGTGAGTTGAATACACACAACACAAGGAAGTTACTGAGAATTCTTCTGTCTAGCAGAATATGAAGAAATCCCGTTTCCACCGAAGGCCTCAAGGTGGTCTGAATATCCACTTGCAGACTTTACAAACAGAGTGTTTCCTAACTGCTCTATGAACAGAAAGGTTAAACTCTGTGAGTTGAACGCACACATCACAAAGGAGTTTCTGAGAATCATTCTGTCTAGTTTTGAAACGAACAATTTCCTTTTCTGCCATTGACCTTAAAGCGCTTGAAATCTCCATTTGCCAATTGCACAAAAAGAGTGTTTCAAATCTGCTCTGTCTAAGGGAACGTTCAACTCTGTGAGTTGAATGTACACAACACAAGGCAAGTTACTGGGAATTCTTCTGTCTAGCCTTACATGAAAAAAACCCGTTTCCAACGAAGGCCTCTAAGTGGTCAAAATGTCCACGTGCAGACTTTACAAACAGAGTGTTTCCAAACCGCTGAATGAAAAGAAAAGTTAAACTCTGAGAGTTGAACGCACACATCACGCAGCAGTTTCTGAGAATGATTCTGTCTAGTTTTTATACGAAGATATTTCCATTTCTGCCTTTGGCCTCAAATCCCTTGAAATCTCCATTTGCAAATTCCAGAAAAAGAGTGTTTCAAATCTGCTCTGTGTAAATGAAAGTTCAACTCTGTGAGTTGAACACACACAACACAAGGAAGTTACTGGGAATTCTTCTGTCTAGCCTTATATGAAAAAAACCCGTTTCCAACGAAGGCCTCAAAGAGGTCTGAATATCCACTTGCAGACTTTACAAACAGAGTGTTTCCTAACTGCACTATGAAAAGGAAGGTTAAACTCTGTGAGTTGAACGCACACATCACAAAGGAGTTTCTGAGAATCATTCTGTGTAGTTTTTATAGGAAGATATTTCCTTTTCTACCTTTGACTTCAAAGCGGCTGAAATCTCCACTTGCAAATTCCACAAAAAGAGTGTTACAAGTCTGCTCTGTGTAAAGGATCGTTCAACTCTGTGAGTTGAATACACACAACACAAGGAAGTTACTGAGAATTCTTCTGTCTAGCCTTACATGAAAAAAACCCGTTTCCAACGAAGGCCTCTAAGTGGTCAAATTATCCACGTGCAGACTTTAGAAACAGAGTGTTTCCAAACTGCTGAATGAAAAGCAAAGTTAAACTCTGAGAGTTGAACGCACACATCGCAGAGCAGTTTCTGAGAATGATTCTGTCTAGTTTTGAAAGGAAGATATTTCCTTTCCTGCCGTTGACCTTAAAGCGCTTGAAATCTACACTTGCAAATTGCACAAATAGGCTGTTTCAAATCTGCTCTGTCTAAGGGAACGTTCAACTCTGTGAGTTGAATGCACCCAACACAAGGAAGTTACTGGGAATTCTTCTGTCTAGCCTTACATGAAAAAAACCCGTTTCCAACGAAGGCCTCTAAGTGGTCAAGTTATCCACGTGCAGACTTTACAAACAGAGTGTTTCCAAACTGCTGAATGAAAAGAAAAGTTAAACTCTGGGAGTTGAACGCACACATCGCAGAGCAGTTTCTGAGAATCATTCTGTCTAGTTTTTATACGAAGATATTTCCTTTTCTGCCTTTGGCCTCAAAGCTCTTGAAATCTCCACTTGCAAATTCCACAAAAAGAGTGTTTCAAATCTGCTCTGTGTAAATGAAAGTTCAACTCTGTGAGTTGAACACACACAACACAAGGAAGTTACTGGGAATTCTTCTGTCTAGCACAGTATGAAGAAACCCGTTTCCAACGAAGGCCTCAAAGAGGTCTGAATATCCACTTGCAGAGTTTAAAAACACAGTGTTTCCTAACTGCTCTATGAAAAGAAAGGTTAAACTCTGTGAGTTGAACACACACATCACAAAGAAGTTTCTGAGAATCATTCTGTCTAGTTGTTATACGAAGATATTTCCTTTTCTACCATTGACCTCAAAGCGGCTGAAATCTCCACTTGCAAATTCCACCAAATGAGTGTTTCAAATCTGCTCTGTGTAAACTATCGTTCAACTACTGTGGGTTGAATACACACAACACAAGGAAGATTCTGAGAATTCTTCTGTCTAGCAGAATATGAAGAAATCCCGTTTCCAACGAAGGTCACAAGATGTCAGAATATCCACTTACAGAATTTACAAACAGACTGTTTCCTAACTGTTCTATGAAAAGAAAGGTTAAACTCTGTGAGTTGAACGAACACATCACAACGCAGTTTGTGGGAATGATTCTGTCTAGTTTTGAAACCAAGATATTTCCTTTTCTGCCGTTGACCTTAAAGAGCTTGAAAACTACACTTGCAAATTGCACAAATAGAGTGTTTCAAATCTGCTCTGTCTAAGGGAACGTTCAACTCTATGAGTTGAATGCACACAACACAAGGAAGTTACTGGGAATTCTTCTGTCTAGCCTTACATGAAAAAAACCCGTTTCCAACGAAGGCCTCTAAGTGGTCAAGTTATCCACGTGCAGACTTTACAAACAGAGTGTTTCCAAACTGCTGAATGAAAAGAAAAGTTAAACTCTGAGAGTTGAACGCACACATCGCAGAGCAGTTTCTGAGCATGATTCTGTCTAGTTTTTATACGAAGATATTTCCTTTTCTGCCTTTGGCCTCAAAGCGCTTGAAATCTCCACTTGCAAATTCCACAAAAAGAGTGTTTCAAATCTGCTCTGTGTAAATCAAAGTTCAACTCTGTGAGTTGAACACACACAACACAAGGAAGTTACTGGGGATTCTTCTGTCTAGCAGAATATGAAGAAATCCCGTTTCCAACGAAGGCCTCAAAGAGGTCTGAATATCCACTTGCAGACTTTACAAACAGAGTGTTTCCTAACTGCTCTATGAAAAGAAAGGTTAAACTCTGTGAGTTCAACGCACACATCACAAAGGAGTTTCTGAGAATCGTTCTCTGTCTACTTTCTATAGGAAGATATTTCCTATTCTATCATTGACCTCAAAGCGGCTGAAATCTCCACTTGCAAATTCCACAAAAGGAGTGTTTCAAGTCTGCTCTGTGTAAAGGATCGTTCAACTCTGTGAGTTGAAAACACACAACACAAGGAAGTTTCTGAGAATTCTTCTGTCTAGCAGAATATGAAGAAATCCCGTTTCCAACGAAGGCCTCAAGGAGGTCTGAATATCCACTTGCAGACTTTACAAACAGAGTGTTTCTTAACTGCTCTATGAACAGAAAGGTTAAACTCTGTGAGTTGAACGAACACATCACAACGCAGTTTGTGGGAATGATTCTGTCTAATTTTGAAACGAAGATATTTCCTTTTCTGCCATTGACCTTAATGCGCTTGAAATCTACACTTGCAAATTGCACAAATAGAGTGTTTCAAATCTGCTCTGTCTAAGGGAACGTTCAACTCTGTGAGTTGAATGCACACAACACAAGGAAGTTACTGGGAATTCTTCTGTCTAGCCTTACATGAAAAAAACCCGTTTCCAACGAAGGCCTCTAAGTGATCAAATTATCCACGTGCAGACTTTACAAACAGAGTGTTTCCAAACTGCTGAATGAAAAGAAAAGTTAAACTCTGAGAGTTGAACGCACACATCACAGAGCAGTTTCTGAGAATGATTCTGTCTAGTTTATATACGAAGATATTTCCTTTTCTGCCTTTGGCCTCAAAGCGCTTGAAATCTCCACTTGCAAATTCCACAAAAAGAGTGTTTCAAATCTGCTCTGTGTAAATGAAAGTTCAACTCTGTGAGTTGAACACACACAACACAAGGAAGTTACTGGGAATTCTTCTGTATAGCAGAATATGAAGAAATCCCGTTTCCAACGAAGGCCTCAAGGAGGTCTGAATATCCACTTGCAGACTTTACAAACAGAGTGTTTCCTAACTGCTCTATGAAAAGAAAGGTTAAACTCTGTGAGTTGAACGCAGACATCACAAAGGAGTTTCTGAGAATCATTCTGTCTAGTTTTTATAGGAAGTTATTTCCTTTTCTACCTTTGACTTCAAAGTGGCTGAAATCTCCACTTGCAAATTCCACAAAAAGAGTGTTACAAGTCTGCTCTGTGTAAAGGGTCGTTCAACTACTGTGAGTTGAATACACACAACACAAGGAAGTTACTGAGAATTCTTCTGTCTAGCGGAATATGAAGAAATCCCCTTTCCAACGAAGGCCACAAGATGTCAGAATATCCACTTACAGACTTTACAAACAGAGTGTTTCCTAACTGCTCTATGAACAGAAAGGTTAAACTCTGTGAGTTGAACGAACACATCACAACGCAGTTTGTGGGAATGATTCTGTCTAGTTTTGAAACGAAGATATTTCCTTTTCTGCCATTGACCTTAAATCTCTTGAAATCTCCACTTGCCAATTGCACAAAAAGAGTGTTTCAAATCTGCTCTGTCTAAGGGAACGTTCAACTCTGTGAGTTGAATGTACACAACACAAGGAAGTTACTGGGAATTCTTCTGTCTAGCCTTACAGGAAAAAAACCCGTTTCCAACGAAGGCCTCTGAGTGGTCAAAATATCCACGTGCAGACTTTACAAACAGAGTGTTTCCAAACTGCTGAATGAAAAGAAAAGTTAAACTCTGAGAGTTGAACGCACACATCGCAGAGCAGTTTCTGAGAGTGATTCTGTCTAGTTTTGAAACGAAGACTATTTCCTTTTCTGCCTTTGGCCTCAAAGCGCTTGAAATCTCCACTTGCAAATTCCACAAAAAGAGTGTTTCAAATCTGCTCTGTGTAAATGAAAGTTCAACTCTGTGAGTTGAACACACACAACACAAGGAAAGTTACTGGGAATTCTTCTGTCTAGCAGAATATGAAGAAATACCGTTTCCAACGAAGGCCTCAAGGAGGTCTGAATATCCACTTGCAGACTTTACAAACAGAGTGTTTCCTAACTGCTCTATGAAAAGAAAGGTTAAACTCTGTGAGTTGAACGCACACATCACAAAGGAGTTTCTGAGAATCATTCTGTCTACTTTTTCTACGAAGATATTTCCTTTTCTACTATTGACCTCAAAGCGGCTGAAACCTCCACTTGCAAATTCCACAAAAAAAGTGTTTCAAGTCTGCTCTGTGTAAAGGATCGTTCAACTCTGTGAGTTGAATACACACAACACAAGGAAGTTACTGAGAATTCTTCTGTCTAGCAGAATATGAAGAAATCCCGTTTCCAACGAAGGCTTCAAAGAGGTCTGAATATCCACTTGCAGACTTTACAAACAGAGTGTTTCCTAACTGCTCTATGAACAGAAAGGTTAAACTCTGTGAGTTGAACGAACACATCACAACGCAGTTTGTGGGAATGATTCTGTCTAGTTTTTATTGGAAGATATTACCTTTTCTACCATTGACTTAAAAGCGGCTGAAAACTCCACTTGCAAATTCCACAAAAAGAGTGTTACAAGTCTGCTCTGTCTAAGGGAACGTTCAACTTTGTGAGTTGAATGTCCACAACACAAGGAAGTTACTGGGAATTCTTCTGTCTAGCCTTACATGAAAAAAACCCGTTTCCAACGAAGGCCTCTATGTGGTCAAATTATCCACGTACAGACTTTACAAACAGAGTGTTTTCAAACTGCTGAATGAAAAGAAAAGTTAAACTCTGAGAGTTGAACGCACACAATGCAGAGCAGTTTCTGAGAATGATTCTGTCTAGTTTTCAAACGAAGATATTTCCTTTTCTGCCTTTGGCCTCAAAGCGCGTGAAATCTCCACTTGCAAATTCCACAAAAAGAGTGTTTCAAATCTGCTCTGTGTAAATGAAAGTTCAACTCTGTGAGTTGAACACACACAACACAAGGAAGTTACTGGGAATTCTTCTGTCTAGCATAATATGAAGAAATCCCGTTTCCAACGAAGGCCTCAAGGAGGTCTGAATATCCACTTGCAGACTTTACAAACAGAGTGTTTCCTAACTGCTCTATGAAAAGAAAAGTTAAACTCTGTGAGTTGAACGCACACATCACAAAGGAGTTTATGAGAATCATTCTGTCTAGTTTCTATAGGAAGATATTTCCTATTCTACCATTGATCACAAAGCGGCTGAAATCTCCACTTGCAAATTCCACAAAAAGAGTGTTTCAAGTCTGCTCTGTGTAAAGGATCGTTCAACTCTGTGAGTTGAATACACACAATACAAGGAAGTTACTGAGAATTCTTCTGTCTAGCAGAATATGAGGAAATCCCGTTTCCAACGAAAGCCTCAAAGAGGTCTGAATATCCACTTGCAGACTTTACAAACAGAGGGTTTCCTAACTGCTCTATGAACAGAAAGGTTAAACTCTGTGAGTTGAACGAACACATCACAACGCAGCTTGTGGGAATGATTCTGTCTAGTTTTGAAAGGAAGATATTTCCTTTTCTGCCATTGACCTTAAAGCGCTTGAAATCTCCATTTGCCAATTGCACAAAAAGAGTGTTTCAAATCTGCTCTGTCTAAGGGAACGTTCAACTCTGTGAGTTGAATGTACACAACACAAGGAAGTTACTGGGAATTCTTCTGTCTAGCCTTACATGAAAAAAACCCGTTTCCAACGAAGCCTCTAAGTGGTCAAAATATCCACGTGCAGACTTTACAAACAGAGTGTTTCCAAACCGCTGAATGAAAAGAAAAGTTAAACTCTGAGAGTTGAACGCACACATCACGCAGCAGTTTCTGAGAATGATTCTGTCTAGTTTTTATACGAAGATATTTCCTTTTCTGCCCTTGGCCCCAAAGCGCTTGAAATCTCCACTTGCAAATTCCACAAAAAGAGTGTTTCAAATCTGCTCTCTCTAAATGAAAGTTCAACTCTGTCAGTTGAATACACACAACACAAGGAAGTTACTGAGAATTCTTCTGTCTCGCCTTATATGAAAAAAACCCGTTTCCAACGAAGGCCTCAAAGAGGTCTGAATATCCACTTGCAGACTTTACAAACAGAGTGTTTCCTAACTGCTCTATGAAAAGAAAGGTTAAACTCTGTGAGTTGAACGCACACATCACAAAGGAGTTTCTGAGAATCATTCTGTCTATTCTTTATACGAAGATATTTCCTATTCTACCATTGACCTCAAAGCGGCTGAAATCTCCACTTGCAAATTCGACAAAAAGAGTGTTTGAAGCCTGCTCTCTGTAAAGGATCCTTCAACTCTGTGAGTTGAATACACACAACACAAGGAAGTTACTGAGAATTCTTCTGTCTAGCAGAATATGAAGAAATCCCGTTTCCAACGAAGGCCACAAGATGTCAGAATATCCACTTACAGACGTTACAGAGTGTTTCCTAACTGCTCTATGAATAGAAAGGTTAAACTCTGTGAGTTGAACGAACACATCACAAGGCAGTTTGTGGGAATGATTCTGTCTAGTTTTGAAACGAAGTTATTTCCTTTTCTGCCATTGACCTTAAAGCGCTTGAAATCTACACTTGCAAATTGCACAAATAGAGTGTTTCAAATCTGCTCTGTCTAAGGGAACGTTCAACTCTGTGAGTTGAATGCACACAACACAAGGAAGTTACTGGGAATTCTTCTGTCTAGCCTTACATGAAAAAAACCCGATTCCAACGAAGGCCTCTAAGTGGTCAAAATTTCCACGTGCAGACTTTACAAACAGAGTGTTTCCAAACCGCTGAATGAAAAGAAAAGTTAAACTCTGAGAGTTGAACGCACACATCACGCAGCAGTTTCTGAGAATGATTCTGTCTAGTTTCTATAGGAAGATATTTCCTTTTCTACCATTGACCTCAAAGCGGCTGCAATTTCCACTTGCAAATTCCACAAAAAGAGTGTTTCAAGTCTGCTCTCTGTAAAGGATCGTTCAACTCTGTGAGTTGAATACACACAACACAAGGAAGTTACTGAGAATTATTCTGTCTAGCAGAATATGAAGAAATCCCGTTTCCAACGAAGGCCCCAAAGAGGTCTGAATATCCACTTGCAGACTTTACAAACAGAGTGTTTCCTAACTGCTCTATGAAAAGAAAAGTTAAACTCTGTGAGTTGAACGCACACATCACAAAGGAGTTTATGAGAATCATTCTGTCTAGTTTTTATATGAAGATATTTCCTTTTCTACCATTGACCTCAAAGCGGCTGAAATCTCCACTTGCAAATTCCACAAAAAGAGTTTCTCAAGTCTGCTCTGTGTAAACGATCGTTCAACTCTGTGAGTTGAATACACACAACACAAGGAAGTTTCTGAGAATTCTTCTGTATAGCAGAATATGAAGAAATCCCGTTTCCAACGAAGGCCTCAAGGAGGTCTGAATATGCACTTGCAGACTTTACAAACAGAGTGTTTCCTAACTGCTCTATGAAAAGAAAGGTTAAACTCTGTGAGTTGAACGCAGACATCCCAAAGGAGTTTCTGAGAATCACTCTGTCTAGTTTTGAAACGAAGATATTTCCTTTTCTGCCACTGACCTTAAAGCGCTTGAAATCTACACTTGCAAATTGCACAAATAGAGTGTTTCAAATCTGCTCTGTCTAAGGGAACGTTCAACTCTGTGAGTTGAATGCACACAACACAAGGAAGTTACTGGGAATTCTTCTGTCTAGCCTTACATGAAAAAAAACCCGTTTCCAACGAAGGCCTCTAAGTGGTCAAAATATCCACGTGCAGTCTTTACAAACAGAGTGTTTCCAAACCGCTGAATGAAAAGAAAAGTTAAACTCTGAGAGTTGAACGCACACATCACGCAGCAGTTTCTGAGAATGATTCTGTCTAGTTTTGAAACGAAGATATTTCCTTTTCTGCCTTTGGCCTCAAAGCGCTTGAAATCTCCACTTGCAAATTCCACAAAAAGAGTGTTTCAAATCTGCTCTGTGTAAATGAAAGTTCAACTCTGTGAGTTGAACACACACAACACAAGGAAGTTACTGGGAATTCTTTCTGTCTAGCATAATATGAAGAAATCCCGTTTCCAACGAAGTCCTAAAGGAGGTCTGAATATCCACTTGCAGACTTTACAAACAGAGTGTTTCCTAACTGCTCTATGAAAAGAAAGGTTAAACTCTGTGAGTTGAACGCACACATCACAAAGGAGTTTCTGAGAATCATTCTGTCTAGTTTTTATAGGAAGATATTTCCTTTTCTACCTTTGACTTCAAAGCGGCTGAAATCTCCACTTGCAAATTCCACAAAAAGAGTGTTACAAGTCTGCTCTGTGTAAAGGATCGTTCAACTGTGTGAGTTGAATACACACAACACAAGGGAAGTTACTGAGAATTCTTCTGTCTAGCAGAATATGAAGAAATCCCATTTCCAACGAAGGCCTCAAGGAGGTCTGAATATCCACTTGCAGACTTTACAAACAGAGTGTTTCCTAACTGCTCTATGAACGGAAAAGTTAAACTCTGTGAGTTGAACGAACACATCACAACGCAGTTTGTGGGAATGATTCTGTCTAGTTTTGAAACGAAGATATTTCCTTTTCTGCCGTTGACCTTAAAGCGCTTGAAATGTACACTTGCAAATTACACAAATAGAGTGTTTCAAATCTGCTCTGTCTAAGGGAACGTTCAACTCTGTGAGTTGAATGCACACAACACAAGGAAGTTACTGGGAATTCTTCTGTCTACCCTTACAGGAAAAAAACCCGTTTCCAACGAAGGCCTCTAAGTGGTCAAAATATCCACGTGCAGACTTTACAAACAGAGTGTTTCCAAACTGCTGAATGAAAAGAAAAGTTAAACTCTGAGAGTTGAACGCACACATCGCAGAGCAGTTTCTGAGAATGATTCTGTCTAGTTTCGAAACGAAGATATTTCCTTTTCTGCCTTTGGCCTCAAAGCGCTTGAAATCTCCACTTGCAAATTCCACAAAAAGAGTGTTTCAAATCTGCTCTGTGTAAATGAAAGTTCAACTCTGTGAGTTGAACACACACAACACAAGGAAGTTACTGGGAATTCTTCTGTCTAGCCTTATATGAAAAAAACCCGTTTCCAACGAAGGCCTCAAAGAGGTCTGAATATCCACTTGGAGACTTTACAAACAGAGTGTTTCCTAACTGCTCTATGAAAAGAAATGTTAAACTCTGTGAGTTGAACACACACATCACAAAGGAGTTTCTGAGAATCATTCTGTCTAGTCTTTATACGAAGATATTTCCTTTTCTACCATTGACCTCAAAGCGGCTGAAATCTCCACTTGCAAATTCCACAAAAAGAGTCCTTAAAGTCTGCTCTCTGTA
The DNA here is from genome assembly GCF_000001405.40 of Homo sapiens. Taxonomy (NCBI): domain Eukaryota; kingdom Metazoa; phylum Chordata; class Mammalia; order Primates; family Hominidae; genus Homo; species Homo sapiens. The sequence goes on along the minus strand of NC_000005.10, from coordinate 49,001,703 downwards.
AAGGATCGTTCAACTCTGTGAGTTGAATACACACAACACAAGGAAGTTACTGAGAATTCTTCTGTCTAGCAGAATATGAAGAAATCCCTTTTCCAACGAAGGCCACAAGATGTCAGAATATCCACTTACAGACTTTACAAACACAGTGTTTCCTAACTGCTCTATGAACAGAAAGGTTAAACTCTGTGAGTTGAACGAACACATCACAACGCAGTTTGTGGGAATGATTCTGTCTAGTTTTGAAACGAAGATATTTCCTTTTCTGCCATTGACCTTAAAGCGCTTGAAATCTACACTTGCAAATTGCACAAATAGAGTGTTTCAAATCTGCTCTGTCTAAGGGAACGTTCAACTCTGTGAGTTGAATGCACACAACACAAGGAAGTTACTGGGAATTCTTCTGTCTAGCCTTACATGAAAAAATCCCGTTTCCAACGAAGGCCTCTAAGTGGTCAAAATATCCACGTGCAGACTTTACAAACAGAGTGTTTCCAAACCGCTGAATGAAAAGAAAAGTTAAACTTTGAGAGTTGAACGCACACATCACACAGCAGTTTCTGAGAATGATTCTGTCTAGTTTTGAAACGAAGATATTTCCTTTTCTGCCTTTGGCCTCAAAGCGCTTGAAATCTCCACTTGCAAATTCCACAAAAAGAGTGTTTCATATCTGCTCTGTGTAAATGAAAGTTCAACTCTGTGAGTCGAACACACACAACACAAGGAAGTTACTGGGAATTCTTCTGTCTAGCCTTACATGAAAAAAACCCGTTTCCAACGAAGGCCTCTAAGTGGTCAAAATATCCACGTGCAGACTTTATAAACAGAGTGTTTACTAACTGCTCTATGAAAAGAAAGGTTAAACTCTGTGAGTTGAACACACACATCACAAAGGAGTTTCTGAGAATCATTCTGTCTAGTCTTTATATGAAGGTAGTTTCCTTTTCTACCATTGACCTCAAAGCGGCTGAAATCTCCACTTGCAAATTCCACAAAAAGAGTGTTTCAAATCTGCTCTGTGTAAAGGATCGTTCAACTCTGTGAGTTGAATACACACAACACAAGGAAGTTACTGAGAATTATTCGGTCTAGCAGAATATGAAGAAATCCCGTTTCCAACGAAGGCCTCAAGGAGGTCTGAATATTCACTTGCAGACTTTACAAACAGAGTGTTTCCTAACTGCTCTATGAACAGAAAGGTTAAACTCTGTGAGTTGAACGAACACATCACAACGCAGTTTGTGGGAGTGATTCTGTCTAGTTTTGAAACGAAGATATTTCCTTTTCTGCCGTTGACCATAAAGCGCTTGAAATCTACACTTGCAAATTGCACAAATAGAGTGTTCCAAATCTGCTCTGTCTAAGGGAACGTTCAACTCTGTGAGTTGAATGCACACAACACAAGGAAGTTACTGGGAATTCTTCTGTCTAGCCTTACAGGAAAAAAACCCGTTTCCAACGAAGGCCTCTAAGTGGTCAAGTTATCCACGTGCAGACTTTACAACCAGAGTGTTTCCAAACTGCAGAATGGAAAGAAAAGTTAAACTCTGAGAGTTGAACGCACACATCGCAGAGCAGTTTCTGAGAATGATTCTGTCTAGTTTTGAAACGAAGATATTTCCTTTTCTGCCTTTGGCCTCAAAGCGCTTGAAATCTCCATTTGCAAATTCCACAAAAAGAGTGTTTCAAATCTGCTCTGTGTAAATGAAAGTTCAACTCTGTGAGTTGAACACACACAACACAAGGAAGTTACTGGGAATTCTTCTGTCAAGCATAATATGAAGAAATCCCGTTTCCAACGAAGGCCTCAAGGAGGTCTGAATATCCACTTCCAGACTTTACAAACAGAGTGTTTCCTAACTGCTCTATGAAAAGAAAGGTTAAACTCTGTGAGTTGAACGCACACATCACAAAGGAGTTTCTGAGAATCATTCTGTCTAGTCTTTATATGAAGATAGTTTCCTTTTCTACCATTGACCTCAAAGCGGCTGAAATCTCCACTTGCAAATTCCACAAAAAGAATGTTTGAAGTCTGCTCTGTGTAAAGGATCGTTCAACTCTGTGAGTTGAATACACACAACACAAGGAAGTTACTGAGAATTCTTCTGTCTAGCAGAATATGAAGAAATCCCGTTTCCAACGAAGGCCACAAGATGTCAGAATATCCACTTTCAGACTTTACAAACAGAGTGTTTCCTAACTGCTCTATGAACAGAAAGGTTAAACTCTGTGAGTTGAACGAACACATCACAACGCAGTTTGTGGGAATGATTCTGTCTAGTTTTGAAACGAAGATATTTCCTTTTCTGCCATTGACCTTAAAGCGCTTGAAATCTACACTTGCAAATTGCACAAATAGAGTGTTTCAAATCTGCTCTGTCTAAGGGAACGTTCAACTCTGTGAGTTGAATGCACACAACACAAGGAAGTTACTGGGAATTATTCTTTCTAGCCTTACAGGAAAAAATACCCGTTTCCAACGAAGGCCTCTAAGTGGTCAAAATATCCACCTGCAGACTTTACAAACAGAGTGTTTCCAAACTGCTGAATGAAAAGAAAAGTTAAACTCTGAGAGTTGAACGCACACATCGCAGAGCAGTTTCTGAGAATGATTCTGTCTAGTTTTTATACGAAGATATTTCCTTTTCTGCCTTTGACCCCAAAGCGCTTGAAATTTCCACTTGCAAATTCCACAAAAACAGTGTTTCAAATCTGCTCTCTCTAAATGAAAGTTCAACTCTGTCAGTTGAATACACACAACACAAGGGAAGTTACTGAGAATTCTTCTGTCTAGCATAATATGAAGAAATCCCGTTTCCAACGAAGGCTTCAAAGGGGTCTGAATATCCACTTGCAGACTTTATAAACAGAGTGTTTACTAACTGCTCTATGAAAAGAAAGGTTAAATTCTGTGAGTTGAACACACACATCACAAAGGAGTTTCTGAGAATCATTCTGTCTAGTTTTTCTACGAAGATATTTCCTTTTCTACTATTGACCTCAAAGCGGCTGAAATCTCCACTTGCAAATTCCACAAAAAGAGTGTTTCTAGTCTGCTCTGTGTAAAGGATCGTTCAACTCTGTGAGTTGAATACACACAACACAAGGAAGTTACTGAGAATTCTTCTGTCTAGCAGAATATGAAGAAATCCCGTTTCCAACGAAGGCCACAAGATGTCAGAATATCCACTTTCAGACTTTACAAACAGAGTGTTTCCTAACTGCTCTATGAACAGAAAGGTTAAACTCTGTGAGTTGAACGAACACATCACAACGCAGTTTGTGGGAATGATTCTGTCTAGTTTTGAAACGAAGATATTTCCTTTTCTGCCATTGACCTTAAAGCGCTTGAAATCTCCACTTGCCAATTGCACAAAAAGAGTGTTTCAAATCTGCTCTGTCTAAGGGAACGTTCAACTCTGTGAGTTGAATGTACACAACACAAGGAAGTTACTGGGAATTCTTCTGTCTAGCCTTACATGAAAAAATCCCGTTTCCAACGAAGGCCTCTAAGTGGTCAAAATATCCACGTGCAGACTTTACAAACAGAGTGTTTCCAAACCGCTGAATGAAAAGAAAAGTTAAACTCTGAGAGTTGAACGCACACATCACACAGCAGTTTCTGAGAATGATTCTGTCTAGTTTTTATACGAAGATATTTCCTTTTCTGCCTTTGGCCCCAAAGCGCTTGATATCTCCACTTGCAAATTCCACAAAAACAGTGTTTCAAATCTGCTCTCTCTAAATGAAAGTTCAACTCTGTCAGTGGAATACACACAACACAAGGAAGTTACTGAGAATTCTTCTGTCTAGCACAGTATGAAGAAAATCCCGTTTCCAACGAAGGCCTCAAAGAGGTCTGAATATCCACTTGCAGACTTTACAAACAGAGTGTTTCCTAACTGCTCTATGAAAAGAAATGTTAAACTCTGTGAGTTGAACGCACACGTCACAATGAAGTTTCTGAGAATCATTCTGTCTAGTTTTTCTACGAAGATATTTCCTTTTCTATTATTGACCTCAAAGCGGCTGAAATCTCCACTTGCAAGTCCCACAAAAAGAGTGTTTCAAGTCTGCTCTGTATAAAGGATCGTTCAACCCTGTGAGTTGAATACACACAACACAAGGAAGTTACTGAGAATTCTTCTGTCTAGCAGAATATGAAGAAATCCCGTTTCCAACGAAGGCCTCAAGGAGGTCTGAATATCCACTTGCATACTTTACAAACAGAGTGTTTCCTAACTGCTCTATGAACAGAAAGGTTAAACTCTGTGAGTTGAACGAATACATCACAACGCAGTTTGTGGGAATGATTCTGTCTAGTTTTGAAACGAAGATATTTCCTTTTCTGCCGTTGACCTTAAAGCGCTTGAAATCTACACTTGCAAATTGCACAAATAGAGTGTTTCAAATCTGCTCTGCCTAAGGGAACGTTCAACTCTGTGAGTTGAATGCACACAACACAAGGAAGTTACTGGGAATTCTTCTGTCTAGCCTTACATGAAAAAAAACCCGTTTCCAACGAAGGCCTCTAAGTGGTCAAAATATCCACGTGCAGTCTTTACAAACAGAGTGTTTCCAAACCGCTGAATGAAAAGAAAAGTTAAACTCTGAGAGTTGAACGCACACATCACGCAGCAGTTTCTGAGAATGATTCTGTCTAGTTTTTCTACGAAGATATTTCCTTTTCAATTATTGACCTCAAAGCGGCTGAAATCTCCACTTGCAAGTCCCACAAAAAGAGTGTTTCAAGTCTGCTCTGTATAAAGGATCGTTCAACCCTGTGAGCTGAATACACACAACACAAGGAAGTTACTGAGAATTCTTCTGTCTAGCAGAATATGAAGAAATCCCGTTTCCAATGAAGGCCTCAAGGAGGTCTGAATATCCACTTGCAGACTTTACAAACAGAGTGTTTCCTAACTGCTCTATGAAAAGAAAAGTTAAACTCTGTGAGTTGAACGCACACATCACAAAGGAGTTTCTGAGAATCATTCTGTCTAGTTTTTATAGGAAGATATTCCCTTTTCTACCTTTGACTTCAAAACGGCTGAAATCTCCACTTGCAAATTCCACAAAAAGAGTGTTACAAGTCTGCTCTGTGTAAAGGATCGGTCAACTCTGTGAGTTGAATACACACAACACAAGGAAGTTACTGAGAATTCTTCTGTCTAGCAGAATATGTAGAAATCCCGTTTCCAACGAAGGCCACAAGATGTCAGAATATCCACTTACAGAATTTACCAACAGAGTGTTTCCTAACTGCTCTATGAAAAGAAAGGTTAAACTCTGTGAGTTGAACGAACACATCACAACGCAGTTTGTGGGAATGATTATCTGTCTAGTTTTTATACGAAGATATTTCCTTTTCTACCATTGACCTCAATGCGGCTGAAATCACCACTTGCCAATTGCACAAAAAGAGTGTTTCAAATCTGCTCTGTCTAAGGGAACGTTCAACTCTGTGAGTTGAATGTACACAACACAAGGAAGTTCCTGGGAATTCTTCTGTCTAGCCTTACATGAAAAAAACCCGTTTCCAACGAAGGCCTCTAAGTGGTCAAAATTTCCACGTGCTGACTTTACAAACAGAGTGTTTCCAAACCGCTGAATGAAAAGAAAAGTTAAACTCTGAGAGTTGAACGCACACATCACAAAGGAGTTTCTGAGAATGATTCTGTCTAGTTTTTATACGAAGATATTTCCTTTTCTGCCTTTGGCCCCAAAGCGCTTGAAATCTCCACTTGCAAATTCCACAAAAACAGTGTTTCAAATCTGCTCTCTCTAAATCAAAGTTCAACTCTGTCAGTTGAATACACACAACACAAGGAAGTTACTGAGAATTCTTCTGTCTAGCATAATATGAAGAAATCCCGTTTCCAACGAAGGCCTCAAAGGGGTCTGAATATCCACTTGCAGACTTTATAAACAGAGTGTTTACTAACTGCTCTATGAAAAGAAAAGTTAAACTCTGTGAGTTGAACGCACACATCACAAAGGAGTTTCTGAGAATCGTTCTGTCTAGTTTCTATAGGAAGATATTTCCTATTCTACCATTGAGCTCAAAGCGGCTGAAATCTCCACTTGCAAATTCCACAAAAAGAGTGTTTCAAGTCTGCTCTGTGTAAAGGATCGTTCAACTCTGTGAGTTGAATACACACAACACAAGGAAGTTACTGAGAATTCTTCTGTCTAGCAGAATATGAAGAAATCCCGTTTCCAACGAAGGCCACAAGATGTCAGAATATCCACTTACAGAATTTACCAACAGAGTGTTTCCTAACTGCTCTATGAAAAGAAAGGTTAAACTCTGTGAGTTGAACGAAAACATCACAACGCAGTTTGTGGGAATGATTCTGTCTACTTTTTATAGGAATATATTTCCTTTTCTACCTTTGACTTCAAAGCGGCTGAAATCTCCACTTGCAAATTCCACAAAAAGAGTTTTCCAAGTCTGCTCTGTGTGAAGGATCGTTCAACTCTGTGAGTTGAATACACACAACACAAGGAAGTTACTGAGAATTCTTCTGTCTAGCCTTACAGGAAAAAAACCCGTTTCCAACGAAGGCCTCTAAGTGGTCAAATTATCCACGTGCAGACTTTACAAACAGAGTGTTTCCAAACTGCTGAATGAAAAGAAAAGTTAAACTCTGAGAGTTGAACGCACACATCGCAGAGCAGTTTCTGAGAATGATTCTGTCTAGTTTTTATACGAAGATATTTCCTTTTCTGCCTTTGGCCTCAAAGCGCTTGAAATCTCCATTTGCAAATTCCACAAAAAGAGTGTTTCAAATCTGCTCTGTGTAAATGAAAGTTCAACTCTGTGAGTTGAACACACACAACACAAGGAACTTACTGGGAATTCTTCTGTCTAGCCTTATATGTAAAAAACCCGTTTCCAACGAAGGCCTCAAAGAGGTCTCAATATCCACTTGCAGACTTTACAAACAGAGTGTTTCCTAACTGCTCTATGAAAAGAAAGGTTAAACTCTGTGAGTTGAACGTACACATCACAAAGGAGTTTCTGAGAATCATTCTGTCTAGTTTCTATAGGAAGATATTTCCTATTCTACCATTGACCACAAAGCGGCTGAAATCTCCACTTGCACATTCCACAAAAAGAGTGTTTCAAGTCTGCTCTGTGTAAAGGATCATTCAAGTCTGTGAGTTGAATACACACAACACAAGGAAGTTACTGAGAATTCTTATGTCTAGCACAGTATGAAGAAATCCCGTTTCCAACGAAGGCCTCAAAGAGGTCTGAATATCCACTTGCAGAGTTTACAAACAGAGTGTTTCCTAACTGCTCTATGAAAAGAAAGGTTAAACTCTGTGAGTTGAACGCACACATCACAAAGAAGTTTCTGAGAATCATTCTGTCTAGTTTTGAAACGAAGATATTTCCTTTTCTGCCATTGACCTTAAAGCGCTTGAAATCTCCACTTGCCAATTGTACAAAAAGAGTGTTTCACATCTGCTCTGTCTAAGGGAACGTTCAACTCTGTGAGTTGAATGTACTCAACACAAGGAAGTTACTGGGAATTCTTCTGTCTAGCCTTACAGGAAAAAAACCCGTTTCCAACGAAGGCCTCTAAGTGGTCAAAATATCCACGTGCAGACTTTACAAACAGAGTGTTTTCAAACTGCTGAATGAAAAGAAAAGTTAAACTCTGAGAGTTGAACGCACACATCGCAGAGCAGTTTCTGAGAATGATTCTGTCTAGTTTTGAAACGAAGATATTTCCTTTTCTGCCTTTGGCCTCAAAGCGCTTGACATCTCCACTTGCAAATTCCACAAAAAGAGTGTTTCAAATCTGCTCTGCGTAAATGAAAGTTCAACTCTGTGAGTTGAACACACACAACACAAGGAAGTTACTGGGAATTCTTCTGTCTAGCAGAATATGAAGAAATCCCGTTTCCAACGAAGGCCTCAAAGAGGTCTGAATATCCACTTGCAGACTTTACAAACAGAGTGTTTCCTAACTGCTCTATGAACAGAAAGGTTAAACTCTGTGAGTTGAACGCACACATCACAAAGGAGTTTCTGAGAATCGTTCTGTCTAGTTTTTATACGAAGATATTTCCTTTTCTACCATTGACCTCAAAGCGGCTGAAATCTCCACTTGCAAATACCACAAAAAGAGTGTTTCAAATCTGCTGTGTGTAAACCATCGTTCAACTCTGTGAGTTGAATACACACAACACAAGGAAGATTCTGAGAATTCTTCTGTCTAGCAGAATATGAAGAAATCCTGTTTCCAACGAAGGCCACAAGATGTCTGAATATCCACTTACAGACTTTACAAACAGAGTGTTTGCTAACTGCTCTATGAACAGAAAGGTTAAACTCTGTGAGTTGAACGAACACATCACAACGCAGTTTGTGGGAATGATTCTGTCTAGTTTTGAAAGGAAGATATTTCCTTTTCTGCCATTGACCTCAAAGCGCTTGAAATCTCCACTTGCCAATTGCACAAAAAGAGTGTTTCAAATCTGCTCTGTCTAAGGGAACGTTCAACTCTGTGAGTTGAATGTACACAACACAAGGAAGTTACTGGGAATTCTTCTGTCTAGCCTTACATGAAAAAAAACCCCTTTCCAACGAAGGCCTCTAAGTGGTCAAAATATCCACGTGCAGTCTTTACAAACAGAGTGTTTCCAAACCGCTGAATGAAAAGAAAAGTTAAACTCTGAGAGTTGAACGCACACATCACGCAGCAGTTTGCTGAGAATGATTTCTGTCTAGTTTTGCAACGAAGATATTTCCTTTTCTGCCTTTGGCCTCAAAGCGCTTGAAATCTCCACTTGCAAATTCCACAAAAAGAGTGTTTCAAATCTGCTCTGTGTAAATGAAAGTTCAACTCTGTGAGTTGAACACACACAACACAAGGAAGTTACTGGGAATTCTTCTGTCTAGCCTTATATGAAAAAAACCCGTTTCCAACGAAGGCCTCAAAGAGGTCTGAATATCCACTTGCAGACTTTACAAACAGAGTGTTTCCTAACTGCTCTATGAGAAGAAAGGTTAAACTCTGTGAGTTGAACGCACACATCACAAAGGAGTTTCTGAGAATCATTTTGTCTAGTTTCTATAAGAAGATATTTCCTATTCTACCATTGACCTCAAAGCGGCTGAAATCTCCACTTGCAAATTCGACAAAAAGAGGGTTTCAAGCCTCCTCTCTGTAAAGGATCCTTCAAGTCTGTGAGTTGAATACACACAACACAAGGAAGTTACTGAGAATTCTTCTGTCTAGCAGAATATGAAGAAATCCTGTTTCCAACGAAGGCCACAAGATGTCAGAATATCCACTTACAGAATTTACAAACAGACTGTTTCCTAAGTGCTCTATGAAAAGAAATGTTAAACTCTGTGAGTTGAACGAACACATCGCAACGCAGTTTGTGGGAATGATTCTGTCTAGTTTTGAAACAAAGATATTTCCTTTTCTGCCATTGACCTTAAAGAGCTTGAAATCTACACTTGCAAATTGCACAAATAGAGTGTTTCAAATCTGCTCTGTCTAAGGGAACGTTCATCTCTGTGAGTTGAATGCACACAACACAAGGAAGTTACTGGGAATTCTTCTGTCTAGCCTTAAATGAAAAAACCCCGTTTCCATCGAAGGCCTCTAAGTGGTCAAAATATCCACGTGCAGACTTTACAAACAGAGTGTTTCCAAAGTACTGAATGAAAAGAAAAGTTAAACTCTGAGAGTTGAACGCACACATCACAGAGCAGTTTCTGAGAATGATTCTGTCTAGTTTTTATACGAAGATATTTCCTTTTCTGCCTTTGGCCCCAAAGCGCTTGAAATCTCCACTTGCAAATTCCACAAAAACAGTGTTTGAAATCTGCTCTCTCTAAATGAAAGTTCAACTCTGTCAGTTGAATACACACAACACAAGGAAGTTACTGAGAATTCTTCTGTCTAGCCTTATATGAAAAAAACCCGTTTCCAACGAAGGCCTCAAAGAGGTCTGAGTATCCACTTGCAGACTTGACAAACAGAGTGTTTCCTAACTGCTCTATGAATAGAAAGGTTAAACTCTGTGAGTTGAACGCACACATCACAAAGGAGTTTCTGAGAATCATTCTGTCTAGTCTTTATACGAAGATATTTCCTTTTCTACCATTGACCTCAAAGCGCCTGAAATCTCCACTTGCAAATTCCACAAAAAGAGTGTTTCAACTCTGCTCTGTGTAAAGGATCGTTCAACTCTGTGAGTTGAATACACACTACACAAGGAAGTTACTGAGAATTCTTCTGTCTAGCAGAATATGAAGAAATCCCGTTTCCAACGAATGCCACAAGATGTCAGAATATCCACTTACAGAATTGACAAACAGACTGTTTCCTAACTGCTCTATGAAAAGAAAGGTTAAACTCTGTGAGTTGAACGAACACATCACAACGCAGTTTGTGGGAATGATTCTGTCTAGTTTTGAAGCGAAGATATTTCCTTTTCTGCCATTGACATTAAAGCGCTTGAAATCTACACTTGCAAATTGCACAGAGTGTTTCAAATCTGCTCTGTCTAAGGGAACGTTCATCTCTGTGAGTTGAATGCACACAACACTAGGAAGTTACTGGGAATTATTCTGTCTAGCCTTACAGGAAAGAACCCCGTTTCCAACGAAGGCCTCTAAGTGGTCAAAATATCCACGTGCAGACTTTACAAACAGAGTGTTTCCAAACTGCTGAATGAAAAGAAAAGTTAAAATCTGAGAGTTGAACGCACACATCGCAGAGCAGTTTCTGAGAATGATTCTGTCTAGTTTTTATACGAAGATATTTCCTTTTCTGCCTTTGGCCTCAAAGCGCTTGAAATCTCCATTTGCAAATTCCACAAAAAGAGTGTTTCAAATCTGCTCTGTGTAAATGAAAGTTCAACTCTGTGAGTTGAATACACACAACACAAGGAAGTTACTGAGAATTCTTCTGTCTAGTCTTATATGAAAAAAACCCGTTTCCAACGAAGGCCTCAAAGAGGTCTGAATATCCACTTGCAGACTTTACAAACAGAGTGTTTCCTAACTGCTCTATGAAAAGAAAGGTTAAACTCTGTGAGTTGAACGCACACATCATAAAGGAGATTCTGAGAATCATTCTGTCTAGTCTTTATATGAAGATAGTTTCCTTTTCTACCATTGACCTCAAAGCGGCTGAAATCTCCACTTGCAAATTCCACAAAAAGAGTGTTTCAAGTCTGCTCTGTGTAAAGGATCCTTCAACTCTGTGAGTTGAATACACACAACACAAGGAAGTTACTGAGAATTCTTCTGTCTAGCAGAATATGAAGAAATCCCGTTTCCAACGAAGGCCTCAAGGAGGTCTGAATATCCACTTGCAGACTTTACAAACAGAGTGTTTCCTAACTGCTTTATGAAAAGAAAGGTTAAACTCTTTGAGTTGAACGCACACATCACAACGCAGTTTGTGGGAATGATTCTGTCTAGTTTTGAAACGAAGATATTTCCTTTTCTGCCATTGACCTCAAAGCGCTTGAAATCTCCACTTGCCAATTGCACAAAAAGAGTGTTTCAAATCTGCTGTGTCTAAGGGAACGTTCAACTCTGTGAGTTGAATGTACACAACACAAGGAAGTTACTGAGAATTCTTCTGTCTAGCCTTACATGAAAAAAACCCGTTTCCAACGAAGGCCTCTAAGGGGTCAAAATATCCACGGGCAGACTTCACAAACAGAGTGTTTCCAAACCGCTGAATGAAAAGAAAAGTTAAACTCTGAGAGTTGAACGCACACATCACGCAGCAGTTTCTGAGAATGATTCTGTCTAGTTTTTATGCGAAGATATTTCCTTTTCTGCCTTTGGCCTCAAAGCGCTTGAAATCTCCACTTGCAAATTCCACAAAAAGAGTGTTTCAAATCTGCTCTGTGTAAATCAAAGTTCAACTCTGTGAGTTAAACACACACAACACAAGGAAGTTACTGGGAATTCTTCTGTCTAGCATAATATGAAGAAATCCCGTTTCCAACGAAGGCCTCAAGGAGGTCTGAATATCCACTTGCAGACTTTACAAACGCAGTGTTTCCTAACTGCTCTATGAAAAGAAAGGTTAAACTCTGTGAGTTGAACGCACACATCACAAAGGAGTATCTGAGAATCATTCTGTCTAGTTTTTCTACGAAGATATTTCCTTTTCTACTATTGACCTCAAAGCGGCTGAAATCTCCACTTGCAAGTTCTACAAATAGAGTGTTTCAAGTCTGCTCTGTGTAAAGGATCGTTCAACTCTGTGAGTTGAATACACACAACACAAGGAAGTTACTGAGAATTCTTCTGTCTAGCAGAATATGAAGAAATCCCGTTTCCAACGAAGGCCTCAAGGAGGTCTGAATATCCACTTGCAGACTTTACAAACAGAGTGTTTCCTAACTGCTCTATGAAAAGAAAAGTTAAACTCTGTGAGTTGAACGAACACATCACAACGCAGTTTGTGGGAATGATTCTGTCTAGTTTTGAAACGAAGATATTTCCTTTTCTGCCATTGACCTTAAAGCGCTTGAAATCTCCACTTGCCAATTGCACAAAAAGAGTGTTTCAAATCTGCTCTGTCTAAGGGAACGTTCAACTCTGTGAGTTGAATGTACACAACACAAGGAAGTTACTGGGAATTCTTCTGTCTAGCCTTACAGGAAAAAAACCCGTTTCCAACGAAGTCCTCTAAGTGGTCAAAATATCCACGTGCAGACTTTACAAACAGAGTGTTTCCAAACTGCTGAATGAAAAGAAAAGTTAAACTCTGAGAGTTGAACGCACACATCGCAGAGCAGTTTCTGAGAATGATTCTGTCTAGTTTTTATACGAAGAGATTTCCTTTTCTACCATTGACCTCAACGCGGCTGAAATCTCCACTTGCAAATTCCACAAAAAGAGTGTTTCAAGTCCGCTCTGTGTAAAGGATCGTTCAACTCTGTGAGTTGAATACACACAACACAAGGAAGTTACTGAGAAATCTTCTGTCTAGCACAGTATGAAGAAATCCCGATTCCAACGAAGGCCTCAAAGAGGTCTGAACATCCACTTGCACAGTTTACAAACAGAGTGTTTCCTAACTGCTCTATGAAAAGAAAGGTTAAACTCTGTGAGTTGAACGCACACGTCACAAAGAAGTTTCTGAGAATCATTCTGTCTAGTTTTTATACGAAGATATTTCCTTTTCTACCATTGACCTCAACGCGGCTGAAATCTCCACTTGCAAATTCCACAAAAACAGTGTTTCAAGTCTGCTCTGTGAAAAGGATCGTTCAACTCTGTGAGTTGAATACACACAACACAAGGAAGATTCTGAGAATTCTTCTGTCTAGCAGAATATGAAGAAATCCCGTTTCCAACGAAGGCCACAAGATGTCAGAATATCCACTTACAGAATTTACAAACAGACTGTTTCCTAAGTGCTCTATGAAAAGAAAGGTTAAACTCTGTGAGTTGAACGAACACATCACAACGCAGTTTGTGGGAATGATTCTGTCTAGTTTTGAAACGAAGATATTTCCTTTTCTGCCGTTGACCTTAAAGCGCTTGAAATCTACACTTGCAAATTGCACAAATAGAGTGTGTCAAATCTGCTCGGTCTAAGGGAACGTTCAACTCTGTGAGTTGAATGCACACAACACAAGGAAGTTACTGGGAATTCTTCTGTCTAGCCTTACATGAAAAAAACCCGTTTCCAACGAAGGCCTCTAAGTGGTCAAATTATCCACGTGCAGACTTTACAAACAGAGTGTTTCAAAACTGCTGAATGAAAAGCAAAGTTAAACTCTGAGAGTTGAACGCACACATCGCAGAGCAGTTTCTGAGAATGATTCTGTCTAGTTTTTATACGAAGATATTTCCTTTTCTGCCTTTGGCCCCAAAGCGCTTGAAATCTCCACTTGCAAATTCCACAAAAACAGTGTTTCAAATCTGCCCTCTCTAAATGAAAGTTCAACTCTGTCAGTTGAATACACACAACACCAGGAAGTTACTGAGAATTCTTCTGTCTAGCATAATATGAAGAAATCCCGTTTCCAACGAAGGCCTCAAAGAGGTCTGAATATCCACTTGCAGACTTTACAAACAGAGTGTTTCCTAACTGCTCTATGAAAAGTTAAAGTCTGTGAATTGAACGCACACATCACAAAGGAGTTTCTGAAAATCATTCTGTCTAGTTTCTATAGGAAGATATTTCCTATTCTACCATTGACCTCAAAGCGGCTGAAATCTCCACTTGCAAATTCCACTAAAAGAGTGTTTCAAGTCTGCTCTGTGTAAAGGATCGTTCAACTCTGTGAGTTGAATACACACAACACAAGGAAGTTACTGAGAATTCTTCTGTCTAGCCTTATATGAAAAAAACCCGTTTCCAACGAAGGCCTCAAAGAGGTCTGAATATCCACTTGCAGACTTTACAAACAGAGTGTTTCCTAACTGCTCTATGAAAAAAAAAGTTAAACTCTGTGAGTTGAACGCACACATCACAAAGGAGTTTGCTGAGAATCATTCTGTCTAGTTTTTATAGGAAGATATTTCCTTTTCTACCTTTGACTTCAAAGCGGCTGAAATCTCCACTTGCAAATTCCACAAAAAGAGTGTTACAAGTCTGCTCTGTGTATAGGATCGTTCAACTCTGTGAGTTGAATACACACAACACAAGGAAGTTACTGAGAATTCTTCTGTCTAGCCTTACATGAAAAAAACCCGTTTCCAACGAAGGCCTCTAAGTGGTCAAAATATCCACGTGCAGACTTTACAAACAGAGTGTTTCCAAACTGCTGAATGAAAAGAAAAGTTAAACTCTGAGAGTTGAACGCACACATCGCAGAGCAGTTTCTGAGAATGATTCTGTCTAGTTTTGAAACGAAGATATTTCCTTTTCTGCCTTTGGCCTCAAAGCGCTTGAAATCTCCACTTGCAAATTCCACAAAAACAGTGTTTCAAATCTTCTCTGTGTAAATGAAAGTTCAACTCTGTGACTTGAACACACACAACACAAGGAAGTTACTGGGAATTCTTCTGTCTAGCATAGTATGAAGAAATCCCGTTTCCAACGAAGGCCTCAAAGAGGTCTGAATTTCCACTTGCAGAGTTTACAAACAGAGTGTTTCCTAACTGCTCTATGAAAAGAAAGGTTAAACTCTGTGAGTTGAACGCACACATCACAAAGAAGTTTCTGAGAATCATTCTGTCTAGTTTTTATAGGAAGTTATTTCCTTTTCTACCTTTGACTTCAAAGTGGCTGAAATCTCCACTTGCAAATTCCACAAAAAGAGTGTTATAAGTCTGTTCTGTGTAAAGGATCGTTCAACTCTGTGAGTTGAATACACACAACACAAGGAAGTTACTGAGAATTCTTCTGTCTAGCAGAATATGAAGAAATCCCGTTTCCAACGAAGGCCACAAGATGTCAGAATATCCACTTACAGAATTGACAAACAGACTGTTTCCTAACTGCTCTATGAAAAGAAAGGTTAAACTCTGTGAGTTGAACGAACACATCACAACGCAGTTTGTGGGAATGATTATCTCTCTAGTTTTGAAACGAAGATATTTCCTTTTCTGCCATTGACCTTAAAGCGCTTGAAATCTCCACTTGCCAATTGCACAAAAAGAGTGTTTCAAATCTGCTCTGTCTAAGGGAACGTTCAACTCTGTGAGTTGAATGTACACAACACAAGGAAGTTACTGGGAATTCTTCTGTCTAGCCTTACAAGAAAAAAACCCGTTTCCAACGAAGGCCTCTAAATGGTCAAAATATCCACGTGCAGACTTTACAAACAGAGTGTTTCCAAACTGCTGAATGAAAAGAAAAGTTAAACTCTGAGAGTTGAACGCACACATCGCAGAGCAGTTTCTGAGAATGATTCTGTCTAGTTTTGAAACGAAGATATTTCCTTTTCTGCCTTTGGCCTCAAAGCGCTTGAAATCTCCACTTGCAAATTCCACAAAAAGAGTGTTTCAAATCTGCTCTGGGTAAATGAAAGTTCAATTCTGTGAGTTGAACACACACAACACAAGGAAGTTACTGGGAATTCTTCTGTCTAGCATAATATGAAGAAATCCCGTTTCCAACGAAGGCCTCAAAGGGGTCTGAATATCCACATGCAGACTTTATAAACAGAGTGTTTACTAACTGCTCTATGAAAAGAAAGGTTAAACTCTGTGAGTTGAACACACACATCACAAAGGAGTTTCTGAGAATCATTCTGTCTAATCTTTATACGAACATATTTCCTTTTCTACCATTGACCTCAAAGCGGCTGAAATCTCCACTTGCAAATTCCACAAAAAGAGTGTTTCAAGTCTGCTCTGTGTAAAGGATCGTTCAACTCTGTGAGTTGAATACACACAACACAAGGAAGTTACTGAGAATTCTTCTGTCTAGCAGAATATGAAGAAATCCCGTTTCCAACGAAGGCCACAAGATGTCAGAATATCCACTTACAGACTTTACAAACAGAGTGTTTCCTAACTGCTCTATGAACAGAAAGGTTAAACTCTGTGAGTTGAACGAACACATCACAACGGAGTTTGTGGGAATGATTCTGTCTAGTTTTTATAGGAAGTTATTTCCTTTTCTACCTTTGACTTCAAAGTGGCTGAAATCTCCACTTGCAAATTCCACAAAAAGAGTGTTACAAGTCTGCTCTCTGTAAAGGATCGTTCAACTCTGTGAGTTGAATACAGACAACACAAGGAAGTTACTGAGAATTCTTCTGTCTAGCCTTACATGAAAAAAACCCGTTTCCAACGAAGGCCTCTAAGTGGTCAAGTTATCCACGTGCAGACTTTACAAACAGAGTGTTTCCAAACTGCTGAATGAAAAGAAAAGTTAAACTCTGAGAGTTGAACGCACACATCGCAGAGCAGTTTCTGAGAATGATTCTGTCTAGTTTTGAAACGAAGATATTTCCTTTTCTGCCTTTGGCCTCAAAGCGCTTGAAATCTCCACTTGCAAATTCCACAAAAAGAGTGTTTCAAATCTGCTCTGTGTAAATGAAAGTTCAACTCTGTGAGTTGAACACAGACAACACAAGGAAGTTACTGGGAATTCTTCTGTCTAGCCTTATATGAAAAAAACCCGTTTCCAACGAAGGCCTCAAAGAGGTCTGAATATCCACCTGCAGACTTTACAAACAGAGTGTTTCCTAACTGCTCTATGAAAAGAAAGGTTAAACTCTGTGAGTTGAACACACACATCACAAAGGAGTTTCTGAGAATCATTCTGTCTAGTTTTTATACGAAGATATTTCCTTTTCTACCATTGACCTCAAAGCGGCTGAAATCTCCACTTGCAAATTCCACAAAACGAGTGTTTCAAGTCTGCTCTGTGTAAAGGATAGTTCAACTCTGTGAGTTGAATACACACAACACAAGGAAGTTACTGAGAATTCTTCTGTCTAGCAGAATATGAAGAAATCCCATTTCCAACGAAGGCCACAAAATGTCAGAATATCCACTTACAGACTTTACAAACAGAGTGTTTTCTAACTGCTCTATGAACAGAAAGGTTAAACTCTGTGAGTTGAACGAACACATCACAACGCAGTTTGTGGGAATGATTCTGTCTAGTTTTGAAACGAAGATATTTCCTTTTCTGCCATTGACCTTAAAGCGCTTGAAATCTACACTTGCAAATTGCACAAGTAGAGTGTTTCAAATCTGCTCTGTCTAAGGGAACGTTCAACTCTGTGAGTTGAATGCACACAACACAAGGAAGTTACTGGGAATTCTTCTGTCTAGCCTTACGTGAAAAAAACCCGTTTCCAACGAAGGCCTCTAAGCGGTCAAGTTATCCACGTGCAGACTTTACAAACAGAGTGTTTCCAAACTGCTGAATGAAAAGAAAAGTTAAACTCTGAGAGTTGAACGCACACATCGCAGAGCAGTTTCTGAGAATGATTCTGTCCAGTTTTTATACGAAGATATTTCCTTTTCTGCCTTTGGCCTCAAAGCGCTTGAAATCTCCATTTGCAAATTCCACAAAAAGAGTGTTTCAAATCTGCTCTGTGTAAATGAAAGTTCAACTCTGTGAGTTGAACACACACAACACAAGGAAGTTACTGGGAATTCTTCTCTCTAGCCTTATATGAAAAAAACCCGTTTCCAACGAAGGCCTCAAAGAGGTCTGAATATCCACTTGCAGACTTTACAAACAGAGTGTTTCCTAACTGCTCTATGAAAAGAAAGGTTAAACTCTGTGAGTTGAACGCACACATCACAAAGGAGTTTCTGAGAATCATTCTGTCTAGTTTCTATAGGAAGATATTTCCTATTCTACCATTGACATCAAAGCGGCTGAAATCTCCACTAGCAAATTCCACAAAAAGAGTGTTTCAAGACTGTTCTGTGTAAAGGATCATTCAACTCTGTGAGTTGAATACACACAACACAAGGAAGTTACTGAGAATTCTTCTGTCTAGCAGAATGTGAAGAAATCCCGTTTCCAACGAAGGCCACAAGATGTCAGAATATCCACTTACAGAGTTTACAAACAGAGTGTTTCCTAACTGCTCTATGAACAGAAAGGTTAAACTCTGTGAGTTGAACGAACACATCACAACGCAGTTTGTGGGAATGATTCTGTCTAGTTTTGAAACGAAGATATTTCCTTTTCTGCCGTTGACCTTAAAGCGCTTGAAATCTACACTTGCAAATTGCACAAATAGAGTGTTTCAAATCTGCTCTGTCTAAGGGAACGTTAAACTCTGTGAGTTGAATGCACACAAAACAAGGAAGTTACTGGGAATTCTTCTGTCTAGCATTACATGAAAAAAACCCGTTTCCAACGAAGGCCTCTAAGTGGTCAAAATATCCACGTGCAGACTTTACAAACAGAGTGTTTCCAAACCGCTGAATCAAAAGAAAAGTTAAACTCTGAGAGTTGAACGCACACATCACGCAGCAGTTTCTGAGAATGATTCTGTCTAGTTTTTATACGAAGATATTTCCTTTTCTGCCTTTGGCCACAAAGCGCTTGAAATCTCCACTTGCAAATTCCACAAAAACAGTGTTTCAAATCTGCTCTCTCTAAATGAAAGTTCAACTCTGTCAGTTGAATACACACAACACAAGGAAGTTACTGAGAATTCTTCTTTCTAGCAGAATATGAAGAAATCCCGTTTCCAACGAAAGCCTCAAGGATGTCTGAATATCCACTTGCAGACTTTACAAACAGAGTGTTTCCTAACTGCTCTATGAAAAGAAAGGTTAAACTCTGTGAGTTGAACGCACGCATCACAAAGGAGTTTCTGAGAATCATTCTGTCTAGTTTCTATAAGAAGATATTTCCTATTCTACCATTGACCTCAAAGCGGCTGAAATCTCCACTTGCAAATTCGACAAAAAGACTGTTTCAAGCCTGCTCTCTGTAAAGGATCGTTCAACTCTGTGAGTTGAATACACACAACACAAGGAAGTTACTGAGAATTATTCTGTCTAGCAGAATTTGAAGAAATCCCGTTTCCAACGTAGGCCACAAGATGTCAGAATATCCACTTACAGAATTTACAAACAGACTGTTTCCTAACTGCTCTATGAAAAGAAAGTTTAAACTCTGTGATTTGAACGAACACATCACAACGCAGTTTGTGGGAATGATTCTGTCTAGTTTTGAAACGAAGATATTTCCTTTTCTGCCATTGACCTTAAAGCGCTTGAAATCTCCATTTGCCAATTGCACAAAAAGAGTGTTTCAAATCTGCTCTGTCTAAAGGAACGTTCAACTCTGTGAGTTGAATGTACACAACACAAGGAAGTTACTGGGAATTCTTCTGTCTAGCCTTACATGAAAAAAACCCGTTTCCAACGAAGGCCTCTAAGTGGTCAAATTATCCACGTGCAGACTTTACAAACAGAGTGTTTCCAAACTGCTGAATGAAAAGCAAAGTTAAACTCTGATAGTTGAACGCACACATCGCAGAGCAGTTTCTGAGAATGATTCTGTCTAGTTTTTATACGAAGATATTTCCTTTTCTGCCTTTGGCCCCAAAGCGCTTGAAATCTCCACTTGAAAATTCCACAAAAACAGTGTTTCAAATCTGCTCTCTCTAAATGAAAGTTCAACTCTGTCAGTTGAATACACACAACACAAGGAAGTTACTGAGAATTCTTCTGTCTAGCAGAACATGAAGAAATCCCGTTTCCAACGAAGGCCTCAATGATGTCTGAATATCCACATGCAGACTTTACAAACAGAGTGTTTCCTAACTGCTCTATGAAAAGAAAGGATAAACTCTGTGAGTTGAACGCACACATCACAAAGGAGTTTCTGAGAATCATTCTGTCTAGTTTCTATAGGAAGATATTTCCTATTCTACCATTGAACTCAAAGCGGCTGAAATCTCCACTTGCAAATTCCACATAAAGAGTGTTTCAAGTCTGCTCTGTGTAAAGGATCATTCAACTCTGTGAGTTGAATACACACAACACAAGGAAGTTACTGACAATTCTTCTGTCTAGCAGAATATGAAGAAATCCCGTTTCCAACGAAGGCCACAAGATGTCAGAATATCCACTTACAGAATTTTCAAACAGACTGTTTCCTAACTGCTCTATGAAAAGAAAGGTTAAACTCTGTGAGTTGAACGCACACATCACAAAGAAGTTTCTGAGAATCATTCTGTCTAGTTTTGAAACGAAGATATTTCCTTTTCTGCCGTTGACCTTAAAGCGCTTGAAATCTACACTTGGAAATTGCACAAATAGAGTGTTTCAAATCTGCTCTGTCTAAGGGAACGTTCAACTCTGTGAGTTGAATGCACACAACACAAGGAAGTTACTGGGAATTCTTCTGTCTAGCCTTATATGAAAAAAACCCGTTTCCAACGAAGGCCTCTAAGTGGTCAAAATATCCACGTGCAGACTTTACAAACAGAGTGTTTCCAAACCGCTGAATGAAAAGAAAAGTTAAACTCTGAGAGTTGAACGCACACATCATGCAGCAGTTTCTGAGAATGATTCTGTCTAGTTTTGAAACGAAGATATTTCCTTTTCTACCGTTGACCTCAACGCGGCTGAAATCTCCATTTGCAAATTCCACAAAAAGAGTGTTTCAAATCTGCTCTGTGTAAATGAAAGTTCAACTGTGTGAGTTGAACACACACAACACAAGGAAGTTACTGGGAATTCTCTGTCTAGCAGAATATGAAGAAATCCCGTTTCCAACGAAGGCCTCAAGGAGGTCTGAATATCCACTTGCACACTTTACAAACAGAGTGTTTCCTAACTGCTCTATGAAAAGAAAGGTTAAACTCTGTGAGTTGAACGCACACATCACAAAGGAGTTTATGAGAATCATTTCTGTCTAGTTTTTATACGAAGATATTTCCTTTTCTACCATTGACCTCAAAGCGGCTGAAATCTCCACTTGCAAATTCCACAAAAAGAGTGTATCAAGTCTGCTCTGTGTAAAGGATCGTTCAACTCTGTGAGTTGAATACACACAGCACAAGGGAAGTTACTGAGAATTCTTCTCTCAGGCATAATATGAAGAAATCCCGTTTGCAAAGAAGGCCTCAAAGAGGTCTGAATATCCACT
Organism: Homo sapiens; assembly: GCF_000001405.40. NCBI lineage: Eukaryota > Metazoa > Chordata > Mammalia > Primates > Hominidae > Homo > Homo sapiens. The sequence goes on along the minus strand of NC_000005.10, from coordinate 48,980,164 downwards.
TGCAGAGTTTACAAACAGAGTGTTTCCTAACTGCTCTATGAAAAGAAAGGTTAAACTCTGTGAGTGGAACGCACACATCACAAAGAATTTTCTGAGAATCATTCTGTCTAGTTTTGAAACGAGGATATTTCCTTTTCTGCCATTGACCTTAAAGCGCTTGAAATCTACACTTGCAAATTGCACAAATAGAGTGTTTCAAATCTGCTCTGCCTAAGGGAACGTTCAACTCTGTGAGTTGAATGCACACAACACAAGGAAGTTACTGGGAATTCTTCTGTTTAGCCTTACATGCAAAAAACCCGTTTCCAACGAAGGCCTCTAAGTGGTCAAAATATCCACGTGCAGACTTTACAAACAGAGTGTTTCCAAACGGCTGAATGAAAAGAAAAGTTAAACTCTGAGAGTTGAACGCACACATCACGCAGCAGTTTCTGAGAATGATTCTGTCTAGTTTTTATAGGAAGATATTTCCTTTTCTACCATTGACCACATAGCGGCGGAAATCTCCACTTGCAAATTCCACAAAAAGAGTGTTTCAAGTCTGCTCTGTGTAAAGGATCGTTCAACTCTGTGAGTTGAATACACACAACACGCGGAAGTTACTAAGAATTCTTCTGTCTAGCATAGTATGAAGAAATCCCGTTTCCAACGAAGGCCTCAAAGAGGTCTGAATATCCACTTGCAGAGTTTACAAACAGAGTGTTTCCTAACTGCTCTATGAAAAGAAAGGTTAAACTCTGTGAGTTGAACGCACACATCACAAAGGAGTTTCTGAGAATCATTCTGTCTAGTTTTTATACGAAGATATTTCCTTTTCTACCATTGACCTCAAAGCGGCTGAAATCTCCACTTGCAAATTCCACAAAAAGAGTGTTTCAAATCTGCTCTGTGTAAATGAAAGTTCAACTCTGTGAGTTGAACACACACAACACAAGGAAGTTACTGGGAATTCTTCTGTCTAGCCTTATATGAAAAAAACCCGTTTCCAACGAAGGCCTCAAAGCAGGTCTGAATATCCACTTGCAGACTTTACAAACAGAGTGTTTCCTAACTGCTCTATGAAAAGAAAGGTTAAACTCTGTGAGTTGAACACACACATCACAAAGGAGTTTCTGAGAATCATTCTGTCTAGTTTTTATACGAAGATATTTCCTTTTCTACCATTGACCTCAAAGAGGCTGAAATCACCACTTGCCAATTGCACAAAAAGAGTGTTTCAAATCTGCTCTGTCTAAGGGAACGTTCAACTCTGTGAGTTGAATGTACACAACACAAGGGAAGTTACTGGGAATTCTTCTGTCTAGCCTTACAGGAAAAAAACCCGTTTCCAATGAAGGCCTCTAAGTGGTCAAATTATCCACGTGCAGACTTTACAAACAGAGTGTTTCCAAACTGCTGAATGAAAAGAAAAGTTAAACTCTGAGAGTTGAACGCACACATCGCAGAGCAGTTTCTGAGAATGATTCTGTCTAGTTTTTATACGAAGATATTACCTTTTCTGCCTTTGGCCCCAAAGCGCTTGAAATCTCCACTTGCAAATTCCACACAAACAGTGTTTCAAATCTGCTCTCTCTAAATGAAAGTTCAACTCTGTCAGTTGAATACACACAACACAAGGAAGTTACTGAGAATTCTTCTGTCCAGCATAATATGAAGAAATCCCGTTTCCAAAGAAGGCCTCAAGGATCTCTGAATATCCACTTGCAGACCTTACAAACAGAGTGTTTCCTAACTGCTCTATGAAAAGAAAGGTTAAACTCTGTGAGTTGAACGCACACATCACAAAGGAGTTTCTGAGAATAATTCTGTCTAGTTGTTATACGAAGATATTTCCTTTTCTACCATTGACCTCAAAGCGGCTGAAATCTCCACTTGCAAATTCCACCAAATGAGTGTTTCAAATCTGCTCTGTGTAAACCATCGTTCAACTCTGTGAGTTGAATACACACAACACAAGGAAGATTCTGAGAATTCTTCTGTCTAGCAGAATATGAAGAAATCCCGTTTCCAACGAAGGCCACAAGATGTCAGAATATCCACTTACAGAATTTTCAAACAGACTGTTTCCTAACTGCTCTATGAAAAGAAAGGTTAAACTCTGTGAGTTGAACGAACACATCACAACGCAGTTTGTGCGAATGATTCTGTTTAGTATTTATAAGAAGATATTTCCTTTTCTACCTTTGACTTCAAAGCGGCTGAAATCTCCACTTGCAAATTCCACAAAAAGAGTGTTACAAGTCTGCTCTGTGTAAAGGATCGTTCAACTCTGTGAGTTGAATACACACAAAACAAGGAAGTTACTGAGAATTCTTCTGTCTAGCCTTACATGAAAAAAACCCGTTTCCAACGAAGGCCTCTAAGTGGTCAAAATATCCACGTGCAGACTTTACACACAGAGTGTTTCCAAACCGCTGAATGAAAAGAAAAGTTAAACTCTGAGAGTTGAAAGCACACATCACGCAGCAGTTTCTGAGAATGATTCTGTCTAGTTTTTATACGAAGATATTTCCTTTTCTGCCTTTGGCCCCAAAGCGCTTGAAATCTCCACTTGCAAATTCCACAAAAACAGTGTTTCAAATCTGCTCTCTCTAAACGAAAGTACAACTCTGTCAGTTGAATACACACAACACAAGGAAGTTACTGAGAATTCTTCTGTCTAGCCTTACATGAAAAAAACCCGTTTCCAACGAAGGCCTCAAAGAGGTCTGAATATCCACTTGCAGACTTTACAAACAGAGTGTTTCCTAACTGCTCTATGAAAAGAAAGGTTAAACTCTGTGAGTTGAACACACACATCACAAAGGAGTTTCTGAGAATCATTCTGTCTAGTTTTTATACGAAGATATTTCCTTTTCTACCATTGACCACAAAGCGGCTGAAATCTCCACTTGCAAATTCCACAAAAAGAGTGTTTCAAGTCTGCTGTGTGTAAAGGAACGTTCAACTCTGTGAGTTGAATACACACAACAGAAGGAAGTTACTGAGAATTCTTCTGTCTAGCCTTACATGAAAAAAACCCGTTTCCAAAGAAGGCCTCTAAGTGGTCAAATTATCCACGTGCAGACTTTACAAACAGAGTGTTTCCAAACTGCTGAATGAAAAGAAAAGTTAAACTCTGAGAGTTGAACGCACACATTGCAGAGCAGTTTCTGAGAATGATTCTGTCTAGTTTTGAAACGAAGATATTTCCTTTTCTGCCTTTGGCCTCAAAGCGCTTGAAATCTCCACTTGCAAATTCCACAAAAAGAGTGTTTCAAATCTGCTCTGGGTAAATGAAAGTTCAACTCAGTGAGTTGAACACACACAACACAAGGAAGTTACTGGGAATTCTTCTGTCTAGCCTTACAGGAAAAAATCCCGTTTCCAACGAAGGCCTCTAAGTGGTCAAAATATCCACGTGCAGACTTTACAAACAGAGTGTTTCCAAACTGCTGAATGAAAAGAAAAGTTAAACTCTGAGAGTTGAACGCACACATCGCAGAGCAGTTTCTGAGAATGATTCTGTCTAGTTTTTATACGAAGATATTTCCTTTTCTGCCTTTGGCCTCAAAGCGCTTGAAATCTCCATTTGCAAATTACACAAAAAGAGAGTTTCAAATCTGCTCTGTGTAAATGAGAGTTCATCTCTGTGAGTTGAACACACACAACACAAGGAAGTTACTGGGAATTCTTCTGTCTAGCATAATATGAAGAAATCCCGTTTCCAACGAAGGCCTCAAGGAGGTGTGAATATCCACTTGCAGACTTTACAAACAGAGTGTTTCCTAACTGCTCTATGAAAAGAAAGGTTAAACTGTGTGAGTTGAACGCACACATCACAAAGGAGTTTCTGAGAATCATTCTGTCTAGTTTTTGTACGAAGATATTTCCTTTTCTACCATTGACCTCAAAGCGGCTGAAATCTCCACTTGCAAATTCCACAAAAAGAGTGTTTCAAATCTGCTCTGAGTAAACCATCGTTCAACTCTGTGAGTTGAATACACACAACACAAGGAAGATTCTGAGAATTCTTCTGTCTAGCAGAATATGAAGAAATCCCGTTCCCAACGAAGGCCACAAGATGTCAGAATATCCACTTACAGACTTTACAAACAGAGTGTTTCCTAACTGCTCTATGAACAGGAAGGTTAAACTCTGTGAGTTGAACGAACACATCACAACGCAGTTTGTGGGAATGATTCTGTCTATTTTTTATATGAAGATATTTCCTTTTCTACCATTGACCTCAAAGCGGCTGAAATCTCCACTTGCAAATTCCACAAAAAGAGTGTCTCAAGTCTGCTCTGTGTAAACGATCGTTGAACTCTGTGAGTTGAATACACACAACACAAGGAAGTTTCTGAGAATTCTTCTGTATAGCAGAATATGAAGAAATCCCGTTTCCAAAGAAAGCCTCAAAGATGTCTGAATATCCACTTGCAGACTTTACAAACAGAGTGTTTCCTAACTGCTCTATGAAAAGAAAGGTTAAACTCTGTGAGTTGAACGCACACATCACAAAGGAGTTTCTCAGAATCATTCTGTCTACTTTCTATAGGAAGATATTTCCTATTGTACCATTGACCTCAAAGCGGCTGAAATCTCCACTTGCAAATTCCACAAAAGGAGTGTTTCAAGTCTGCTCTGTGTAAAGGATCGTTCAACTCTGTGAGTTGAAAACACACAACACAAGGAAAGTTACTGAGAATTCTTCTGTCTAGCAGAACATGAAGAAATCCCGTTTCCAACGAAGGCCTCATAGATGTCTGAATATCCACTTGCAGACTTTACAAACAGAGTGTTTCCTAACTGCTCTATGAAAAGAAAGGTTAAACTCTGTGAGTTGAACGCACACATCACAAAGGAGTTTCTGAGAATCATTCTGTCTAGTCTTTATACGAAGATATTTCCTTTTCTACCATTGAAATCAAAGCGGCTGAAATCTCCACTTGCAAATTCCACAAAAAGAGTGTTTCAAGTCTGCTCTGTGTAAAGGATCGTTCAACTCTGTGAGTTGAATACACACAACACAAGGAAGTTACTGAGAATTCTTCTGTCTAGCAGAATATGAAGAAATCCCGTTTCCAACGAAGGCCACAAGATGTCAGGATATCCACTTACAGAATGTACAAACAGACTGTTTCCTAACTGCTCTATGAAAAGAAAGGTTAAACTCTGTGAGATGAACGAACACATCACAACGCAGTTTGTGGGAATGATTCTGTCTAGTTTTGAAACCAAGATATTTCCTTTTCTGCCGTTGACCTTAAAGAGCTTGAAAACTACACTTGCAAATTGCACAAATAGAGTGTTTCAAATCTGCTCTGTCTAAAGGAACGTTCAACTCTGTGAGTTGAATGCACACAACACAAGGAAGTTACTGGGAATTCTTCTGTCTAGCCTTACATGAAAAAAACCCGTTTCCAACGAAGGCCTCAAAGAGGTCTGAATATCCACGTGCAGACTTTACAAACAGAGTGTTTCCAAACCGCTGAATGAAAAGAAAGGTTAAACTCTGTGAGTTGAACGCACACATCACAAAGGAGTTTCTGAGAATCATTCTGTCTAGTTTTGGCCCCAAAGCGCTTGAAATCTCCACTTGCAAATTCCACAAAAACAGTGTTTCAAATCTGCTCTCTCTAAATGAAAGTTCAACTCTGTCAGTTGAATACACACAACACAAGGAAGTTACTGAGAATTCTTCTGTCTAGCATAATATGAAGAAATCCCGTTTCCAACGAAGGCCTTAAGGAGGTCTGAATATCCACTTGCAGACTTTACAAACACAGTGTTTCCTAACTGTTCTATGAAAAGAAAGGTTAAACTCTGTGAGTTGAACGCACACATCACAAAGGAGTTTCTGAGAATCATTCTGTCTAGTTTTTATACGAAGATATTTCCTTTTCTACCATTGACCTCAAAGCGGCTGAAATCTCCACTTGCAAATTCCACAAAAAGAGTGTTTCAAGTCTGCTCTGTGTAAAGCATCGTTCAACTCTGTGAGTTGAATACACACAACACAAGGAAGTTACTGAGAATTCTTCTGTCTAGCATAATATGAAGAAATCCCGTTTCCAACGAAGGCCTCAAGGAGGTCTGAATATCCACTTGCAGACTTTACAAACAGAGTGTTTCCTAACTGCTCTATGAAAAGAAAGGTTAAACTGTGAGTTGAATGCACACATCACAAAGGAGTTTCTGAGAATCATTCTGTCTAGTTTTGAAACGAAGATATTTCCTTTTCTGCCGTTGACCTTAAAGCGGTTGAAATCTACACTTGCAAATTGCACAAATAGAGTGTTTCAATTCTGCTCTGTCTAAGGAAACGTTCAACTCTGTGACTTGAATGCACACAACACAAGGAAGTTACTGGGAATTCTTCTGTCTAGGCTTACATGAAAAAAACCCGTTTCCAACGAAGGCCTCTAAGTGGTCAAAATATCCACGTGCAGACTTTACAAACAGAGTGTTTCCAAACCGCTGAATGAAAAGAAAAGTTAAACTCTGAGAGTTGAACGCACACATCACGCAGCAGTTTCTGAGAATGATTCTGTCTAGTTTTTATACGAAGATATTTCCTTTTCTGCCTTTGGCCCCAAACCGCTTGAAATCTCCACTTGCAAATTCCACAAAAACAGTGTTTCAAATCTGCTCTCTCTAAATGAAAGTTCAACTCTGTCAGTTGAATACACACAACACAAGGAAGTTACTGAGAATTCTTCTGTCTAGCAGAATATGAAGAAATCCCGTTTCCAACGAAGGCCTCAAGGAGGTCTGAATATCCACTTGCAGACTTTACAAACAGAGTGTTTCCTAACTGCTCTATGAACAGAAAGGTTAAACTCTGTGAGTTGAACGCACACATCACAAAGGAGTTTCTGACAATCATTCTGTCTAGTTTCTATAGGAACATATTTCCTATTCTACCATTGACCTCAAAGCGGCTAAAATCTCCACTTGCAAATTCCACAAAAAGAATGTTTCAAGTCTGCTCTGTGTAAAGGATCGTTCAACTCTGTGAGTTGAATACACACAACACAAGGAAGTTACTGAGAATTCTTCTGTCTAGCAGAATATGAAGAAATCCCGTTTCCAACGAAGGCCACAAGACGTCAGAATATCCACTTACAGACTTTACAAACAGAGTGTTTCCTAACTGCTCTATGAACAGAAAGGTTAAACTCTGTGAGTTGAACGAACACATCACAACGCAGTTTGTGGGAATGATTCTGTCTAGTTTTGAAACGAAGATATTTCCTTTTCTGCCATTGACCTTAAAGCGCTTGAAATCTACACTTGCAAATTGCACAAATAGAGTGTTTCAAATCTGCTCTGTCTAAGGGAACGTTCAACTCTGTGAGTTGAATGCACACAACACAAGGAAGTTACTGGGAATTCTTCTGTCTAGCCTTACAGGAAAAAAACCCGTTTCCAACGAAGGCCTCTAAGTGGTCAAATTATCCACGTGCAGACTTTACAAACAGAGTGTTTCCAAACTGCTGAATGAAAAGAAAAGTTAAACTCTGAGAGTTGAACGCACACATCGCAGAGCAGTTTCTGAGAATGATTCTGTGTAGTTTTTATACGAAGATATTTCCTTTTCTGCCTTTGGCCTCAAAGCGCTTGAAATCTCCACTTGCAAATTCCACAAAAAGAGTGTTTCCAATCTGCTCTGTGTAAATGAAAGTTCAACTCTGTGAGTTGAACACACACATCACAAGGAAGTTACTGGGAATTCTTCTGTCTAGCAGAATATGAAGAAATCCCGTTTCCAACGAAGGCCTCAAGGAGGTCTGAATATCCACTTGCAGACTTTACAAACAGAGTGTTTCCTAACTGTTCTATGAAAAGAAAGGTTAAACTCTGTGAGTTGAACGCACACATCACAAAGGAGTTTATGAGAATCATTCTGTCTAGTTTCTATAGGAAGATATTTCCTATTCTACCATTGACCCCATAGCGGCTGAAATCTCCACTTGCAAATTCCACAAAAAGAGTGTTTCAAGTCTGCTCTGTGTAAAGGATCGTTCAACTCTGTGAGTTGAATACACACAACACAAGGAAGTTACTGAGAATTCTTCTGTCTAGCAGAATATGAAGAAATCCCGTTTCCAACGAAGGCCACAAGATGTCAGAATATCCACTTACAGACGTTACAGAGTGTTTCCTAACTGCTCTATGAACAGAAAGGTTAAACTCTGTGAGTTGAACGAACATATCACAAGGCAGTTTGTGGGAATGATTCTGTCTAGTTTTGAAACGAAGATATTTCCTTTTCTGCCATTGACCTTAAAGCGCTTGAAATCTACACTTGCAAATTGCACAAATAGAGTGTTTCAAATCTGCTCTGTCTAATGGACGTTCAACTCTGTGAGTTGAATGCACACAACACAAGGAAGTTACTGGGAATTCTTCTGTCTAGCCTTACATGAAAAAAACCCGTTTCCAACGAAGGACTCTAAGTGGTCAAAATATCCACGTGCAGACTTTACAAACAGAGTGTTTCCAAACCGCTGAATGAAAAGAAAAGTTAAACTGTGAGAGTTGAACGCACACATCACGCAGCAGTTTCTGAGAATGATTCTGTCTAGTTTTTCTATGAAGATATTTTCTTTTCTACTATTGACCTCAAAGCGGATGAAATCTCCACTTGCAAATTACACAAAAAGAGTGTTTCAAGTCTGCTCTGTGTAAAGGATCGTTCAACTCTGTGAGTTGAATACACACAACACAAGGAAGTTACTGAGAATTCTTCTGTCTAGCAGAATATGAAGAAATCCCGTTTCCAACGAAGGCCTCAAGGAGGTCAGAATATCCACTTGCAGGCTTTACAAACAGAGTGTTTCCTAACTGCTCTATGAAAAGAATGGTTAAACTCTGTGAGTTGAACGCACACATCACAAAGGAGTTTCTGAGAATCATTCTGTCTAGTTTTTATAGGAAGATATTTCCTTTTCTACCTTTGACTTCAAAGCTGCTGAAATCTCCACTTGCGAATTCCACAAAAAGAGTGTTACAAGTCTGCTCTGTGTAAAGGATCGTTCAACTCTGTGAGTTGAATACACACAACACAAGGAAGTTACTGAGAATTCTTCTGTCTAGCCTTACATGAAAAAAACCCGTTTCCAACGAAGGCCTCTAAGTAGTCAAATTATCCACGTGCAGACTTTACAAACAGAATGTTTCCAAACTGCTGAATGAAAAGAAAAGTTGAACTCTGAGAGTTGAACGCACACATCGCAGAGCAGTTTCTGAGAATGATTCTGTCTAGTTTTGAAACGAAGATATTTCCTTTTCTGCCGTTGACCTTAAAGCGCTTGAAATCTACACTTGCAAATTGCACAGAGTGTTTCCAATCTGCTCTGTCTAAGGGAACGTTCAACTCTGTGAGTTGAATGCACACAACACAAGGAAGTTACTGGGAATTCTTCTGTCTAGCCTTACATGAAAAAAACCCGTTTCCAACGAAGGCCTCTACGTGGTCAAAATATCCACGTGCAGACTTTACAAACAGAGTGTTTCCAAACCGCTGAATGAAAAGAAAAGTTAAACTCTGAGAGTTGAACGCACACATCACGCAGCAGTTTCTGAGAATGATCTCTGTCTAGTTTCTATAGGAAGATATTTCCTATTCTACCATTGACCTCAAAGCGGCTGAAATCTCCACTTGCAAATTCCACAAAAAGAGTGTTTCAAGTCTGCTCTGTGTAAAGGATCGTTCAATTCTGTGAGTTGAATACACACAACACAAGGAAGTTACTGAGAATTCTTGTGTCTAGCATAATATGAAGAAATCCCGTTTCCAACGAAGGCCTCAAGGAGGTCTGAATATCCACTTGCAGACTTTACAAACAGAGTGTTTCCTAACTGCTCTATGAAAAGAAAGGTTAAACTCTGTGAGTTGAACGCACACATCACAAAGGAGTTTCTGAGAATCATTCTGTCTAGTCTTTATACGAAGATATTTCCTTTTCTACCATTGACCTCAAAGCGGCTGAAATCTCCACTTGCAAATTCCACAAAAAGAGTGTTTCAAGTCTGCTCTGTGTAAAGGATCGTTCAACTCTGTGAGTTGAATACACACCACACAAGGAAGTTACTGAGAATTCTTCTGTCTAGCAGAATATGAAGAATTCCCGTTTCCAACGAAGGCCTCAAGGAGGTCTGAATATCCACTTGCAGACTTTTCAAACAGAGTGTTTCCTAACTGCTCTATGAAAAGAAAGGTTAAACTCTGTGAGTTGAACGCACACATCACAAAGGAGTTTATGAGAATCATTCTGTCTAGTTTTGAAACGAAGATATTTCCTTTTCTGCCATTGACCTTAAAGCGCTTGAAATCTCCATTTGCCAATTGCACAAAAAGAGTGTTTCAAATCTGCTCTGTCTAAGGGAACGTTCAACTCTGTGAGTTGAATGTACACAACACAAGGAAGTTCCTGGGAATTCTTCTGTCTAGCCTTACAGGAAAAAAACCCGTTTCCAAAGAAGGCCTCTAAGTGGTCAAAATATCCACGTGCAGACTTTACAAACAGAGTGTTTCCAAACTGCTGAATGAAAAGAAAAGTTAAACTCTGAGAGTTGAACGCACACATCGCAGAGCAGTTTCTGAGAATGATTCTGTCTAGTCTTTATACGAAGATATTTCCTTTTCTGCCTTTGGCCGCAAAGCGCTTGAAATCTCCACTTGCAAATTCCACAAAAACAGTGTTTCAAATCTGCTCTCTGTAAATGAAAGTTCAACTCTGTCAGTTGAATACACACAACACAAGGAAGTTACTGAGAATTCTTCTGTCTAGCATAATATGAAGAAATCCCGTTTCCAACGAAGGCCTCAAATGGGTCTGAATATCCACTTGCAGACTTTATAAACAGAGTGTTTCCTAACTGCTCTATGAAAAGAAAGGTTAAACTCTGTGAGTTGAACACACACATCACAAAGGAGTTTCTGAGAATCATTCTGTCTAGTCTTTATACGAAGATATTTCCTTTTCTACCATTGACCTCAAAGCGGCTGAAATCTCCACTTGCAAATTCCACAAAAGAGACTGTTTTCAAGTCTGCTCTGTGTAAAGGATCGTTCAACTCTGTGAGAGGAATACACACAACACAAGGAAGTTACTGAGAATTCTTCTGTCTAGCAGAATATGAAGAAATCCCGTTTCCAACGAAGGCCACAAGATGTCAGAATATCTACTTACAGACTTTACAAACAGAGTTTTTCCTAACTGCTCTATGAACAGAAAGGTTAAACTCTGTGTGTTGAACGAACACATCACAACGCAGTTTGTGGGAATGATTCTGTCTAGTTTTGAAATGAAGATATTTCCTTTTCTGCCATTGACCATAAAGCGCTTGAAATCTACACTTGCAAATTGCACAAATAGAGTGCTTCAAATCTGCTCTGTCTAAGGGAACGTTCAACTCTGTGAGTTGAATGCACACAACACAAGGAAGTTACTGGGAATTCTTCTGTCTAGCCTTACAGGAAAAAAACCCGTTTCCAACGAAGGCCTCTAAGTGGTCAAGTTATCCACGTGCAGACTTTACAAACAGAGTGTTTCCAAACTGCTGAATGAAAAGAAAAGTTAAACTCTGAGAGTTGAACGCACACATCGCAGAGCAGTTTCTGAGAATGATTCTGTCTAGTTTTGAAACGAAGATATTTCCTTTTCTGCCTTTGGCCTCAAAGCGCTTGAAATCTCCACTTGCAAATTCCACAAAAAGAGTGTTTCAAAGATGCTCTGTGTAAATGAAAGTTCAACTCTGTGAGTTGAACACACACAACACAAGGAAGTTACTGGGAATTCTTCTGTCTAGCAGAATATGAAGAAATCCCGTTTCCAACGAAGGCCTCAAAGAGGTCTGAATATCCACTTGCAGACTTTACAAACAGAGTGTTTCCTAACTGCTCTATGAAAAGAAAGGTGAAACTCTGTGAGTTGAACGCACACATCACAAAGGAGTTTCTGAGAATCGTTCTGTCTAGTTTCTATAGGAAGATATTTCCTATTCTACCATTGACCTCAAAGAGGCTGAAATCTCCACTTGCAAATTCCACAAAAAGAGTGTTTCAAGTCTGCTCTGTGTAAAGGATCGTTCAACTCTTTGAGTTGAATACACACAACACAAGGAAGTTACTGAGAATTCTTCTGTCTAGCAGCAATATGAAGAAATCCCGTTTCCAACGAAGGCCACAAGATGTCAGAATATCCACTTACAGAATTTACAAACAGATTGTTTCCTAACTGCTCTATGAAAAGAAAGGTTAAACTCTGTGAGTTGAACGAACACATCACAACGCAGTTTGTGGGAATGATTCTGTCTAGTTTTGAAACGAAGATATTTCCTTTTCTGCCATTGACCTTAAAGCGCTTGAAATCTCCACTTGCCAATTGCACAAAAAGAGTGTTTCAAATCTGCTCTGTCTAAGGGAACGTTCAACTCTGTGAGTTGAATGTACACAACACAAGGAAGTTACTGGGAATTCTTCTGTCTAGCCTTACAGGAAAAAAACCCGTTTCCAACGAAGGCCTCTAAGTGGTCAAAATATCCACGTGCAGACTTTACAAACAGAGTGTTTCCAAACTGCTGAATGAAAAGAAAAGTTAAACTCTGAGAGTTGAACGCACACATCGCACAGCAGTTTCTGAGAATGATTCTGTCTAGTTTTGAAACGAAGATATTTCCTTTTCTGCCTTTGGCCTCAAATCGCTTGAAATCTCCAGTTGCAAATTCCACAAAAAGAGTGTTTCAAATCTGCTCTGTGTAAATGAAAGTTCAACTCTGTGAGTTGAACACACACAACACAAGGAAGTTACTGGGAATTCTTCTGTGTAGCCTTATATGAAAAAAACCCGTTTCCAACGAAGGCCTCAAAGAGGTCTGAATATCCACTTGCAGACTTTACAAACAGAGTGTTTCCTAACTACTCTATGAAAAGAAAGGTTAAACTCTGTGAGTTGTACGCACACATCACAAAGGAGTTTCTGAGAATCATTCTGTCTAGTTTTTATACGAAGATATTTCCTTTTCTACCATTGACCTCAAAGCGGCTGAAATATCCAATTGCAAGTTCCACAAAAAGAGTGTTTCTAATCTGCTCTGTGTAAAGGATCTTTCAACTCTGTGATTTGAATGCACACAACACAAGGAAGTTACTGAGAATTCTTCTGTCTAGCAGAATATGAAGAAATCCCGTTTCCAAGGAAGGCCACAAGATGTCAGAATATCCACTTACAGAATTTACAAACAGACTGTTTCCTAACTGCTCTATGAAAAGCAAGGTTAAACTGCTGTGAGTTGAACGAACACATCACAACGCAGTTTGTGGGAATGATTCTGTCTAGTTTTGAGATGAAGATATTTTCTTTTCTGCCATTGACCCTAAAGCGCTTGAAATCTCCACTTCCAAATTGCACAAAAAGAGTGTTTCAAATCTGCTCTGTCTAAGGGAAAGTTCAACTCTGTGAGTTGAATACACACAACACAAGGAAGTTACTGGGAATTCTTCTGTCTAGCCTTACATGAAAAAAACCCGTTTCCAACGAAGGCCTCTAAGTGGTCAAAATTTCCACGTGCAGACTTTACAAACAGAGTGTTTCCAAACCGCTGAATGAAAAGAAAAGTTAAACTCTGAGAGTTGAAGGCACACATCACGCAGCAGTTTCTGAGAATGATTCTGTCTAGTTTTTATACGAAGATATTTCCTTTTCTGCCTTTAGCCCCAAAGCGCTTGAAATCTCCACTTGCAAATTCCACAAAAAGAGTGTTTCAAGTCTGCTCTGTGTAAAGGATCGTTCAACTCTGTGAGTTGAATACACACAACACAAGAAAGTTACTGAGAATTCTTCTGTCTAGCATAGTATGAAGAAATTCCGTTTCCAACGAAGGCCTCAAAGAGGTCTGAATATCCACTTGCACAGTTTACAAACAGAGTGTTTCCTAACTGCTCTATGAGAAGAAAGGTTAAACTCTGTGAGTTGAACGCACACATCACAATGAAGTTTCTGAGAATCATTCTGCCTAGTTTCTATAGGAAGATATTTCCTATTCTACCATTGACCTCAAAGAGGCTGAAATCTCCACTTGCAAATTCCACAAAAAGAGTGTTTCAAGTCTGCTCTGTGTAAAGGATCGTTCAACTCTGTGAGTTGAATACACACAACACAAGGAAGTTACTGAGAATTCTTCTGTCTAGCAGAATATGAAGAAATCCCGTTTCCAACGAAGGCCACAAGATGTCAGAACATTCACTTACAGACTTTACAAACAGAGTGTTTCCTAACTGCTCTATGAACAGAAAGGTTAAACTCTGTGAGTTGAACGAACACATCACAACGCAGTTTGTGGGAATGATTCTGTCTAGTTTTGAAACGAAGATATTTCCTTTTCTTCCATTGACTTTAAAGCGCTTGAAATCTACACTTGCAAATTGCACAAATAGAGTGTTTCAAATCTGCTCTGTCTAAGGGAACGTTCAACTCTGTGAGTTGAATGCACACAACACAAGGAAGTTACTGGGAATTCTTCTGTCTAGCCTTACATGAAAAAAACCCGTTTCCAACGAAGGCCTCTAAGTGGTCAAAATATCCACGTGCAGACTTTACAAACAGAGTGTTTCCAAACCGCTGAATGAAAAGAAAAGTTAAACTCTGAGAGTTGAACGCACACATCACGCAGCAGTTTCTGAGAATGATTTCTGTCTAGTTTTTATACGAAGATATTTCCTTTTCTGCCTTTGGCCCCAAAGCGCTTGAAATCTCCACTTGCAAATTCCACAAAAATAGTGTTTCAAATCTGCTCTCTCCAAATGAAAGTTCAACTCTGTCAGTTGAATACACACAACACAAGGAATTTACTGAGAATTCTTCTGTCTAGCATAATATGAAGAAATCCCGTTTCCAACGAAGGCCTCAAAGAGGTCTGAATATCCACTTGCAGACTTTACAGAGTGTTTCCTAACTGCACTATGAAAAGAAAGGTTAAACTCTGTGAGTTGTACGCACACATCACAAAGGAGTTTCTGAGAATCATTCTGTCTAGTTTCTATAGGAAGATATTTCCTATTCTACCATTGAACTCAAAGCGGCTGAAATCTCCACTTGCAAATTTCACAAAAAGAGTGTTTCAAGTCTGCTCTGTGTAAAGGATCGTTCAACTCTGTGAGTTGAATACACACAACACAAGGAAGTTACTGAGAATTCTTCTGTCTAGCATAATATTAAGAAATCCCGTTTCCAACGAAGGCCTCAAGGAGGTCTGAATATCCACTTGCAGACTTTACAAACAGAGTGTTTCCTAACTGCTCTATGAAAAGAAAGGTTAAACTCTGTGAGTTGAACGCACACATCACAAAGGAGTTTCTCAGAATAATTCTGTCTAGTTTTGAAACGAAGATATTTCCTTTTCTGCCGTTGACCTTAAAGCGCTTGAAATCTACACTTGCAAATTGCACAAATAGAGTGTTTCAAATCTGCTCTGTCTAAGGGAACGTTCAACTCTGTGAGTTGAATGCACACAACACAAGGAAGTTACTGGGAATTCTTCTGTCTAGCCTTACAGGAAAAAAACCCGTTTCCAACGAAGGCCTCTAAGTGGTCAAAATATCCACGTGCAGACTTTACAAACAGAGTGTTTCCAAACTGCTGAATGAAAAGAAAAGTCAAACTCTGAGAGTTGAACGCACACATCGCAGAGCAGTTTCTGAGAATGATTCTGTCTAGTTTTGAAACGAAGATATTTCCTTTTCTGCCTTTGGCCTCAAAGCGCTTGAAATCTCCACTTGCAAATTCCACAAAAAGAGTGTTTCAAATCTTCTCTGTGTAAATGAAAGTTCAACTCTGTGAGTTGAACACACACAACACAAGGAAGTTACTGGGAATTCTTCTGTCTAGCATAATATGAAGAAATCCCGTTTCCAACGAAGGCCACAAGGAGGTCTGAATATCCACTTGCAGACTTTACAAACAGAGTGTTTCCTAACTGCTCTATGAAAAGAAAGGTTAAACTCTGTGAGTTGAATGCACACATCACAAAGGAGTATCTGAGAATCATTCTGTCTAGTCTTTATACGAAGATATTTACTTTTCTACCATTGACCTCAAAGCGGCTGAAATCTCCACTTGCAAATTCCACAAAAAGAGTGTTTCAAGTCTGCTCTGTGTAAAGGATCGTTCAACTCTGTGAGTTGAATACACACAACACAAGGAAGTTACTGAGAATTCTTCTGTCTAGCAGAATACGAAGAAATCCCGTTTCCAACGAAGGCCACAAGATGTCAGAATATCCACTTACAGACTTTACAAACAGAGTGTTTCCTAACTGCTCTATGAACAGAAAGGTTAAACTCTGTGAGTTGAACGAACACATCACAACGCAGTTTGTGGGAATGATTCTGTCTAGTTTTGAAACGAAGATATTTCCTTTTCTGCCATTGACCTTAAAGCGCTTGAAATCTACACTTGCAAATTGCACAAATAGAGTGTTTCAAACCTGCTCTGTCTAAGGGAACGTTCAACTCTGTGAGTTGAATGCACACAACACAAGGAAGTTACTGGGAATTCTTCTGTCTAGCCTTACATGAAAAAAACCCGTTTCCAACGAAGGCCTCTAAGTGGTCAAAATATCCACGTGCAGACTTTTCAAACAGAGTGTTTCCAAACCGCTGAATGAAAAGAAAAGTTAAACTCTGAGAGTTGAACGCACACATCACGCAGCAGTTTCTGAGAATGATTCTGTCTAGTGTTTATACGAAGATATTTCCTTTTCTGCCTTTGGCCCCAAAGCTCTTGAAATCTCCATTTGCAAATTCCACAAAAACAGTGTTTCAAATCTGCTCTCTCTAAATGAAAGTTCAACTCTGTCAGTTGAATACACACAACACAAGGAAGTTACTGAGAATTCTTCTGTCTAGCCTTATATGAAAAAAACCCGTTTCCAACGAAGGCCTCAAAGAGGTCTGAATATCCACTTGCAGACTTTACAAACAGAGTGTTTCCTAACTGCTCTATGAAAACAAAGGTTAAACTCTGTGAGTTGAACGCACACATCACAAAGGAGTTTCTGAGAATCATTCTGTCTAGTCTTTATACGAAGATATTTACTTTTCTACCATTGACCTCAAAGCGGCTGAAATCTCCATTTGCAATTTCCACAAAAAGTGTGTTTCAAGTCTGCTCTGTGTAAAGGATCATTCAACTCTGTGAGTTGAATAAACACAACACAAGGAAGTTATTGAGAATTCTTCTGTCTAGCAGAATATGAAGAAATCCCGTTTCCAACGAAGGCCACAAGATGTCTGAATATCCACTTACAGACTTTACAAACAGAGTGTTTCCTAACTGCTCTATGAACAGAAAGGTTAAACTCTGTGAGTTGAACGAACACATCACAACGCAGTTTGTGGGAATGATTCTGTCTAGTTTTGAAACGAAGATATTTCCTTTTCTGCCATTGACCTTAAAACTCTTGAAATCTCCACTTGCCAATTTCACAAAAAGAGTGTTTCAAATCTGCTCTGTCTAAGTTAACGTTCAACTCTGTGAGTTGAATGTACACAACACAAGGAAGTTACTGGGAATTCTTCTGTCTAGCCTTACAGGAAAAAAACCCGTTTCCAACGAAGGCCTCTAAGTGGTCAAAATATCCACGTGCAGACTTTACAAACAGAGAGTTTACAAACTGCTGAATGAAAAGAAAAGTTAAACTCTGAGAGTTGAACGCACACATCGCAGAGCAGTTTCTGAGAATGATTCTGTCTAGTTTTTATACGAAGATATTTCCTTTTCTGCCTTTGGCCTCAAAGCGCTTGAAATCTCCACTTGCAAATTCCACAAAAAGAGTGTTTCAAATCTGCTCTTTGTATATGAAAGTTCAACTCTGTGAGTTGAACACACACAACACAAGGAAGTTACTGGGAATCCTTCTGTCTAGCATAATATGAAGAAATACCGTTTCCAACGAAGGCCTCAAAGAGGTCTGAATATCCACTTGCAGACTTTACAAACAGAGTGTTTCCTAACTGCTCTATGAAAAGAAAGGTTAAACTCTGTGAGTTGAACGCACACATCACAAAGGAGTTTCTGAGAATCATTCTGTCTAGTTTTTATAGGAAGATATTTCCTTTTCTACCTTTGACTTCAAAGCGGCTGAAATCTCCACTTGCAAATTCCACAAAAAGAGTGTTTCAAGTCTGCTACTGTGTAAAGGATCATTCAACTCTGTGAGTTGAATACACACAACACAAGGAAGTTACTGAGAATTCTTCTGTCTAGCAGAATATGAAGAAATCCCGTTTCCAACGAAGGCCCCAAGATGTCAGAATATCCACTTACAGAATTTACAAACAGAGTGTTTCCTAACTGCTCTATGAAAAGAAAGGTTAAACTCTGTGAGTTGAACGAACACTTCACAACGCAGTTTGTGGGAATGATTCTGTCTAGTTTTGAAACGAAGATATTTCCTTTTCTGCCATTGACCTTAAAGCGCTTGAAATCTCCATTTGCCAATTGCACAAAAAGAGTGTTTCAAATCTGCTCTGTCTAAGGGAACGTTCAACTCTGTGAATTGAATGTACACAACACAAGGAAGTTACTGGGAATTCTTCTGTCTAGCCTTACATGAAAAAAACCCGTTTCCAACGAAGGCCTCTAAGTGGTCAAATTATGCACGTGCAGACTTTACAAACAGAGGGTTTCCAAACTGCTGAATGAAAAGAAAAGTTAAACTCTGAGAGGTGAACGCACACATCGCAGAGCAGTTTCTGAGAATCATTCTGTCTAGTTTTGAAACGAAGATATTTCCTTTTCTGCCTTTGGCCTCAAAGCGCTTGAAATCTCCATTTGCAAATTCCACAAAAAGAGTGTTTCAAATCTGCTCTGTGTAAATGAAAGTTCAACTCTGTGAGTTGAACACACACAGCACAAGGAAGTTACTGGGAATTCTTCTGTCTAGCAGAATAGGAAGAAATCCCGTTTCCAACGAAGGCCTCAAAGAGGTCTGAATATCCACTTGCAGACTTTACAAACAGAGTGTTTCCTAACTGCTCTATGAAAAGAAAGGTTAAACTCTGTGAGTTGAACGCACACATCACAATGGAGTTTCTGAGAATCGTTCTGTCTAGTTTCTATAGGAAGATATTTCCTATTCTACCATTGACCTCAAAGCGGCTGAAATCTCCACTTGCAAATTCCACAAAAAGAATGTTTCAAGTCTGCTCTGTGTAAAGGATCGTTCAACTCTGTGAGTTGAATACACACAACGCAAGGAAGTTACTGAGAATTCTTCTGTATAGCATAATATGAAGAAATCCCGTTTCCAACGAAGGCCACAAGATGTCAGAATATCCACTTAGAGACTTTACAAACAGAGTGTTTCCTAACTGCTCTATGAAAAGAAAGGTTAAACTCTGTGAGTTGAACGAACACATCACAACGCAGTTTGTGGGAATGATTCTGTCTAGTTTTGAAACGAAGATATTTCCTTTTCTGCCGTTGACCTTAAAGCGCTTGAAATCTACACTTGCAAATTGGACAAATAGAGTGTTTCAAATCTGCTCTGTCTAAGGGAACGTTCAACTCTGTGAGTTGAATGCACACAACACAAGGAAGTTACTGGGAATTCTTCTGTCTAGCCTTACATGAAAAAAACCCGTTTCCAATGAAGGCCTCTAAGTGGTCAAATTATCCACGTGCAGACTTTACAAACAGAGTGTTTCCAAACTGCTGAATGAAAAGAAAAGTTAAACTGTGAGAGTTGAACGCACACATCGCAGAGCAGTTTCTGAGAATGATTCTGTCTAGTTTTTATACGAAGATATTTCCTTTTCTGCCTTTGGCCCAAAAGCGCTTGAAATCTCCACTTGCAAATTCCACAAAAACAGTGTTTCAAATCTGCTGTCTCTAAATGAAAGTTCAACTCTGTCAGTTGAATACACACAACACAAGGAAGTTACTGAGAATTCTTCTGTGTAGCAGAATATGAATAAATCCCGTTTCCAACGAAGGCCTCAAAGGGGTCTGAATATCCACTTGCAGACTTTATAAACAGAGTGTTTACTAACTGCTCTATGAAAAGGAAGGTTAAACTCTGTGAGTTGAAAACACACATCACAAAGGAGTTTCTGAGAATCATTCTGTGTAGTTTTTCTACGAAGATATTTCCTTTTCTACTATTGACCTCAAAGCGGCTGAAATCTCCACTTACAAATTCCACAAAAAGAGTGTTTCAAGTCTGCTCTGTGTAAAGGATCATTCAACTCTGTGAGTTGAATAAACACAACACAAGGAAGTTACTGAGAATTCTTCTGTCTAGCAGAATATGAAGTAATCCCGTTTCCAACGAAGGCCACAAGATGTCAGAATATCCACTTACAGACTTTACAAACAGAGTGTTTCCTAACTGCTCTATGAACAGAAAGGTTAAACTCTGTGAGTTGAACGAACCCATCACAACGCAGTTTGTGGGAATGATTCTGTCTAGTTTTGAAACGAAGATATTTCCTTTTCTGCCCTTGACCTTAAAGCGCTTGAAATCTACACTTGCAAATTGCACAAATAGAGTGTTTCAAATCTGCTCTGTCTAAGGGAACGTTCAACTCTGTGAGTTGAATGCACACAACACAAGGAAGTTACTGGGAATTCTTCTGTCTAGCCTTACAGGAAAAAAACCCGTTTCCAATGAAGGCCTCTAAGTGGTCAAAATATCCACGTGCAGACTTTACAAACAGAGTGTTTCCAAACTGCTGAATGAAAAGAAAAGTTAAACTCTGAGAGTTGAACGCACACATCGCAGAGCAGTTTCTGAGAATGATTCTGTCTAGTTTTTATACGAAGATATTTCCTTTTCTGCCTTTGACCTCAAAGCGCTTGAAATCTCCATTTGCAAATTCCACAAAAAGAGAGTTTCAAATCTGCTCTGTGTAAATGAAAGTTCAACTCTGTGAGTTGAACACACACAACACAAGGGAAGTTACTGGGAATTCTTCCTTCTAGCAGAATATGAAGAAATCCCGTTTCCAACGAAAGCCTCAAGGATGTCTGAATATCCACTTGCAAACTTTACAAACAGAGTGTTTCCCAACTGCTCTATGAAAAGAAAGGTTAAACTCTGTGAGTTGAACGCACACATCACAAAGGAGTTTCTGAGAATCATTCTGTCTAGTTTTTATACGAAGATATTTCCTTTTCTACCATTGACTTCAACGCGGGTGAAATCTCCACTTGCAAATTCCACAAAAAGAGCGTTTCAAGTCTGCTCTGTGTAAAGGATCGTTCAAATCTGTGAGTTGAATACACACAACACAAGGAAGTTACTGAGAATTCTTCTGTCTAGGAGAATATGAAGAAATCCCATTTCCAACGAAGGCCACAAAATGTCAGAATATCCACTTACAGACTTTACAAACAGAGTGTTTCCTAACTGCGCTATGAACAGAAAGGTTAAACTCTGTGAGTTGAACGAACACATCACAACGCAGTTTGTGGGAATGATTCTGTTTAGTTTTGAAACGAAGATATTTCCTTTTCTGCCGTTGACCTTAAAGCGCTTGAAATCTACACTTGCAAATTGCACAAATAGAGTGTTTCAAATCTGCTCTGTCTAAGGGAACGTTCAACTCTGTGAGTTGAATGCACACAACACAAGGAAGTTACTGGGAATTCTTCTGTCTAGCCTTACATGAAAAAAACCCGTTTCCAACGAAGGCCTCTAAGTGGTCAAATTATCCACGTGCAGACTTTACAAACAGAGTGTTTCCAAACTGCTGAATGAGAAGAAAAGTTAAACTCTGAGAGTTGAACGCACACATCGCAGAGCAGTTTCTGAGAATGATTCTGTCTAGTTTTTATACGAAGATATTTCCTTTTCTGCCTTTGGCCTCAAAGCGCTTGAAATCTCCATTTGCAAATTCCACAAAAAGAGTGTTTCAAATCTGCTCAGTGTAAATGAAAGTTCAACTGTGTGAGTTGAACACACACAACACAAGGAAGTTACTGGGAATTCTTCTGTCTAGCATAATATGAAGAAATCCCGTTTCCAAAGAAGGCCTCAAAGGGGTCTGAATATCCACTTGCAGACTTTATAAACAGAGTGTTTACGAACTGCTCTATGAAAAGAAAGGTTAAACTCTGTGAGTTGAACACACACATCACAAAGGAGTTTCTGAGAATCATTCTGTCTAGTCTTTATACGAAGATATTTCCTTTTCCACCATTGACCTCAAAGCGGATGAAATCTCCACTTGCAAATTCCACAAAAAGAGTGTTTCAAGTCTGCTCTGTGTAAAGGATCGTTCAACTCTGTGAGTTGAATACACGCAACACAAGGAAGTTACTGAGAATTGTTCTGTCTAGCATAATATGAAGAAATCCCGTTTCCAACGAAGGCCTCAAGGAGGTCTGAATATCCACTTGCAGACTTTACAAACAGAGTTTTTTCTAACTGCTCTATGAAAAGAAAGGTGAAACTCTGTGAGTTGAATGCACACATCACAAAGGAGTTTATGAGAATCATTCTGTCTAGTTTTGAAACGAAGATATTTCCTTTTCTGCCATTGACCTTAAAGCGCTTGAAATCTACACTTGCAAA
Source organism: Homo sapiens (assembly GCF_000001405.40). Classification (NCBI taxonomy): domain Eukaryota; kingdom Metazoa; phylum Chordata; class Mammalia; order Primates; family Hominidae; genus Homo; species Homo sapiens. Next base: position 48,957,595 of record NC_000005.10, on the reverse strand, counting down.
TTGCACAAATAGAGTGTTTCAAATCTGCTCTGTCTAAGGGAACGTTCAACTCTGTGAGTTGAATGCACACAACACAAGGAAGTTACTGGGAATTCTTCTGTCTAGCCTTACATGAAAAAAACCCGTTTCCAACGAAGGCCTCTAAGTGGTCAAATTATTCACGTGCAGACGTTACAAACAGAGTGTTTCCAAACTGCTGAATGAAAAGAAAAGTTAAACTCTGAGAGTTGAACGCACACATCGCAGAGCAGTTTCTGAGAATGATTCTGTCTAGTTTTTATACGAACATATTTCCTTTTCTGCCTTTGGCCTCAAAGCGCTTGAAATCTCCATTTTCAAATTCCACAAAAAGAGTGTTTCAAATCTGCTCTGTGTAAATGAAAGTTCAACTGTGTGAGTTGAACACACACAACACAAGGAAGTTACTGGGAATTCTTCTGTCTAGACTTATATGAAAAAAACCCGTTTCCAACGAAGGCCTCAAAGAGGTCTGAATATCCACTTGCAGACTTTACAAACAGAGTGTTTCCTAACTGCTCTATGAAAAGAAAGGTTAAACTCTGTGAGTTGAACGCACACATAACAAAGGAGTTTCTGAGAATCATTCTGTCTAGTCTTTATACGAAGATATTTACTTTTCTACCATTGACCTCAAAGCGGCTGAAATCTCCACTTGCAATTTCCACAAAAAGTGTGTTTCAAGTCTGCTCTGTGTAAAGGATCATTCAACTCTGTGAGTTGAATAAACACAACACAAGGAAGTTACTGAGAATTCTTCTGTCTAGCAGAATATGAAGAAATCCCGTTTCCAACGAAGGCCAAAAGGAGGTCTGAATATCCACTTGCAGACTTTACAAACAGAGTGTTTCCTAACTGCTCTATGAAAAGAAAGGTTAAACTCTGTGAGTTGAACGCACACATCACAAAGGAGTTCATGAGAATCATTCTGTCTAGTTTTGAAACGAAGATATTTCCTTTTCTGCCATTGACCTTAAAGCGCTTGAAATCTCCACTTGCCAATTGCACAAAAAGAGTGTTTCAAATCTGCTCTGTCTAAGGGAACGTTCAACTCTGTGAGTTGAATGTACACAACGCAAGGAAGTTACTGGGAATTCTTCTGTCTAGCCTTACAGGAAAAAAAACCGTTTCCAACGAAGTCCTCTAAGTGGTCAAGTTATCCACGTGCAGACGTTATAAACAGAGTGTTTCCAAACTGCTGAATGAAAAGAAAAGTTAAACTCTGAGAGTTGAACGCACACATCGCAGAGCAGTTTCTGAGAATGATTCTGTCTAGTTTTGAAACGAAGACATTTCCTTTTCTGCCTTTGGCCTCAAAGCGCTTGAAATCTCCACTTGCAAATTCCAAAAAAAGAGTGTTTCAAATCTGCTCTGTGTAAATGAAAGTTCAACTCTGTGAGTTGAACACACACAACACAAGGAAGTTACTGGGAATTCTTCTGTCAAGCCTTATCTTGTAAAAAACCCGTTTCCAACGAAGGCCTCAAAGAGGTCTGAATATCCACTTGCAGACTTTACAAACAGAGTGTTTCCTAACTGCTCTATGAAAAGAAAGGTTAAACTCTGTGAGTTGAACGCACACATCACAAAGGAGTTTCTGAGAATCATTCTGTCTAGTTTTTATAGGAAGATATTTCCTATTCTACCATTGACCTAAAAGCGGCTGAAGTCTCCACTTGCAAATTCCACAAAAAGAGTGTTTCAAGTCTGCTCTGTGTAAAGGATCGTTCAACTCTGTGAGTTGAAAACACACAACACAAGGAAGTTTCTGAGAATTCTTCTGTCTAGCAGAATATGAAGAAATCCCGTTTCCAACGAAGGCCACAAGATGTCAGAATATCCACTTACAGAATTTACAAACAGACTGTTTCCTAAGTGCTCTATGAAAAGAAAGGTTAAACTCTGTGAGTTGAACGAACACATCACAACGCAGTTTGTGGGAATGATTCTGTCTAGTTTTTATAGGAAGATATTTCATTTTCTACCTTTGACTTCAAAGCGGCTGAAATCACCACTTGCAAATTCCACAAAAAGAGTGTTACAAGTCTGCTCTGTGTAAAGGATCGTTCAACTCTTTGAGTTGAATACACACAACACACGGAAGTTACTGAGAATTCTTCTGTCTAGCCTTACATGCAAAAAACCCGTTTCCAACGAAGGCCTCTAAGTGGTCAAAATATCCACGTGCAGACTTTACAAACAGAGTGTTTCGAAACCGCTGAATGAAAAGAAAAGTTAAACTCTGAGAGTTGAACGCACACATCACGCAGCAGTTTCTGAGAATGATTCTGTCTAGTTTTTATACGAAGATATTTCCTTTTCTGCCTTTGGCCCCAAAGCGCTTGAAATCTCCACTTGCAAATTCCACAAAAACAGTGTTTCAAATCTGCTCTCTCCAACTGAAAGTTCAACTCTGTCAGTTGAATACACACAACACAAGGAAGTTACTGAGAATTCTTCTGTCTAACCTTATATGAAAAAAACCCGTTTCCAACGAAGGCTTCAAAGAGGTCTGAATATCCACTTGCAGACTTTACAAACAGAGTGTTTCCTAACTGCTCTATGAAAAGAAAGGTTAAACTCTGTGAGTTGAACACACACATCACAAAGGAGTTTCTGAGAATCATTCTGTCTAGTCTTTATACGAAGATATTTCCTTTTCTACCATTGACCTCAAAGCGGCTGAAATCTCCACTTGCAAATTCCACCAAAAGTGTGTTTCAAGTCTGCTCTGTGTAAAGGATCGTTCAACTCTGTGAGTTGAATACACACAACACAAGGGAGTTACTGAGAATTATTCTGTCTAGCAGAATATGAAGAAATCCCGTTTCCAACGAAGGCCACAAGGATGTCAGAATATCCACTAACAGACTTTACACAGTGTTTCCTAACTGCTCTATGAACAGAAAGGTTAAACTCTGTGAGTTGAACGAACACATCACAACGCAGTTTGTGGGAATGATTCTGTCTAGTTTTGAAACGAAGATATTTCCTTTTCTGCCATTGACCTTAAAGCGCTTGAAATCTCCACTTGCCAATTGCACAAAAAGAGTGTTTCAAATCTGCTCTGTCTAAGGGAACGTTCAACTCTGTGAGTTGAATGTACACAACGCAAGGAAGTTACTGGGAATTCTTCTGTCTAGCCTTACAGGAAAAAAACCCGTTTCCAACAAAGGCCTCTAAGTGGTCAAAATATCCACGTGCAGACTTTACAAACAGAGTGTTTCCAAACTGCTGAATGAAAAGAAAAGTTAAACTCTGAGAGTTGAACGCACACATCGCAGAGCAGTTTCTGAGAATGATTCTGTCTAGTTTTTATACGAAGATATTTCCTTTTCTACCATTGACCTCAAAGCGGCTGAAATCTCCACTTGCAAATTCCACAAAAAGAGTGTTTCAAGTCCGCTCTGTGTAAAGGATCGTTCAACTCTGTGAGTTGAATACACACAACACAAGGAAGTTACTGAGAATTCTACTGTCTAGCACAGTATGAAGAAATCCCGTTTCCAACGAAGGCCTCAAAGGGGTGTGAATATCCACTTGCAGAGTTTACAAACAGAGTGTTTCCTAACTGCTCTATGAAAAGAAAGGTTAAACTCTGTGAGTTGAACGCACACATCACAATGAAGTTTCTGAGAATCATTCTGTCTATTCTTTATACGAAGATATTTCCTTTTCTACCATTGACCTCAAAGCGGCTGAAATCTCCACTTGCAAATTCCACAAAAAGAGTTTTTCAAGTCTGCTCTCTGTAAAGGATCGTTCAACTCTGTGAGTTGAATACACACAACACAAGGAAGTTACTGAGAATTATTCTGTCTAGCAGAATATGAAGAAATCCCGTTTCCAACGAAGGCCACAAGATGTCAGAATATCCACTTACAGAATTTACAAACAGACTGTTTCTTAACTGCTCTATGAAAAGAAAGGTTAAACTCTGTGAGTTGAACGAACACATGACAACGCAGTTTGTGGGAATGATTCTGTCTAGTTTTGAAACGGAGATATTTCCTTTTCTGCCATTGACCTTAAAGCGCTTAAAATCTCCACTTTCCAATTGCACAAAAAGAGTGTTTCAAATCTGCTCTGTCTAAGGGAACGTTCAACTCTGTGAGTTGAATGTACACAACACAAGGAAGTTACTGGGAATTCTTCTGTCTAGCCTTACATGAAAAAAACCCGTTTCCAACGAAGGCCTCTAAGTGGTCAAAATTTCCACGTGCAGACTTTACAAACAGAGTGTTTCCAAACTGCTGAATGAAAAGAAAAGTTAAACTCTGAGAGTTGAACGCACACATCACGCAGCAGTTTCTGAGAATGATTCTGTCTAGTTTTTATACGAAGATATTTCCTTTTCTGCCTTTGGTCTCAAAGCGCTTGAAATCTCCATTTGCAAATTCCACAAAAAGAGTGTTTCAAATCTGCTCTGTGTAAATGAAAGTTCAACTCTGTGAGTTGAACACACACAACACAAGGAAGTTACTGGGAATTCTTCTGTCTAGCATAGTATGAAGAAATCCCGTTTTCAACGAAGGCCTCAATGAGGTCTGAATATCCACTTGCAGAATTTACAAACAGAGTGTTTCCTAACTGCTCTATGAAAAGAAAGGTTAAACTCTGTGAGTTGAACGCACACATCACAAAGAAGATTCTGAGAATCATTCTGTCTAGTTTTTGTACGAAGATATTTCCTTTTCTACCATGGACCTCAAAGCGGCTGAAATGTCCACTTGCAAATTCCACAAAAAGAGTGTTTCAAGTCTGCTCTGTGTAAAGGATCGTTCAACTCTGTGAGTTGAATACACACAACACAAGGAAGATTCTGAGAATTCTTCTGTCTAGCAGAATATGAAGAAATCCCGTTTCCAACGAAGGCCACAAGATGTCAGAATATCCACCTACAGAATTTACCAACAGAGTGTTTCCTAACTGCTCTATGAAAAGAAAGGTTAAACTCTGTGAGTTGAACGAACACATCACAACGCAGTTTGTGGGAATGATTCTGTCTAGTTTTGAAACGAAGATATTTCCCTTTCTGCCATTGACCTTAAAGCGCTTGAAATCTCCACTTGCCAATTGCACAAAAAGAGTGTTTCAAATCTGCTCTGTCTAAGGGAACGTTCAACTCTGTGAGTTGAATGTACACAACACAAGGAAGTTACTGGGAATTCTTCTGTCTAGCCTTACATGAAAAAAACCCGTTTCCAACGAAGGCCTCTAAGTGGTCAAAATATCCACGTGCAGACTTTACAAACAGAGTGTTTCCAAACCGCTGAATGAAAAGAAAAGTTAAACTCTGAGAGTTGAACGCACACATCACGCAGCAGTTTCTGAGAATGATTCTGTCTAGTTTTTATACGAAGATATTTCGTTTTCTGCCTTTGGCCCCAAAGCGCTTGAAATCTCCACTTGCAAATTCCACAAAAACAGTGTTTCAAATCTGCTCTCTCTAAATGAAAGTTCAACTCTGTCAGTTCAATAAACACAACACAAGGAAGTTACTGAGAATTCTTCTGTCTAGCAGAATATGAAGAAATCCCGTTTCCAACGAAGTCCTCAAGGAGGTCTGAATATCCACTTGCAGACTTTACAAACAGAGTGTTTCCTAACTGCTCTATGAAAAGAAAGGTGAAACTCTGTGAGTTGAACACACACATCACAAAGGAGTTTCTGAGAATCATTCTGTCTAGTTTCTATAGGAAGATATTTCCTATTCTACCATTGACCTCAAAGCGGCTGAAATCTCCACTTGCAATTTCCACAAAAAGAGTGTTTCAAGTCTGCTGTGTGTAAAGGATCGTTCAACTCTGTGAGTAGAATACACACAACACAAGGAAGTTACTGAGAATTCTTCTGTCTAGCAGAATATGAAGAAATCCCGTTTCCAACGATGGCCACAAGTATGTCAGAATATCCACTTACAGACTTTACAAACAGAGTGTTTCCTAACTGCTCTATGAACAGAAAGGTTAAACCCTGTGAGTTGAACGAACACATCACAACGCAGTTTGTGGGAATGATTCTGTCTAGTTTTTATACGAAGATATTTCCTTTTCTACCATTGACCTCAAAGCGGCTGAAATCACCACTTGCCAATTGCACAAAAAGAGTGTTTCAAATCTGCTCTGTCTAAGGGAACGTTCAACTCTGTGAGTTGAATGTACACAACACAAGGAAGTTACTGGGAATTCTTCTGTCTAGCGTTACAGGAAAAAAACCCGTTTCCAACGAAGGCCTCTAAGTGGTCAAAACATCGACGTGCAGACTTTACAAACAGAGTGTTTACAAACTGCTGAATGAAAAGAAAAGTTAAACTCTGAGAGTTGAACGCACACATTGCAGAGCAGTTTCTGAGAATGATTCTGTCTAGTTTTTATACGAAGATATTTCCTTTTCTGCCTTTGGCCTCAAAGCGCTTGAAATCTCCACTGGCAAATTCCACAAAAAGAGTGTTTCAAATCTGCTCTTTGTAAATGAAAGTTCAACTCTGTGAGTTGAACACACACAACACAAGGAAGTTACTGGGAATCCTTCTGTCTAGCATAATAGGAAGAAATCCCGTTTCCAACGAAGGCCTCAAGGAGGTCTGAGTATCCACTTGCAGACTTTACAAGCAGAGTGTTTCCTAACTGCTCTATGAAAAGAAAGGTTAAACTCTGTGAGTTGAATGCACACAGCACAAAGGAGTTTCTCAGAATCATTCTGTCTAGTTTTTATAGGAAGATATTTCCTTTTCTACCTTTGACTTCAAAGCGGCTGAAATCTCCACTTGCAAATTCCACAAAAAGAGTGTTACTAGTCTGCTCTGTGTAAAGGATCGTTCAACTCTGTGAGTTGAATACACACAACACAAGGAAGTTACTGAGAATTCTTCTGTCTAGAAGAATATGAAGAAATCCCGTTTCCAACGAAGGCCACAAGATGTCAGAATATCCACTTACAGACTTTACAAACAGAGTGTTTCCTAACTGCTCTATGAACAGAAAGGTTAAACTCTGTGAGTTGAACGAACACATCACAACGCAGTTTGTGGGAATGATTCTGTCTAGTTTTGAAACGAAGATATTTCCTTTTCTGCCGTTGACCTTAAAGCGCTTGAAATCTACACTTGCAAATTGCACAAATAGAGTGTTTCAAATCTGCTCTGTCTAAGGGAACGTTCAACTCTGTGAGTTGAATGCACACAACACAAGGAAGTTACTGGGAATTCTTCTGTCTAGCCTTATATGAAAAAAACCCGTTTCCAAAGAAGGCCTCTAAGTGGTCAAATTATCCACGTGCAGACTTTACAAACAGAGTGTTTCCAAACTGCTGAATGAAAAGAAAAGTTAAACTCTGAGAGTTGAACGCACACATCGCAGAGCAGTTTCTGAGAATGATTCTGTCTAGTTTTTATACGAAGATATTTCCTTTTCTGCCTTTGGCCCCGAAGCGCTTGAAATCTCCACTTGCAAATTCCACAAAAACAGTGTTTCAAATCTGCTCTCTCTAAATGAAAGTTCAACTCTGTCAGTTGAATACACACAACACAAGGAAGTTACTGAGAATTCTTCTGTCTAGCATAATATGAAGAAATCCCGTTTCCAACGAAGGCCTCAAGGAGGTCTGAATATCCACTTGCAGACTTTACAAACAGAGTGTTTCCTAACTGCTCTATGAAAAGAAAGGTTAAACTCTGTGAGTTGAACGCACACATCACAAAGGAGTTTCTGAGGATCATTCTGTCTAGTTTCTATAGGAAGATATTTCCTATTCTACCATTGACCTCAAAGCGGCTGAAATCTCCACTTGCAAATTCCACAAATAGAGTGTTTCAAGTCTGCTCTGTGTAAAGGATCGTTCAACTCTGTGAGTTGAATACACACAACACAAAGAAGTTACTGAGAATTCTTCTGTCTAGCACAGTATGAAGAAATCCCGTTTCCAACGAAGGCCACAAGATGTCAGAATATCCACTTACAGAATTTACAAACAGACTGTTTCCTAACTGCTCTATGAAAAGAAAGGTTAAACTCTGTGAGTTGAACGAACACATCACAACGCAGTTTGTGGGAATGATTCTGTGTAGTTTTGAAACGAAGATATTTCATTTTCTGCCATTGACCTTAAAGCGCTTGAAATCTCCACTTGCAAATTGCACAAAAAGAGTGTTTCAAATCTGCTCTGTCTAAAGGAACATTCAACTCTGTGAGTTGAATGCACACAACACAAGGAAGTTACTGGGAATTCTTCTGTCTAGCCTTACATGAAAAAAACCCGTTTCCAAAGAAGGCCTCTAAGTGGTCAAAATATCCAGGTGCAGACTTTACAAACAGAGTGTTTCCAAACTGCTGAATGAAAAGAAAAGTTAAACTCTGAGAGTTGAACGCACACATCGCAGAGCAGTTTCTGAGAATGATTCTGTCTAGTTTTTATACGAAGATATTTCCTTTTCTGCCTTTGGTCCCAAAGCGCTTGAAATCTCCACTTGCAAATTCCACAAAAACAGTGTTTCAAATCTGCTCTCTCTAAATGAAACTTCAACTCTGTCAGTTGAATACACAAAACACAAGGAAGTTACTGAGAATTCTTCTGTCTAGCCTTATATGAAAAAAACCCGTTTCCAACGAAGGCCTCAAAGAGGTCTGAATATCCACTTGCAGACTTTACAAACAGAGTGTTTCCTAACTGCTCTATGAAAAGAAAGGTTAAACTCTATGAGTTGAACGCACACATCACAAAGGAGTTTCTGAGAATCATTCTGTCTAGTTTCCATAGGAAGATATTTCCTATTCTACCATTGACCTCAAAGCGGCTGAAATCTACACTTTCAAATTCCATAAGAAGAGTGTATCAAGTCTGCTCTGTGTAAAGGATCGTTCAACTCTGTGAGTTGAATACACACAACACAAGGAAGTTACTGAGAATTCTTCTGCCTAGCAGAATTTGAAGAAATCCCGATTCCAACGAAGGCCTCAAAGAGGTCTGAATATCCACTTGCAGACTTTACAAACAGAGTGTTTGCTAACTGCTCTATGAAAAGAAAAGTTAAACTCTGTGAGTTGAACGCACACATCACAAAGGAGTTTCTGAGAATCATTCTGTCTAGTTTTGAAACGAAGATATTTCCTTTTCTGCCATTGACCTTAAAGCGCTTGAAATCTCCATTTGCCAATTGCACAAAAAGAGTGTTTCAAATCTGCTCTGTCTAAGGGAACGTTCAACTCTGTGAGTTGAATGTACACAACACAAGGAAGTTACTAGGAATTCTTCTGTCTAGCCTTACATGAAAAAATCCCGTTTCCAACGAAGGCCTCTAAGTGGTCAAAATATCCACGTGCAGACTATACAAACAGAGTGTTTCCAAACCGCTGAATGAAAAGAAAAGTTAAACTCTGAGGGTTGAACGCACACATCACGCAGCAGTTTCTGAGAATGATTCTGTCTAGTTTTTATACGAAGATATTTCCTTTTCTGCCTTTGGCCCCAAAGCGCTTGAAATCTCCAATTGCAAATTCCACAAAAACAGTGTTTCAAATCTGCTCTCTCTAAATGAAAGTTCAACTCTGTCAGTTGAATACACACAACACAAGGGAAGTTACTGAGAATTCTTCTGTCTAGCATAATATGAAGAAATCCCGTTTCCAACGAAGGCCTCAAGGAGGTCTGAATATCCACTTGCAGACTTTACAAACAGAGTGTTTCCTAACTGCTCTATGAAAAGAAAGGTTAAACTCTGTGAGTTGAACGCACACATCACAAAGGAGTTTATGAGAATCATTCTGTCTAGTTTTTCTACGAAGATATTTCCTTTTCTACTATTGACCTCAAAGCGGCTGAAATCTCCACTTGCAAATTCCACAAAAAGAGTGTTTCAAGTCTGCTCTGTGTAAAGGATCGTTCAACTCTGTGAGTTGAATACACACAACACAAGGGAGTTACTGAGAATTCTTCTGTCTAGCAGAATATGAAGAAATCCCGTTTCCAACGAAGGCCACAAGATGTCAGAATATCCACTTACAGAATTTACAAACAGACTGTTTCCTAACTGCTCTATGAAAAGAAAGGTTAAACTCTGTGAGATGAACGAACACATCACAACGCAGTTTTTGGGAATGATTCTGTCTAGTTTTGAAACGAAGATATTTCCTTTTCTGCCATTGACCTTAAAGCGCTTGAAATCTCCAATTGCCAATTGCACAAAAAGAGTGTTTCAAATCTGCTCTGTCTAAGGGAACGTTCAACTCTGTGAGTTGAATGTACACAACACAAGGAAGTTACTGGGAATTCTTCTGTCTAGCCTTACAGGAAAAAAACCCATTTCCAACGAAGGCCTCTAAGTGGTCAAAATATCCACGTGCAGACTTTACAAACAGAGTGTTTCCAAACTGCTGAATGAAAAGAAAAGTTAAACTCTGAGAGTTGAAGGCACACATCGCAGAGCAGTTTCTGAGAATGATTCTGTCTAGTTTTGAAACGAAGATATTTCCTTTTCTGCCTTTGGAATCAAAGCGCTTGAAATCTCCATTTGCAAATTCCACAAAAAGAGTGTTTCAAATCTGCTCTGTGTAAATGAAAGTTCAACTCTGTGAGTTGAACACACACAACACAAGGAAGTTACTGGGAATTCTTCTGTCTAGCAGAATATGAAGTAAATCCCGTTTCCAACGAAGGCCTCAAAGGGGTCTGAATATCCACTTGCAGACTTCATAAACAGAGTGTTTACTAACTGCTCTATGAAAAGAAAGGTTAAACTCTGTGAGTTGAACACACACATCACAAAGGAGTTTCTGAGAATCATTCTGTCTAGTTTCTATAGGAAGATATTTCCTATTCTACCATTGACCTCAAAGCGGCTGAAATCTCCACTTGCAAATTCCACAAAAAGAGTGTTTCAAGTCTGCTCTGTGTAAAGGATCGTGCAACTCTGTGATTTGAATACACACAACACAAGGAAGTTACTGAGAATTCTTCTGTCTAGCAGAATATGAAGAAATCCCGTTTCCAACGAAGGCCACAAGATGTCAGATTATCCACTTACAGACATTACAAACAGAGTGTTTCCTAACTGCTCTATGAACAGAAAGGTTAAACTCTGTGAGTTGAACGAACACATCACAACGCAGTTTGTGGGAATGATTCTGTCTAGTTTTGAAACGAAGATATTTCCTTTTCTGTCATTGACCTTAAAGCGCTTGAAATCTACACTTGCAAATTGCACAAATAGAGTGTTTCAAATCTGCTCTGTCTAAGGGAACGTTCAACTCTGTGAGTTGAATGCACACAACACAAGGAAGTTACTGGGAATTCTTCTGTCTAGCCTTACATGAAAAAAACCCGTTTCCAACGAAGGCCTCTAAGTGGTCAAGTTATCCACGTGCAGACTTTACAAACACAGTGTTTCCAAACTTCTGAATGAAAAGAAAAGTTAAACTCTGAGAGTTGAACGCACACATCGCAGAGCAGTTTCTGAGAATGATTCTGTCTAGTTTTTATACGAAGATATTTCCTTTTCTGCCTTTGGCCCCAAAGCGCTTGAAATCTCCACTTGCACATTCCACAAAAACAGTGTTACAAATCTGCTCTCTCTAAATGAAAGTTCAACTCTGTCAGTTGAATACACACAACACAAGGAAGTTACTGAGAATTCTTCTGTCTAGCATAATATGAAGAAATCCCGTTTCCAACAAAGGCCTCAAAGGGGTCTGAATATCCAATTGCAGACTTTACAAACAGAGTGTTTCCTAACTGCTCTATGAAAAGAAAGGTTAAACTCTGTGAGTTGAACGCACACATCACAAAGGAGTTTATGAGAATCATTCTGTCTAGTTTTCATACGAAGATATTTCCTTTTCTACCATTGACCTCAAAGCAGCTGAAATCTCCTCTTGCAATTCCACAAAAAGAGTGTTTCCAATCTGCTCTGTGTAAAGGATCGTTCAACTCTGTGAGTTGAATGCACACAACACAAGGAAGTTACTGAGAATTCTTTTGTCTAGCAAAATATGAAGAAATCTCGTTTCCAACGAAGGCCGCTAAGAGGTCTGAATATCCACTTGCAGACTTTAGAAACAGAGTGTTTCCTAATTGCTCTATTAAAAGAAAGGTTAAACTCTGTGAGTTGAACGCACACATCACAAAGGAGTTTCTGAGAATCATTCTGTCTAGTTTTGAAACGAAGATATTTCCTTTTCTGCCATTGACCTTAAAGCGCTTGAAATCTACACTTGCAAATTGCACAAATAGAGTGTTTCAAATCTGCTCTGTCTAAGGGAACGTTCAACTCTGTGAGTTGAATGCACAAAACACAAGGAAGTTACTGGGAATTCTTCTGTCTAGCGTTACATGAAAAAAACCCGTTTCCAACGAATGCCTCTAAGTGGTCAAATTATCCACGTGCAGACTTTACAAACAGAGTGTTTCCAAACTGCTGAATGAAAAGAAAAGTTAAACTCTGAGAGTTGAACGCACACATCACAGAGCAGTTTCTGAGAATGATTCTGTCTAGTTTTGAAACGAAGATATTTCCTTTTCTGCCTTTGGCCTCAAAGCGCTTGAAATCTCCACTTGCAAATTCCACAAAAAGAGTGTTACAAATCTGCTCTGTGTAAAGGATCGTTCAACTCTGTGAGTTGAATACACACAACACAAGGAAGTTACTGAGAATTCTTCTGTCTAGCCTTATATGAAAAAACCCGTTTCCAACGAAGGCCTCAAAGAGGTCTGAATATCCACTTGCAGACTTTACAAACAGAGTGATTCCTAACTGCTCTATGAAAAGAAAGGTTAAACTCTGTGAGTTGAACACACACATCTCAAAGGAGTTTCTGAGAATCATTCTGTCTAGTTTCTATAGGAAGATATTTCCTATTCTACCATTGACCTCAAAGCGGCTGAAATCTACACTTGCAAATTCCAGAAAAAGAGGGTTTCAAGTCTGCTCTGTGTAAAGGATCGTTGAAATCTGTGAGTTGAATACACACAACACAATGAAGCTACTGAGAATTCTTCTGTCTAGCACAGTATGAAGAAATCCCGTTTCCAACGAAGGCCTCAAAGAGGTCTGAATATCCACTTGCAGAGTTTACAAACAGAGTGTTTCCTAACTGCTCTATGAAAAGAAAGGTTAAACACTGTGAGTTGAACGCACACTTCACAAAGAAGTTTCTGAGAATCATTCTGTCTAGTTTTTATACGAAGATATTTCCTTTTCTACCATTGACCTCAAAGAGGCTGAAATCACCACTTGCCAATTGCACAAAAAGAGTGTTTCAAATCTGCTCTGTCTAAGGGAACGTTGAACTCTGTGAGTTGAATGTACACAACACAAGGAAGTTCCTGGGAATTCTTCTGTCTAGCCTTACATGAAAAAAACCCGTTTCCAACGAAGGCCTCTAAGTGGTCAAGTTATCCACGTGCAGACTTTACAAACAGAGTGTTTCCAAACTTCTGAATGAAAAGAAAAGTTAAACGCTGAGAGTTGAACGCACACATCGCAGAGCAGTTTCTGAGAATGATTTCTGTCTAGTTTTTCTACGACGATATTTCCTTTTCTACTATTGACCTCAAAGCGGCTGAAATCTCCACTTGCAAATTCCACAAAAAGAGTGTTTCAAGACTGCTCTGTGTAAAGGATCGTTCAACTCTGTGAGTTGAATACACACAACACAAGGAAGTTACTGAGAATTCTTCTGTCTAGCATAGTATGAAGAAATCCCGTTTCCAACGAAGGCCTCAAAGAGGTCTGAATATCCACTTGCAGAGTTTACAAACAGAGTGTTTCCTAACTGCTCTATGAAAAGAAAGGTTAAACTCTGTGAGTTGAACGTACACATCACAAAGAAGTTTCTGAGAATCATTCTGTCTAGTTTTTATAGGAAGATATTTCCTTTTCTACCTTTGACTTCAAAGCGGCTGAAATCTCCACTTGCAAATTCCACAAAAAGAGTGTTACAAGTCTGCTCTGTGTAAAGGATCGTTCAACTCTGTGAGTTGAATACACACAACAAAAGGAAGTTACTGAGAATTCTTCTGTCCAGCCTTACATGAAAAAAACCCGTTTCCAACGAAGGCCTCTAAGTGGTCAAATTATCCACGTGCAGACTTTACAAACAGAGTGTTTCCAAACTGCTGAATGAAAAGAAAAGTTAAACTGTGAGAGTTGAACGCACACATCGCAGAGCAGTTTCTGAGAATGATTCTGTCTAGTTTTAATACGAAGATATTTCCTTTTATACCATTGACCTCAAAGCGGCTGAAATCACCACTTGCCAATTGCACAAAAAGAGTGTTTCAAATCTGCTCTGTCTAAGGGAACGTTCAACTCTGTGAGTTGAATGTACACAACACAAGGAAGTTACTGGGAATTCTTCTGTCTAGCCTTACATGAAAAAAACCCGTTTCCAACGAAGGCCTCTAAGTGGTCAAAATTTCCACGTGCAGACTTTACAAACAGAGTGTTTCCAAACTGCTGAATGAAAAGAAAAGTTAAACTCTGAGAGTTGAACGCACACATCACGCAGCAGTTTACTGAGAATGATTTCTGTGTAGTTTTTATACGAAGATATTTCCTTTTCTGCCTTTGGCCTCAAAGCGCTTGAAATCTCCACTTGCAAATTCCACAAAAAGAGTGTTTCAAATCTGCTCTGTGTAAATGAAAGTTCAACTCTGTGAGTTGAACACACACATCACAAGGAAGTTACTGGGAATTCTTCTTTCTAGCAGAATATGAAGAAATCCCGTTTCCAACGAAAGCCTCAAGGACGTCTGAATATCCACTTGCAGACTTTACAAACAGAGTGTTTCCTAACTGCTCTATGAAAAGAAAGGGTAAACTCTGTGAGTTGAACGCACACATCACAAAGGAGTTTCTGAGAATCATTCTGTCTAGTTTCTGTAGGAAGATATTTCCTATTCTACCTTTGACCTCAAAGCGGCTGAAATCTCCACTTGCAAATTCCACAAAAAGAGTGTTTCAAGTCTGCTCTCTGTAAAGGATCGTTCAACTCTGTGAGTTGAATACACACAACACAAGGAAGTTTCTGAGAATTCTTCTGTCTAGCAGAATATGAAGAAATCCCGTTTCCAACGAAGGCCACAAGATGTCAGAATATCCACTTACAGACTTTACAAACAGAGTGTTTCCTAACTGCTCTATGAACAGAAAGGTTAAACTCTGTGAGTTGAACGAACACATCACTACGCAGTTTGTGGGAATGATTCTGTCTAGTTTTGAAACGAAGATATTTCCTTTTCTGCCGTTGACCATAAAGCGCTTGAAATCTACACTTGCAAATTGCACAAATAGAGTGTTTCAAATCTGCTCTGTCTAAGGGAACGTTCAACTCTGTGAGTTGAATGCACACAACACAATGAAGTTACTGGGAATTCTTCTGTCTAGCCTTACATGAAAAAAACCCGTTTCCAACGAAGGCCTCTAAGTGGTCAAATTATCCACGTGCAGACTTTACAAACAGAGTGTTTCCAAACTGCTGAATGAAAAGCAAAGTTAAACTCTGAGAGTTGAACGCACACATCGCAGAGCAGTTTCTGAGAATGATTCTGTGTAGTTTTTATACGAAGATGTTTCCTTTTCTGCCTTTGGCCTCAAAGCGCTTGAAATCTCCATTTGCAAATTCCACAAAAAGAGTGTTTCAAATCTGCTCTGTGTAAATGAAAGTTCAACTCTGTGAGTTGAACACACACAACACAAGGAAGTTACTGGGAATTCTTCTGTCTAGCCTTACATGAAAAAAACCAGTTTCCAACGAAGGCCTCAAAGAGGTCTGAATATCCACTTGCAGACTTTACAAACAGAGTGTTTCCTAACTGCTCTATGAAAAGAAAGGTTAAAGTCTGTGAGTTGAACGCACACATCACAATGAAGTTTCTGAGAATCATTCTGTCTAGTTTTTATAGGAAGATATTTCCTATTCTACCATTGACCTCAAAGCGGCTGAAATCTCCACTTGCAAATTCCACAAAAGGAGTGTTTCAAGTCTGCTCTGTGTAAAGGATCGTTCAACTCTGTGAGTTGAAAACACACAACACAAGGAAGTTTCTGAGAATTCTTCTGTCTAGCAGAATATGAAGAAATCCCGTTTCCAACGAAGGCCAGAAGATGTCAGAATATCCACTTACAGAATTGACAAACAGACTGTTTCCTAACTGCTCTATGAAAAGAAAGGTTAAACTCTGTGAGTTGAACGCACACGTCACAATGAAGTTTCTGAGAATCATTCTGTCTAGTTTTGAAACGAAGATATTTCCTTTTCTGCCATTGACCTTAAAGCGCTTGAAATCTCCACTTGCCAATTGCACAAAAAGAGTGTTTCAAATCTACTCTGTCTAAGGGAACGTTCAACTCTGTGAGTTGAATGAACACAACACAAGGAAGTTACTGGGAATTCTTCTGTCTAGCCTTACATGAAAAAAACTCGTTTCCAACGAAGGCCTCTAAGTGGTCAAAATATCCACGTGCAGACTTTACAAACAGAGTGTTTACAAACTGCTGAATGAAAAGAAAATTAAACTCTGAGAGTTGAACGCACACATCACAGAGCAGTTTTTGAGAATGTTTCTGTCTGGTTTTTATAGGAAGATATTTCCTTTTCTGCCTTTGGCTTCAAAGCGCTTGAAACCTCCACTTGCAAATTCCACGAAAACAGTGTTTCAAATCTGATCTGTCTAAATGAAAGTTCAACTCTGTCAGTTGAATACACACAACACAAGAAGTTACTGAGAATTCTTCTGTCTAGCAGAATATGAAGAAATCCCGTTTCCAACGAAAGCCTCAAAGATGTCTGAATATCCACTTGTAGACTTTACAAACAGAGTGTTTCCTAACTGCTCTATGAAAAGAAAGGTTAAACTCTGTGAGTTGAACGCACACATCACAAAGGAGTTTCTGAGAATCATTCTGTCTAGTTTCTATAGGAAGATATTTCCTATTCTACCATAGACCTCAAAGCGGCTGAAATCTCCACTTGCAAATTCCACAAAAAGAGTGTTTCAAGACTGTTCTGTGTAAAGGATCATTCAACTCTGTGAGTTGAATACACACAACACAAGGAAGTTACTGAGAATTCTTCTGTCTAGCATAATATGAAGAAATCCCGTTTCCAACGAAGGCCTCAAAGAGGTCTGAATATCCACTTGCAGAATTTACAAACAGAGTGTTTCCTAACTGCTCTATGAACAGAAAGGTTAAACTCCGTGAGTTAAACGAACACATCACAACGCAGTTTGTGGGAATGATTCTGTCTAGTTTTGAAACGAAGATATTTCCTTTTCTGCCGTTGACCTTAAAGCGCTTGAAATCTACACTTTCAAATTGCACAAATAGAGTGTTTCAAATCTGCTCTGTCTAAGGGAACGTTCAACTCTGTGAGTTGAATGCACACAACACAAGGAAGTTACTGGGAATTCTTCTGTCTAGCCTTACAGGAAAAAAACCCGTTTGCAACGAAGGCCTCTAAGTGGTCAAAATATCCACGTGCAGACTTTACAAACAGAGTGTTTCCAAACTGCTGAATGAAAAGAAAAGTTAAACTCTGAGAGTTGAACGCACACATCGCAGAGCAGTTTCTGAGAATGATTCTGTCTAGTTTTGAAACGAAGATATTTCCTTTTCTGCCTTTGGCCTCAAAGCGCTTGAAATCTCCACTTGCAAATTCCACAAAAAGAGTGTTTCAAATCTGCTCTGTGTAAATGAAAGTTCAACTCTGTGAGTTGAACACACACAACACAAGGAAGTTACTGGGAATTTTTCTGTCTAGCATAGTATGAAGAAATCCCGTTTCCAACGAAGGCCTCAAACAGGTCTGAATATCCACTTGCAGAGTTTACAAACAGAGTGTTTCCTAACTGCTCTATGAAAAGAAAGGTTAAACTCTGTGAGTTGAACGCACACATCACCAAGAAGTTTCTGAGAATCATTCTGTCTAGTTTCTATACGAAGATATTCCCTTTTCTACCATTGACCTCAAAGCGGCTGAAATCTCCACTTGCAAATTCCACAAAAAGAGTGTTTCAAGTCTGCTCTGTGTACAGGATCGTTCAACTCTGTGAGTTGAATGCACACAACACAAGGAAGTTACTGAGAATTCTTCTGTCTACCAGAATAGGAAGAAATCCCGTTTCCAACGAAGGGCACAAGATGTCAGAATATCCACTTACAGACTTTACAAACAGAGTGTTTCCTAACTGCTCTATGAACAGAAAGGTTAAACTCTGTGAGTTGAACGAACACATCACAACGCAGTTTGTGGGAATGATTCTGTC